>NC_000011.10:78025392-78328423 GCF_000001405.40 Homo sapiens | reverse complement strand
AGAAGATGGTACAGAGTTCCCATATACCCCACACCCAGCTTTCCTTATTATTAATGTCTTACACATAATGTCTTTTTTAAAAAGCCTTCCGCGGCTTAGTGTTTTTGATGGCTGCTTAATGGACTGCTGATTGGGAAGACTGCAAATGCAATGCTACCAGTAAATGCCCTGCAACAGGAAATTGTTTTTGTCATCCCATTGAGATTATTGACCCAGGATTTATTTTATCAAACAATGTGGACCCGAGAGTGCCTAGTGTTTGGTGTGTATATCCGTTTCTCGGAATCTTGCTCAGGGAAGGGTCCAAGGTCAGGTCCTTGTGTCTGCAGGTGAGGGTAATAGGGCTTTGTCCTCATCTGCACAAGCAAATGATCAGCCCACCACGACTTTCCCACTTTTCCACTTCTAGGCCTTCCTGTCACCCACAACAAATTCCCAACAAGTTTGTAAGATGTTTTGCCAAAGCACAGCTTATTATTATAATGACAATATTTATGCTGTACTTGCCAGTTTATAGAGGTCTTTAACATCCACTTCTTCAATTCAATCTAGTAAGGTATTATATCCATCTTCTAGAGGAAAAACTAAAATTCAAAGAAATTTAATGATTTATCCAAAGTGACACTGCTAGTTATTAAGAATTTAGGATATAAACCCAGCTGTCTTGCCCTTAAATCCTGATTTTTTTAAATGTATTATTATTTTCAAAATTTGGGGGGCTCACCATTGTTTTTCAAGGCAAAGTTCAAACCATTTAGTACATCATTTAAGTCCCACTGTGGTTGGGACTCAACCTACCTTTTCATTCTCATGTTTTCCTGGCTCCCTGTAGGCTCTAGAAACATTCAATGGTATGTTGTTTCCCAAACACTTCATGAATATTGCTACCTCTGTGCACTTTAATGATGCCTTCTCCATTATGTTCAGAATATTATTTCCTTTGTTCCATGCTTCATATCTTGGCCCCAAAATCTGTTTCTGGGAATATTGTTCATCCTTTAAGGCTCATTGCAGATATTGTTATTTTCATATGAAACATCTCTTGATTACTTTCCTCCTCCCACAACCATTCCCAGCTTGAGGTGCTTGGTTCCCTGTTCTGTTCATTGATTAGACTTTGAATGCCCAGCAGACCCCATTTCATATTAAAATGCAAAGATAATTAAAACATGATTGTTTATCATTCTTATAGGCTATTAGTGAATCAGACATGTACAGAAGTGATGATAATATGACATGAGGATTAAAATTGACCCAGATACCGATTTATTGAGTTCCCACTGTATACCCACCACAGATGCTCAGTACGTATTTGTAGAATTGTATTGAATAATAGACATGATGCATTTGCGCTAAATAGGAATGATCTTGAGTATAGACAAAGAATGGTGGCTTACCTGCTGTGGTTAAAGAGCATAAATGGGATCTTTGCTCAAATAAATCTCCATCCAATTTCTTCTTAGCCTTCATCCCATCACTCCACCACCACTTTCTGGCTTTCCTACTTCTAGGCCTTCTTCTTACCTCCAGTAAATCCTCAACAAGGTTTTAAGACTTTTTTTCCCAAAGCATAGCTTATGGGGAAATTTTACCGGGTCAGAACTGTGTCTGCTTTGTATATATTTGAGAGTAGCAAACTGAGTTAGTTCTGAGATGACTGAAAAATTCTCCACAATAGAATTTCATGTATTCAACAGAAGTTACTAAGGTCCTATTCTGTACTGAGAACACAAAGATGAACAAACTGTTATCCTTGACCTCATGAAGCTCATAGCAGAATGCAGACACCACACACAAATTCATGGAAGCAACGTGACTCTTTTTTTGGAAAAAGATAGGACAGAAATAATTTGAAGTAACAATTTCTTATTCCTACAGGAAGGCCCTTCAGAGTGCTTTCATGACCAAAGTTTCAGTTATTTACTCTTCATTTAGAAAAAAAAATTGTCCAAACTTGATTCAGTAGGGTTTACTGTTATCCTATTAACCTGCAACCACTGTATGTCATTTCCTTTTATAAAGAAATCCAAATAAATGCAGAAATGAAGTCCTCTTAAAAGTTTCTCAGTGTGACCTTAAGTAATGTTTGCATTTCAGTGGTGTTTGTGTTTTATAGCCCTCCTCTGACATCAAGTTGTGATATTTTAAATGAGACACTTATGTAAAAATAAGGGTATGACACTTTTTCTATCACACAAGGTTGGAAGCATCTTTCATAAAAACTAATGAAGTTATTTAGATATGGATATAGAATAAGCTCCAAGATATAAGTGGAATAAAGCAAAGTGCATTTAATATACTATGATGCTTTACTATATGTATTAAAAGGGGGAAGACATTGTATATATTCACTCTCATATCCATAAAATATCTGTGAAATGAAACACAAGATAAGAATGATTGTCTCTACAAAACAGAATAGGATGGCTGGAGTTAGGGTAGGGAAGACTTACAGTTTGCTATTTTATACCTCAATTCTTGAGCCATATTGTTAAAAAATACAATGTTTAAAAAGAAATGAACAAAAATGGTTTGGGGGTAGCTTACTGCTGAAGGTTCATAGGAATAGACTCTGGTGAATTTTCTTTTTTATTTGTGGCAATACTACTGGCATATTTTCTAGAGAAATTACCTGTGAAGTATTATCTATATATCTTGTGATTTAACTACTGACAATGTAGTGGTTGTCAGGATGTTGCTAAGTCATGTAAGATCTTTGAAAGCCCACACTTTACGTGGGTAGTAGTTGCTGTGGTCAGGAAGAAGGCACATCAGAACACAGATAGAGTTCTTAGAAATCTAGCATCATAAACCCCCAGGGCTGAAAGAACCAGAGTTCATTCTAGTCCACCTCTCTGTATGTTCGTATGTCCTCTACAACATTCTTGCTTAGGGATCTTTGTCATTCCGGTGTTGTTCAATATTATTAATAGAGCCTCAGCAACGTGGTTTCTGTGCTGTCTGGAATGATCAGTGGACTAGGACTCAAATTACTTGGTTCCTAGTCTCAGCTCTGCCACTAATTAATTCTGTGGCTTCAGGCAAATCACTTTGCCTCTCTGGGCCTCTGTTTTTTCATGACTGAAGTTAGAGCATTGGCCTGATGGTTAAGCACATGGCATGGTCACTGTTGCTTCCCCTCCCCACCTATAATAGACATTACTTCTTAGTTTTGGCAGGTTCTTTGTGGTGGATAACTACAAACAAAGTCTCAGAATCCTTCTCAACACAGCCTTCCAGGCAACTAAAATCAGTAGATAGAACTTGGATGGGACTTGACAAACAAGATAAAAGTTACTTACTTCCATCTCTAAGGTTCTCAAGTAGCAGTGTGCAGGTACATATTTAATGACAAGTTCTCAGCAAAAAAATAAGATGCCCTGGTTTGCATCGTTTGCCAATTCCCATGGTGTAAATATTCACACCATGACTGATTTCAGACTACCATTGCGAAGTAAATTGGGTTGCAAAGTTCCCGAAAGTTTAACAGTCAGCTTTTATGAGCTGATAGAAGCTGTCTCTGGCCCATCACTGTAAAATTAATGACTTTAGATTAGCTGGCCATAACCATAAGTGAATATGAAAATGACCATCTTCCTTTGGGAGTTTTATCCAGAGGCATAATTCTTACCTTGTATGGTCTTTTGGACTTCGGAAATACTTGGTTGTCATCAGACCTTGATGTTTTACTTCCCTGAACCTCAGCTACACTATCTGGAAAATGGGAATAAGGATTCCTACTTCAGAAGATTATAGTGAATAATGAGACACTATGTATAAAGCACTTAGCATGGCATCTAGCATATGGATTGATATTCCCCTTCCCTTAACAGTGTGGTAGATTATATCTTTATCTTTCCCAGACTCATGAAAGGCTAGCCATTGCTTTCCCTCTAGCACCTTTCTTTTTCCATTATACTCCCTTGGCATTCCATTTTCCTCTGCTCTAATTTACTTAATCTTCTGTCTGAGTGGAATGTTAAATATTTAATCTTACCTGTTCTTAATGTTTTATTTATCATCTATCCAGGCACATTTGTGAGTAGAGACCAGCCCTGTGTAAGTCTCCTGAATTATACACCATCACAGCATCATAAGTAAATAAGTGCTAATAAGTCCCCACTCTTGGGATCAAACTTAAGGATGATACCGAAGGGAGCTTGTGTTACATGAGCACAAGAGGAGGCTGCTAAAGATCAGCCAGAATATGATATACTTGTAGAATTCTGTCTCCTCCTGTGTACTTATGGCCAGTGACCTCACGGCAAGTAGAAAGAATTTCACATTTTAAGAACATGCCTCTTTAAAAAAAAAAAATTCAGAGGGAGTCAGGCATGGTGGATCATGACTGTTATCCCAGCACTTTGGGAGGCCAAGGTGGGCAGATCACCTGAGGTCAGTAGTTTGAGACCAGCCTGGCCCACATGGCAAAACCCCGTCTCTACTAAAAATACAAAAATTAGCCAGGCATGGTGGCAGGCACCTGTAGTCTCAGCTACTCGGGAGGCTGAGGGAGGAAAATTGCTTGAACCCGGGAGGCGGAGGTTGCAGTGAGCTGAGATGGTGCCAGTGCCCTCCAGCCTGGGCAACAGAGCCAGGCTTTGTCTCAAAAAAAAAAAAAAAAAAAAAAAAAGAAAGATTCAGGGGGTACACGTGTAGGTTTGTTCCATGGATATATTACAAGATGCTGAGGTGTGGGCTTCTATTGATCCTGTCACCCAAATAGTGAACATAGTGCCCAACAGGTAGTTTCTCAACCTTACCCCCCTCCTCCCTCCCCCGACCTTTTTGGAGTCCTCAGTGTCTACTATTTCCGTCTTTATGTCTGTGTATACCCAATATTTAGCTCCCACATATAAGTGAGAACATTATAAGTGTGGTGTTTGGTTTCGTTTCCTTTTTTTTTGAATTGGGGAGACGGAGCCTTGCTCTGTTGCCCAGGCTGGAGTGCAGTGGCATGATCTCGGCTGACTACAACCTCTGCCTCCTGGGTTCAAGTGATTCTCCTGCCCCAGCCTCTCAAGTAGCTGGGATTACAGGCACACGTCACCATGCCCAGGTAACTTTTTGTATTTTAGTAGAGATGGGATTTCACCATGTTGGCCAGGCTGGTCTCGAACTCCTGACCTCAGGTGATCGTCCCGTCTCAGTCTCCCAAAGTGCAGGGATTACAGACCTGAGCCACCTCATCAAGACTGGTTTTCTGTTTCTACATTAATTCACTTAGAATAATGACCTCCAGCTGCATACATGCTGCTGCAAAGTATGTGATTCCATACTTTTTACAGCTGTGTAGTATTCCATGGTGTATATGTACTATACATTTTAAATCCAATCCACCATTGATGGGCACCTAGGTTGATTCCCTGTCTTTGCTGTTGTAAATAGTGCTGCAATAAACATATGAGTGCATATGTCTTTCTGGTAGAATAATTTATTTTCCTTTGTACATATACTCAGTAATGGGATTGCTGAGTTGAATGGTAGTTCTATTTTTAGTCTTTGCAAAATCTCCAAACTGCTTTCTACAGTGGCCGAAGTAATTTACATTCCCACCAACAGTGTATAAGGATTTCCTTTGCTCCACAGCCTCTCCAGCATCTGTTGTTGTTTTTTTTTTTTTTTTACTTTTCAGTAATAGCCATTCTGAGTGGTGTGAGATGGTCTCTCATTGTGGTTTTGAGTTGCATTTCTCTGATGATTAGTGATGTTTGTACATTTAAAAATGTTTGTTGGCCCATTGTGTGTCATCTTTTGAGAAGTGTCTGTTCATGTCCTTTGCCCACTTTATAATGGTATTATTTGTGTTTTTTATTGAATTATTTAAGTTCTTAGATAAAGATTCTCAGTATTAGTCCTTTGTCAGATGCATAGTTTACAAATATTTTCTCTCATTCTGTAGGTTGTCTCTTTACTCTCTCGATAGTTTCTTTTGCTGTGTACAAGCTCTTCAGTTTAATTAGGTCCCACTTGTCAATTTTTGTTTTTGTTGTAATTGCTTTAGAGGACTTAGTCATAAATTCCTTGCCAAGGCTGATGTCTAGAAGGGTATTTTCTAGATTTTATTCTAGGATTTTTATAGTTTGAGATCTTACTTTTTTTTTTTTTTTTTTTTTTTTTTTTTTGAGACAGAGTCTCCCTCTGTCAGCCAGGCTTCAGTGCAGTAGCTCGGCTCACTGCAACCTCCGCCTCCTGGGTTCAAGTGATTCTCCTGCCTCGGCCTCCTGAGTAGCTGGGATTACAGGCACGTACCACCACGCCCGGCTAATTTTTATATTTTTATTAGAGACAGGGTTTCGCCATGTTGGCCAGGCTGGTCTCAAACTCTTGACCTCAGGTGACCCGCCCACCTCGGCCTCCCAGAGTGCTGGGATTACAGATGTGGGCCACTGTGCCCAGCTGAGATCTTGCATTTAAGTCTTTAATCTATCTTGAGTTAATAATTATGTATCATGATAGGTAGGAGTCCAGTTTGATTCTTCTGCATATGTTTAGCCAGTTTTCCCAGCACTATTTATTGAAGAGTCTTATCCCCATTGTTTTTTTTTTTTTAACTTTGTCAAATATCAGTTTGTTGTAGGTGTGTGGCCCTATTTCTGGGTTCTCTATTCTGTTCCATTGGTCTACATGTCTGTTTTTGTAACAATACCATGCTGTGTTGGTTACAATAGCCTTTTAGTATAGTTTGAAAGTTGACTAATGTGGTGCCTCCATCTCTGAAGAACATGTCAATTTTTAAATGCAAGTAGAGTACTTTTCAAAAGTTTCCCAAAACTGAACTTTTGTTAAATCTTACATATAATCTTCTCCCTCCTCTAGTACAATGTTTATAAAATGAGAGATACTAGAGGAAATGCAGTGTGAACTGTGCTGCATCTCTTAATTACAGGAACCATTTCTCCGCTTACTGAACACATACTGCACTCCACGCTGCTGTGGGCTAGGAGTAAAAAGACATGAGCAATTTTTCCTGCTTGCAAGGAACTTAAAATCTATAGTAAAGAGGTAATTCAGCCAAAAAGTATAACATAAAGTGATAAGTTCCATCGGTAATAGAGGTAAGCAGGAGGTAGAGCAGACCATACATACGGGTCATTTCCATCAGCCAGGGATGGATAGAAGATTGTGGGAGAGCATCCTGGAAGGAGTGATGTCGGAAACATCTGTTCCCCTTCTTTCCTCTCTCACAGCTCTTAGTACTGTGCTAAGGTTAATAAGTCCTTGGTACAGGGGTACTCATATCCACCCCCATGGCTTCAGTTACCTTTCCTATATGCTGATGACATCCAAATGTACATCTCCAACCCATGCATGAACTTTTCAGACCAAATCCTTGGCCTACAGCTCGGGAAACCTGCCTCAGTAGATGTCATAGTTGGCTCAAGCTAGAAACCTGTAAGTCATTCTTCACTCTGTTTCAACCCCCACATTCCAGCAGTGACTAAGAAATTGATCAGTTAAATATCTCTTTTGCATTACCTTCTCTCTCTCTCCATTGCCCACCACAGTTTAAGCCATAATTTCTTACTGGGACTATAATATCTCCCAGTTGAGACTGGGCACAGTGGCTCATGCCTGTAACCCCAGCACTTTGGGAGGCCATGGCAGGTGGATCACTTGAGCCCAGGAGTTTGAGATAGATCAGCCTGGGCAACATGACAAAACTCCATCTCTACCAAAAAAAAAAAAAAAAAAAAAGGCAAAAATTATCCAGGTGTGGTCATGCACACCTGTAATCATAGCTACTTGGGAGGCTGCAGTGAGCTGTCATAGCACCACTGCACTTCAGCCTGGGCAACAGAGTGAGACCTTGTCTCAAAAAAGAAAAAAATCTCCCAGTTAGTATACCTGATGCTAGGCTTGCTCTTCTCAAGCTTTTCACACAGCAGCCAGAGTGATCTTTCTAGAACATAAATCCAGCCATAGCACTCCTCTTTTCTGTTGTCCTTAGGATGATGTCCAAATTCCTTATCTTCTTCCCACATTGAACAAGGATAAGACCCTCTTCCTTGCTATTAATTCTCATGGTGCACCATATTTTCCTTGATCATAATATTGATCATGCTTTATCATAATTACCTGTTTCTTAGCTGGGCATGATGGTACATCCCTGTAGTCCCACCTACTGGGAGGCTGAGGCAAGAAGATTGCTTGAGCCAAAGAGCTCAAATCCTGCCTGGGAAACATAGTGAGACCCCTGTCTCTAGAAAAAAAGAAAATAAAATTGTTTTTCAAAATTATCTGTTTCTTCTCACCTGGGCGCAGTGGCTCATGCCTGTAATCCCCGCACTTTGAGAGGCCAAGCAGGGGCAGATCGAGGCCAGGAGTTCCAGACCAGCCTGGCCAACATGGCGAAACCCCATCTCCACAAAAATGCAAAAGTTAGCCAGTGTGGTGGTGTGTACCTGTAATCCCAGCTACTCAGGAGGCTGAGGCAGGAGAATTGCTTGAACCCAGGAGGCAGAGGTTGCAGTGAGCCGAGATCACACCGGTGCACTCCAGCACTCCACCCTGGGTGACAGAGCAAGACTCGGTCTCAAAAAAAAAAAAAAGTCTGTTTCTTTATATCTCTGCCAGATACTCAGCTCTGAGATCATGGACCATGTCTGTTTTGTTTACTGCTGTATCCTCAGCCCGTGGCACAGTGCCTGGTTTACAGTAGAATAATAAATGTGTAAGTTAATTTTTTATTTTAAGTGCACTTTAATAATTTTATATCTCATAAAAATGAAAAGGCCTCAAATGTGGCTCTCTGCTAAGTATGATTAGTCATATAGTAAATTATTTTTATAGCAGATCTTGTTTAGGTTGTGAACATGGGTGAGAAATTCCAGTTTCTGTCATTATGTCTGGTTCTATCAAGAGCCATAGAGATGAATGTTACCAAGCCTAAGGGTAAGTTAGAGAGGAAAACATGGGAGAAAACTGTAAAGAACAGAAACTCTACCACTTTTTTCCCCAACTAGTACTGCAATATATATCTTCATACATACATCTTTTTCTTTCCTTTGAATTATTACCTTAAAGTCAGATGCCAGAAATGAGAATTATTGGGCACAAAGGGATGAACATTTTTAAGGCATTTGAAATACTGCCAGATTATTTTCCAAACACATAATACTAACAAATAGTTCAGAGCAACATGCAAGGGTGTCTGTTTTATCACACTACAGGGAATTGTCATGAAAATCTTTTAGCTGGTTTAATGGAGGAAAAAATGGAGGAAAAAAAATTCATTTTTAGTTAAGGTTTGGTGTTTTTCATCTGATTATTTATGCAGCTCCTTCTGAGGGTGCATCCAAACGCTCACAGCCTTGTTTCAGAGGCTGAGAGGCCTGCAACCTCAGCGGCCTCTGGGGCACAGCACCTCTGTTGTGCAGCAGCAGGGAGGGGCAGTGATGGAGGGAAAACATAACACAGACCACACCATTGTTAGGGGATGAGGTTGCTGGGATAATGCTGTGAGAAGGGATGAAAAGAACGATTCTCCATTCTTGATTGTTGTGATTTCCAGGGATGAGCCAACAGCTCCAGTGCGGGAAGGGATGGGTCTTTACTGCATCCAGATGCTCCTTTTTCCAGTGCTGCCTCCGATTATTTCTGGTGAGAAGGGGTGGTGGATAACATAGCAGCTGAAACAGATTAACTTTTATGCCAGTTTCCTCCCTTTAAGTGATTGCCCTGGACCTGGGGACATTCAGAATTCGTCAGAAACCGTTTAGAAATAAGAATGTGGTTCAAGGTCCCTGGTGTGCAAGAGCCAACCTTCTGGAGTTTGCGTACCATTCCTGCCTTTATCTGTGGGAGCTGCTTGAGGCAAAGGGATCTTTCTTTCCTCTCCTTCCCTACTGCCACTGCCGTTGTTCAGGCCCTTATCCTGTTTTGTCTGGGCTTCCTGTTTCCCTTAATCTATCCTCATCTATGCTGTTGCCAAAGTGATATTTCTACTATGCACACTGGATCCTATCCCTCTCCAGTTAAAACTGTCAGTGGTCCGCCACTGCCTTCAGGATGAAAGTCAAGCTCCTTTTCACAGCTTTTTTTTTTTTTTTTTGGCATTTAACAATCAGATCCCAAAATGTCTTTCCTGACTGGCTCCCACCGCTTCTCTGGACTGTTCCAGGACCCTGACTAGTGCATGCACTCTGTAAGGTGCTTGTGCTGGTCCCTCCTCCTGATAGCCCTTCTGCCTCTGTTCCACCAGATTCACTCCTGATCCCTCATCTCCCTCCTCAAAAAGAAGTCTCCCTCAATTATCAACTCTCTGATGGATTTTCCCTGGTAGGTAATCAGTTCTGTTCCTGTAACCCTCTAGTAGCAACTATATACAAGATTGTGATTTCTATTATTATTTTCCCCTAAATCAGGAATTATCTTCCTTTTGTATATTCATATTTGTGGATCCCCAGCCCTTAGTACAATATTTGACACATAATAAATGCTCCAGAATATCTTTTTCTTCCTTCCTGCCAGGTTGTTTGTAAGTTCTTTTACCTTCAATGTGTTCTTAGTTTTAGAGTTAAAAGGAAATGTAATGTAGTTTAATCTTCTTCTTCTTTTTCTTGTTTTTTAATGGTTGACAAAACCAAAGCCCAGAAAAGAAAAGAATTCACCCTGGGATGATCAGCCAGATATAATGGCAGGGCTGTTTAGGGCTGATCTCCTTAGGTAACTTAAAAAGAACCTTGAAACAAAAGATTGCATCAGGAGGAAAGGAAGGAGCAAAGATTCGTTGCCAAGTTCTTTGCTGAATGCTTAATATATGTTACTTTTTAAAAAAATTATTTCTTCTTTTGATTGTGATAAAATACACATAACATAAAGTTTACCATCATAATCATCTTTTTTTTTTTTTTTTTTTTTTTGAGACGGAGTCTCGCACTGTTGCCAGGCTGGAGTGCAGTGGCGCCATCTCAGCTCACTGCAACCTCCGCCTCCCAGGTTCAAGCGATTATCCCGATTCAGCCTCCCGAGTGGCTGGGACTACAGCTGCCCGCCACCACACCCAGCTAATTTTTGTATTTTTAGTAGAGATGGGGTATCACCATGTTGGCCAGAATGGTCTCAATCTCTTAACTTACGATCTGTCCACCTTGGCTCCCAAAGTGCTGGGATTACAGGCGTGAGCCACTGTGCCCGGCCCATCGTAATCACTTTTAAGTGTATAGTTCAGTGACATTAAATGCATTCATATTGCTGTGCAGCCATTACCACCATCCATCTCCAAAACTCCTTTCAGCTTCCCAAACTGAAACTATACCCATTAGACATTGATGCCCTATTCCTCCGGTGGCCTAATAACCACTGTTGTATTTTTTGTCTCTCTGAATCTGGCTACTCTAGGCTTGCCATGTAACTTTGTCATATAAGTGGAATCACATGGTATTTTCTAACTGCTTATTTCACTTAGCTTAATGCCCTTAAGGTTCATCCCTGCTGTAGCATGTGTCAGAATTTCCTTCCTTTTTAAGGCTGAATAGTATTCCATTGTATGCATGTACTGTGTTTTATATCTCCATTCATCCACCAGTGACATGTGGGTAGCTTCCACCTTTTGGCTCTTCTGACTAATGCTGCAATGAACATAGGTGTAAAAATATTCCGTTTGTGTTCCTGCTTTCAGTTTTTTGGGGTCTGTATCCAAAAGTAGAATTACTGGATCATATGGTAATTCTATTTTCAATTTTTTGAGGAATTGCCTTACTCTCTTCTATAGCAGCTGCACTATTTTATATCCCCACCAACATTGCACAAGGGTTCCAGTTTCTCCATATTCTCACCAACACTTATTTCTATTTTTTAAAGTAGCCATATTAATAGGTGCAAGGTAGTATTTCATTGTTTTGATTTGCATTTCCCCAATGATTAGTGACATGAGCATCTTTTCATGTGCTTCTTGGTCATTTTGTATCCCTTCTTTGGAGAGATGTCTATTCAAGTCCTTTGTCAATTTTTAGTTAAGTTGTTTGTTTTTGTTGTTATTGTAGTTCTTTATATATTCTAGTTATTAACCCCTTATAATCCTGTACTAGTCAGTGTTCTCCAGAGGGACAGAACTAATAATATGTATATATGAAAGGGAGTTTATACATATTTCATAATATGTATATTATGAAAGTAAAGAATTGGCTCACACAGTTATAATGCAAAGTCCCACAATAGGCCATCTGGAAGCTGGGGAAGAGAGAAGCCGGTAGTGGCTCAGTTTGGGTCTGAAAGCCTCAAAACCAGGGAAAACAACAGTGCAGCCTTTAAGTCAGTCCCAAAGGCAGGACACCCACCCCCTGGCCCCCCGTGCAAGTCCCAGTGTCAGGCCAAAGAACCTGAAGTCTGATGTCCAAGGGCAGGAGGAGCGGGAGGAAGCATCCAATATGGCAGGGGGAGGGGGAGTGGGGAGAAGGAAGCCAGAAGCCTCAGCAAGCAAGCTTATTCCACCTTCTTCCGCTTGCTTTCTTCTGGCCATGCTGACAGGCAGTAGGATGGTGCCCAACCATATTAAGGGTGACTCTTCCTTTCTCAGTACACTGACTCAAATGTCAACCTCCTCTGGCAGCACCTTCACAGATAAACCCAGAAACAGTACTTCGCCAGCCATCTAGGCATCCTTCAATCCAATCAAGTTGACACCTAATATTAACCATCACAAATCCTTTACCAGATATATGATTTGCAAATATTTTCTTCCATTCAGTGGATTGTCTTTTCACTTGGTTGATTGTGTCCTTTGATTCACTAAAGTTTTAATTTTGATGTCCAATTTATCTATTTTTTGTTTTGCTACCTATACCTTTGGTGTCACATCCAAGAAAACATTGTCAAATCCATTGTCATGAAACATTTTTTCTATGTTTTCTTCTGAGAGGTTTATCATTTTCATTCTTATATTTAGGTCTTTGGTCCATTTTGAGTTAATTTTTGTATATGGTATAAGGGTCCAGCTGTTTTTTTACATGTGGATATCCAGTTTTCCCAGCACCATTTGCTGAAAAGTTCTGTTATTTCTTTTGTATTTGTGTGATAGTCCTAGGATGTGTTATAATTACCTTATAGATGAGAAAACAGAAGGTGAAATATTCCTGAGGATCCCCTAAAAGCAGGCTTCTTGCTATCCTTGGCAGTTCAAAGACATTAAAAAGGGGGGAAAGCCATTTTGAAATAATGCGAGAAGAAGAGGGGAATAGACTGAGAGGAAAAGCAAAACAAAATAAAATAAGATTGGGATAGACAGCCAGCCGTGAGCAGAACTTTGAAGTGTGTTTATAATTCACTCAGAGACCTCCTCCCCCCTGCCCTTTTACTCTCCTTCCTTCTCTTACTCTCTCAATTAGCTCCTTCAGTTTGCTGTCTCTTCTGAAACTCTTTGAAAGCTTTTCTACAGTCTGTGTCCAGCCTGTTTTCTGAGCTTTATCTGCTGTCTCCCTCGCTGCCACTGTGAAGCTGTAATGGAGTCATGTTAGTTCTCACTGCTCCCATAGCAAGCCCTGCCTTTACAGACCACGTTCATTTTATTCACTTTACCTTTAATGTGCCATGGTCTTTCTCCAAGGCCTCTTGACGGTGGTGGCACCTCTTCACCTCTGCGTCCCAGTAGCATTGTGGCACAGAGGTGGCTGTTCTGTAAATGTGTCAAAAAGATGACTAAACCGACAGTTTTTGTTCCTTTGCATAACCATTCCACATATGCAATATAGTCTTACCTTCCGGGATTTAAAGTAAGCATGTGACCTGGTCTCTGTCCACCAGTGATTGTAATCTAGCTGGGAGAAAGCAAGGTACTTCTATATACACTTGACACTTTAATATTCTGTATAACATGTTATACTTGTAACCTTCAGTGAATGACAGGGAAGACTTGTTTTATCTCCATTATATTAAGATACTAAAGCACAGCAAAGTTGGAGTTTGGCTGAAATCACATAACTAGCAGAAGATCAAGGTGGGACTTAAACCTAGGGGACTGACTTCAGGCAAGATGCTTAACCACTTAAAGCTACTCAGTTTGTTCATCTACAAAATGAGGATAATAGCGTCTACTTCCTAAGTGGTTGTATTAAAAATTACACCATGTGAGTGAAGAATTTTGGCATGTCATATGGGACGCAGTGCAAGCTGCTATTGTCTGTCTGTCTATATGGTGTTTTTTGTCACTGTTATAACACTTTCAGTGTATTACTTTGGAAAAGAGGCTTGCAAGTACCATCACAACGGTTTCTCCCTGGACTTTTGGAAATATTAATGGCCACTCCTGTTTTACATGCGAGCCCTATGTCAAGCACCTCATGTGATGCCTGCCTGACTCAGGGCTCAGTGAATGGTTCCTTTACTTCCCCTCCTGGCCTTGTGCTTTTATGGGTGAATTGCACAGGACTTGACACTCCCACATCCAGAGGCTAACTAGCTGAATAACCCAGCTAGAACTAGAACTTAGAATTCTGCCATGTTTTTCAGACTGTGTCTTCTTTTCCATTACTCTTTCTGTAGTCTTTCATGTGCTCTCTTCACATTTTTTTGGTAGGTGGATTTAAGTTGGTAGGATCACTGAGGCATAGTAGAAGCTAATCTGTACTGATACCTTATTTTCAATTTGTAGAGGCCCCAGGGCACTTGTGTGATAAATGGTGCTATGTAAATTAAAATGCAAGTAAGGGTCTCTTCAGTGTTTCTTAAATTAAGTTTATTATATGTGGTAATTTGCACCTAGAGGCTTTTGTTGTTATTTGTTGTAGTGACTATGGCAGTAATGAGCCTGCTCCCAGAAAAGCTTGGCACATGCCCCATAGACAGTTTATTTGCATTTGGCTGGACTCCATGGTGTACCCTGAACAAATGAATCAGCCTATTGGAGGGGTGGAGAAACTGAATCATAGGGAGGCTGTGGGTCTTGCACATGATCCCTGGTGATCCTGAGGTGGGGCAATACCAGAGTTCTATGTCCTGTTCCTAGCTGGATTATTCCTTAGCCTCAGGATTTGGGAGCATCAAGCACCTTGCAGTTCACCCTTAAAAGCACAAAGCCAGGAGGGGAAGTAAAGGAACCATTCATTGAACCCTGAGTCAGGCATCATATGAGGTGCTTGACATGTAAAACAGGAGTGGCCATTAATATTCTCAACAGTCTAGGATTCGGATTCAGTCTTTGCTTTATTGTGGTAGGTAACGCTGTTTATCTGGCAGCTGCATTGATCCAAACCATGTGAAGAACTGAAAAAAAAAGTGCTGGGAAAAAAAAAGCTTTAGAGTGATCCCAAAGAATACACTAAGGCTTATACACATCAGATTCTCGTGACAACCTTATGAACAGAGCAAGTGACACCTTCTTCATGAATCTTAGCCCAAGGAACTTGCCTGAGATGTGGTGATCACACAATAAATAGCAGACCAAGGACTGATAGATCACCACCCAGAGATTCTCTAAGAATTAACATGAAACAGTATATCATGTTTTATATTACACACACACACAAACACATATTTTTTAGTTCCCGTTTCTGCCACCCTTGATGGGAGTTGAGGACACTAGATCTGAGAAGTTTCAGTACTTTTCTGAGACACGTGGGGCAGGTCTTGGTGAGCAAAAAGAGCCCAGAGGACAGAGTCATAAGTCCTTGCTTTGTCGATTTATAACTTTATATCTACAATTAAGTTACTTAACCACTTCACCCTCCCAGTTTCTTCATCTTTAAAATTGGATAATAGGCCAGGCGCAGTGGCTCACGCCTGTAATTCCAGCACTTTGGGAGGCTGAGGCAGTTGGATCGCCTGAGGTCAGGAGTTCATGACCAGTCTGGCCAACATGGTGAAACCCTGTCTCTACTAAAACTACAAAAAAAATTAGCGGGGCATGGTGGTGGGCACCTGTAATCCCAGCTACTCGGGAGGCTGAGGCAGGGGAATTGCTTGAAACAGCGAGGTGGAGGTTGCACTGAGCTGAGATCGTGCCACTGCACTCCAGCCTGGGCGACAGAGCGAGACTCCGTCTCAAAAAATAAATAAAATAAAATGGGATAATAATAGTAACAACTCACAGGATGTTGTAAGGATGGAATGAACTCTTATATGTAAAGTGCTTAGGAGAGTGCCTGGCCCAAAGTAACTGTATTTTGTTTTTGTTGTGGTGGTGGTGGTGGTGGTGGTGGTAAAGACCACACAGCTTGGAGAAACCCCAGAATCTCCCTCTTGTTTTCCTCTTACTTTCTTATTGAAGAACTGTAGGGAAATTACCTTTTTTTTTTTTTTTTAAACTCCACAGGTCATGCTGGCTCAGAGTTTACAGTAAACACCAGGAACATTCAGTTGGTTGTGCCCTCAGTTCAGGGCATCTTATGTAATGTGCTGCCCTGTGACACAGACCTAGAAAAAGGGCTGTTTTCAAGCCTAGACATGGGAGGAAGGTTGGTATTCTTCGTAATTTGCAGCAAGGCATGAAGCTGATGTCTATCACTACAGCCAGCCCTGGACGGCATTGTTTGTTAGGTAAAATTGTCGGTAGAACTCTGCTCTGCCTCTTACCTGTTTCTCTCACCCCATCTCAGGGCCTCAGGGCTCTGGCCTCTGTATGACCTGGTGGGATTGAGCTTCTGTAGGCACCTCTTCTTGCCCACAGCCTCATACCTAACTACCGCCTCGCTCCAAGTCCAGTTGTCTCAGGCTTTCTAGGTGTCTTGCTACTCTGGTAAACTAATTGTATCTTATGTATTTATGGAAAGAATTAATGAATAAACAAATGCATGGAGGCAATTTAAAAGCAATATAATAAGCAGTACCAACACCACTGCCTGGCCCACAGCCTGGCACGCAGAGGCTTTTGTTGTTATGTTATAGTGGCTCAGTGAAAACTTATTGAATAATTTATTACTTTTGGTGTAATGCATTTACTATCCTAACCGTATGTTTGAAGCCCAGTTCAAATGCTCTATCCTTTGTTGAACTGTTCTTATATCAAATAAAAATTCTTCCTTTTCTGTAATAGAACTTTATAGGAAAGTTTATATATATAATATTCTTTAGGGAAAGAAAAAAAAACAACCTTTATATTACCTTACTTGATTCTTGTAACAACCTGGTTAGGATTATCATCTTCATTTTATAATTGAAACTGAGGCTTAGGTATATGAAAGAGCTCATTTTTATGCAGCTCTTAAGTAATGAAGCTGACCCCAAAACTTACTTTCATGTATATAAAATGTACCTAATAAGTGTTCAGTAAATATGGGGGGAAGAAAAAACTTACTTTCATTTAGTAAATTATTTTTACCTCAGTACATTATATAGGCAGATGTATATTTTATGAAGTTGTGCCCATATTTTAGCTTCCCCACTAGAACAGAAGCCCTTTTGATCTGAGAACTGTCCCATCTTGTTGCCTCTGCTTCCCAGAGCTTCACACATAATAAATGTTTGAAAGTAAATTGCTAATTTTAACAGGGTTCTTCAGTGGCAGAATTTCATACAAAATCATTGTAGTGAAAGAAAAAACCTTTAGTAAGGAGACAAATCAAACTTTTTTCCCCTGTGTAGAGAGCTCCCTAATGGGTCTTCTTATTTTTTTAGAATGAACTGTAGGACATACCCACAAGGGTACTCTTTCTGATGGGTGATACGAGGCTCAGGGTTTGTGGCAATGAACTTTGCTCTTTCCCACACCTGAAGCTGCAGCTGTAACACACATCAGAGACTGAAGGACAGTGGCGCTGGAACACGACCAGGCCTGGGCTGCGGTTCGCCTTGGTGAACTGAGATTCATCACTATTAATATCTGAGTTTCCATTAATAACCCTTTTCACTGTGAGCTCATTTAAATCTTCTGTTCTCTAAGCTATTTTTAACCACACATTCTTGGGCCTGGGCCTGGTTCCCGCTTACAGATCATAACTTTCATTTTGATTTTTTTTTCTTTTTTTTTTTTTTTTTGAGACAGAGTCTTGCTCTGTCGCCCAGGCTGGAGTGCAAGTGGCACGATCTTGGCTCACTGCAAGCTCCGCCTCCCAGGTTCACGCCATTCTCCTGCCTCAGCCTCCCGAGTAGCTGGGACTACAGGCGCCCACCACCGTGCCCGGCTAATTTTTTTTTTTTTTTTTGTATTTTTAGTAGAGACGGGGTTTCACCGTGTTAGCCAGGATGGTCTTGATCTCCTGACCTCGTTATCCAACCGCCTTGGCCTCCCAAAGTGCTGGGATTACAGGCGTGAGCCACCGCACCCGGCTCATTTTGGTTTTTGTACTTGCAGAAATAATAGGAATTCTGCCCAACCCCTCACTCCCTCCACCCCCACATTTCTCAGAGGCGTGTATTGAAATTGTAGGTGGGACAATTCTTTGTTATGCGAGATTTTATCCTATGCATGGTTTGAGGTTAATATACCTGTCCTCTGCCCTCTAATGCCTGTAAGGCTTTCCAATCATTGTGACAACTTACCCCACCACTGCCACCACCACACACACAGGCGCGCGCGCACACACACACACACACACACACACACACACACACACACACACACATTTCTAACCCTCCCCAAAGTGAACCGTACTGGGACTGATTGAAAGCCATTATAACCAGACACCTCTCTCTGCCACCCTTGATCTCTCTCTGTTGACTTGAGTCCCTATCCAAGGTAGAACTAGGAAACAGGATGTTACTCTCTATATCCTGAGAAAAGCAGCTTTTCTGTTTCCCCAGAGCTCTCCACTTTGTGAAATAGAGAAGCAAATTAAGATCTTGGGGATTGAACTGCTGAGACCAGTTGAATATCATTGTTGCTCTGTCAAGACAGGTTTTTTAAAAAAATATTAGCCAGGCATGGTGGCATGTGCCTGTAGTCCCAGCTACTCAGGGGGCTGAGGTGGGAGGATCCCCTCAACCCTGGGGAGGTTGAGGTTGCAGTGAGCTGTGATCATGCCACTGTACTCCAGCCTGAGCGACAGACTGAGACCCTGTCTCAATTTAAAAAAAAAAAAAAAAAAGGCAGGGGGCAGGGTTTAACCACAAGATTTTATTCTCTTAAAATTACATGAAGGCTGGGGAGGGGGACAGGGACTGGGGAAAGGCTGTTAGTTAGTATGGAATTTCTTTTTGGGTGATGAAAATATTCTGGAATTAAATAGTGGTGATGGTTGTACAACCTTGCAAGTATACTAAAAGCTACTGAATTGTACACTGTAAAGGGTAGATTGTATTGCATGTGAATCATATCTCAATTTTTTTAATTGCTTGAGTCTGCTACTCTTAATATTTCCCTACCTGTCATCTGATCTCCCAAGCTTGAAACTTTTATCTGGCAGTTACTTTTGACTCTTCTCTCTCCCGCAGTTTTCATTTCTAGTGGGTCACTAAGACCTAACTCCTAAGTAATTCTCAAATACCTTTTTTTCTGTCCCCACTCCCAGTGACATTACTCAGGCTCTCCCTTGCCTGTACTGTCGTGACTAGCTGTTAATTTCTCTTCCTGTCTCTAGACTTCTCCTACCCTCAGCATCTTTCCAGGATGTTTCCAACTATGTCTTCAACTTTTTATTGTGAAATGGAATACACACACAAAAATTATATATAATATATACTGTACTATAAAGGAAACACCCATGTAATTACCACCCAGGTCAAAAAATTGCCAGCATCCCAGAAATCCCTGAATGTCTCTTTCCAGTCATATTCTTCTTATTCCACTCCATCCCTTCTTCCAAGTATCATGACTTCTGTGGTAGTCATGCCCATGCTTTTGTTTGCAGTTTTACCATAAGTATGTGTATTCTCAAGAAATATTGTTAGTTCTGTTTATTTTTGAACTTTTGAAATCACATTTTTATACTCGCTTCCTTCTCTCAACTTTGTGTTTGTAAAATTTACTCATGTTGTGTATATAGCTTGGTTGTGTTTTCTTAAAATCTTGATCTGATCCTGTTTCTTCCAATCACATAGATGCTAAGTTCAAACTCCTTGATAATGGCAGCATTCAAGGTCCTCCAGGATCCTGTCTTGTAACCTGCCTCTCCATCTTCATTTGCAGTGACCTCTCTCCCCACATCCTTTCCCATAATCACATCAAAGATGCCCTGTCTTTCTTTGAGTAGGGATCTTGCTCTGTCACCCAGCCTGGAGTGCAGTGTTGCAGTCACGGCTTACTGCACCCTCAGCCTCCCGTATGCCCTCTCTTTCTATGCGTCCTGTGCTTAAAATCTAGACTGTCTTTCTACTCTTTCAACCTAGTGTATTTTTGACTCCCTCCTCAAAGTAGAATAGACTCATTTTCATAATTATTTATACTCTCTCTCCCTGTTTTAACACTTATAATATGTCTTGTATTGTAAGTGTTATAGGCCCAAGCATCTGGAGTTCCGATGTCCGAAGGCCCAAGGATTTGGAGTTCCAATAATGTCCAAGGGCAGAGAAACATGGGTGTCTCAGCTTCAGAAAAGAAAATGTTTTCCCTCTGCCTTTTTGTTCTTCCAGGCTCTCAACAAATTGGATGGTGCTCACCCACACTGGGTGAGAATGGATCTTCCTTACTCAGTCCACTGATTAAAATGCCAGTCTCTCCCAGAAACACCCTCAAAGACACACCCAGAAATAATGCTTTACCAGCTATCTGGGTATCACTTAACCCAGTCAAGTTGGCACCTAAAATTAACCATTACACTGTTATATTCTCACTTCTTTTGTATTAAAAAATAACTCATACACTTTATTCCATTGAATATCATGAACTCCTATGTTTGCAGATTCAATTAGTTATAAACTTAAAATGTTACAACTTGGACATTGGGAGCCCCTTTAAATCGTATCTTTTGACTCAACATCTCTCTCTCTCTCTCTCTCTCTCTCTCTCTAACATTTTTTGTAGAGATGGGATCTCACCATCTTTCCCATGCTGGTCTCAAACTCCTGGGCTCAAGAGATCCTCCTATCTTGGCCTCCCAAAGTGCTGGGATTACAGGTGTGAGCCATCATGCCTGGCCAAGTCCTTAACATTTTTTTTTCTGTGATTTATTTTTTCCTTTATTTATTTTCCCCATCACAAATTTCATACACAATTCTGTGATATATTTTAAAGCAACCTTGCTTTTATTATTGAACAAAAATAATTTTCAGGCTTACCTTAAATTTTTTTTTAACTTCACAACATAGAATCAACCCCTTTCCAGAGAGTTTTGATTCCTTTGGTAGAGAATAATGCAAAGGACCCACTTCTAGGACTCTAGGTGCACATGAGGTTGTAGAGGTTGTAGTGTTCATAAGCACTGTTGCTGTCATGGGCTACTCTTAGTGACTGAGTTGGAAAGTTAATTTTTTCAAGGTTATGAGTTCACATAAGGGTGCTGTATCTAACTTTTCTTAGAATGCTTGGTTTTATTGACCATTAATACTGTCTCCTACATAAATATTAGGAAGTATTTTTAATTACTTGCTGTGATCAGTTCCATTGAATTATGCCCAAATACAGGCCTGGTGAGAGATACATGTTCAAAACAATTAGAAGATAAAAGTTGATATTTATACATAACACATTTTGTAAAACATATATACCTTACTTTATCTCTTTCTGTGACTATGTGAGATGGATGGAATGTGATCTATTTTACGAACAAGGAAACTAAGGCACACAGCAGAAGTTAAGTGACTCATTAGGGTCATGCAGCTAATAAGTAAAGGCTGGAATTTTAACCTGTATCTTCAGAATCTAAATCCTGTTTATTTTCCACTGTCTGTACATCCTTTCACTCTCTGCCTTCAAGACGCTTGCAAACACTTGTGTACCTGAAATAACATAAATAACATTCATGATGAAGCTTGTAGCTTTATAAACCAAGGATTGCTTCCAAATGAAATCTATACTTATAATCCTTTCAGAGAAAACTTATGATCTGAATGACTATATTGATAGCTTAAGAAAGTATATAGGGGCCGGGCGCAGTGCTCACCGCCTGTAATCCCAGCACTTTGGGAGGCCAAGGTGGGCAGATTGCCTGAGCTCAGGAGTTCACGACCAGCCTGGGCAACATGGTGAAATCCTGTCTCTACTAAGAATATAAAAAATTAGCCGGGCGTGGCGGCGTGTGCCTGTAGTCCCAGCTACTTGGGAGGCTGAGGCAGGAGAATTGCTTGAACCTGGGAGGCGGAGGTTGCAGTGAGCCAAGGGCGCACCACTGCACTCCAGCCTGGCTGACAGAGTGAGACTCCATCTCAAAAAAAATGAATAAATAAAAATAAAAAAGTATATAGGTTCTAGATTAGGTTGGGATGGATTTATATTAGTAAATCAGGTTATATTCTAGTTTATTGAAAGCTCATGTCCATTTGGGGTAAAGTTGAAGGTTCTAACAAAGATAAAGTATTAAATTTCTAGGTATAGGGCAGGCTTGGTAAATGGGTATAGATGTTTTAATATAGGGGTTTGCATTCTAGACGTTAAACTGCTGGGCTTGATTCTGTATTTTTGACTGCTACAGTGTAAAAAATATTTTTGCTCAGAGAAGGATTAAGGACAGAAATGGTTTGTTTCAGTCTTAGAATTTTATTTAGAATTTCACTAGGGTTGAGCATGGGCAATGCTTGCCTTTTCCTCTAGGAAGCCATAGCTCCTCAGTTGGAATCTGCAAACTTTTGCTCTGAGGTCTTGGGAGAAACTGAGACCTTGGGAATGCATCCCGGACTCCAGAGAGCCCTATTCCTCAGGGTCAGGATGTCTCAAGATGAAAAATTATCTAAAAACTATGTTTCAACTCTAATATTTATTTAGCTGCATTTTCCACTCAGGCACAGGCAAAGAAAAGTGCCAGAAATAAAAAGACCAGGGATTTTTCACTTCTTAAGATGAAAAGGTCCTGGTGCTTTATATCCAGAAGTGCTCATCACTTACCTCCACACAAAGAGGCAACTCTGAACCTGCTAAGTGGCCACACCAGATTATAAAGTTACAAAGAAGGCTGGCTGCAAGGCACCTGGAGCCTCCCTGTGCCACCTCCCCTCTGTGGAGCTCTCTCTTGCCCTGCCTAAACATTCAGGATTCATTCCTGTCTAAAGCCCTGATCTCCATTCTGTATTAGTTTTATACCTTAAAGTAAATCTAAATTGTGTAGAACACTGCTGGGCAATTTTTGCAGTTTCAGAGACAAGACTCATTTTAGAATAAAAGGCTTTGGGTCCTATCTATAAAAAAATAAAAAAAGACTAGAGTTTTTGTCCCAGCTCTGCCACAGACTTCCATGTATGAGTTTAGTAAGATATTACCATTTTCTCAACCACTGCTCCTTGATCTGTAAAATGATTATGATAATCCCTTTCTTTCCCTACTCATAAGGCAATTTTGAAAGTATGAAAAGGGATTTATATTCTGAGGTCTCATCAGTACTGAGTCCTCAGTTGGCATTCAGCTCAGCTCAGTTCCCGTGCTATCTCTAGAAGGGAAGGAGAGGCACTGTGCCTGTCCTCCCAGAGAGAGTAAGGAAGGCTTTTGGGCATTCAAGTGGAATCTTGAAGGATTAATAGGATTTTCACAGGGAATATCACATTAAAGCAGTTTGCTTTTCCTGGAATGTCAGATGTTTTGAGGCTGAGAAATAGGCATGGAGGGGAGGGAAGGTTGAAAATTTCAGGTAGCAGTTTGGAACCAAATGAAGGAAGGCCCTTGAATGCTATCCTGAGTAGTTTAGACTTGGCACTGTAGGACAGTGCTTTTCAAACTTTTTCATATTACATTATACAAAGAAAACAATACTTTAATGTCAGGCTGCAGGTAGCTATTGGCAAGGGGTAACTGGCCCAGGGACTACAGTTTCTCTGAGGGCTAAAGGAATTAAAAACTTTTAATAACTTGGCACTTCATCACTGGTTGAAAAGCACTGCTAGGCAATAAGGAGCCTGGTTAAGAAACTTCAGGAAAAATATTTCTTCTTTGTCTCTCCAGAGTCTAAGATTGTAATGTGACTTCTACTCTAGATTCTTGCCTTGGGAGCCTGGCCCTTGGCGAAATCGAGTACACCAAAAATGAGTCAGCCTATCACTACAGATCCTATACCATTAAAAGGTTAATAGGAGATTAGTAATTGCCAGGGGATGGAAGAAGGGGAAGATGGAGATTGACTAATGGGTATGGGATTGCTTTTTGGGGTGATGCAAATGTTCTGGAATTAGATAATGGTGATGTTTGCATAATCTTGTGAATATACAAAAAACCCTAAATTGTATACTTGAAAGGGGTGAATATTATGGAATATAAATTATATCTCATTAAAAAATAAAAGCATAATAGGAGAATGTTATGAACAACTTTACTTCAATAAATTTGATAAATGAAATTCTATAAAAGACACACATATCAAAACTGACACAAGAAGAAAGCAAAAAATCTGAAGAGCCCTATACCTGTTAAAATAATTTAATTATAATTTTAAATATATAATTTAAATATAATTCATGGGCCTCATTTGTCTGCCCTTCCCCCAACTTTGCCCTGATTTTCACTAAATCTTTGCTTAATTCAGTGCTTTGGATATAACTGAGATCAGTTCTTTCAAGGACATGAGAATGAGGTCCCTCAAGAGAATAACTTTTGTTTCTCCAACATGCAGAGGACTGGCAACAGCTCATCTGTTGCTTTGCCAACGGGAGAGGTAAGAAACCTCCAGGCCTGGATGGCTTCTTCAGTAAATTCAATCAAACAGTAAAGGAAACATAATCCCTAAATTGATCAATAGATTCAGTGAAACCCCAGTCAAAATCCCAGCACTTCTCTTTTTTGGGTAAAAATTGACAAACTGATTCTAAAATCCGTATGGAAATGCAAAGGACCAAGAATAACCAAAACAACTTTGAAAAAGAACAAAGTTGGAGAACTTACACTACCTGATTTCAAGACTTATTATAAAACTGCAGTAATTGAGACAGCATGATACTGACATATATGAAAAATGATATTATTTAAACATAGGAAGTCTAGAAATAGGCCTACATGTATTTGATCAATTGGTTTTTAACAAAAATGCAAAGGTAATTTGATAAGAAAAGGATATTTCTTTTCAACAAATGCTGCTAGAACAGCTGGATATCCATGTGTAAAAAAATTGAACCATGACCTTTTTCTCATACTCTATACAAACATGGGTCATAGACAAATATCAAAGCTAAAATTATAAAACATTTATAAGAAAAGCAAAAAATCTTTTTGACCTTGGGGTAGGCAAAGATTTCCTAGATAAGACACAAAAAAAAGCCTAAACCATTTTTTAAAAAATTTTGTATTTCCACAGGTTTTTGGGAACAGGTGGTATTTGGTTACATGAGTAAGTTCTTTAGTGGTGATTTGTGAGATTTTGGTGCACTCATCACCCGAGCAGTATACACTGAACCCAATTTGTGGTCTTCTGTCCATCACCCTCCTCTCACCCTTTCCCGAGTCCCCAAAATTCATTGCATCATTCTTTCTTTTGCTTTTGCATCCTCATAGCTTAGCTCCCATTTATGAATGAGAACATACAATGTTTGGTTTTCTATTCCTGAGTTAATTCACTTAGAATAATAGTCTCCATCCCATCCACGTTGCTGTGAATGCCATTAATTCATTCCTTTTTATGGTCGACTAGTATTCCATCATATATCTATCTGTATAGATACATATATATATCTCAGTTTCTTTATCCACTCATTGATAGGTATTTGGGATGGTTCCACATTTTTGCGATTGCAAATTGTGCTGCTATAAGCATGTGTGTGCAAGTATCTTTTTTGTATAATGGCTTCTTTTCCTTTGGGTAGATACCCAGTAGTGGGATTGCTGGATCAAATGGTAGTTCTACTTTTAGTTCTTCAAGGAATCTTCACACTGTTTTCCATAGTGGTTGTACTAGTTTACATTCCCACCAGCTGTGTGGAAGTTTTCCCTTTTCACTGCATCGATGCCAACATCTGTTTTGTTTTTTTTTTAATGGCCATTCTTGCAGGAGTAAGGTGGTATCGCTTTGTGGTTTTGATTTGCATTTGCCTGATCATTAGTGACGTTGAGCATTTTTTCATATGTCTGTTAGCCATTTGCATATCTTCTTTTGAGAATTGTCTGTTAGTGTCCTTAGCTCACTTTTTGATGAGATTGTTTTTTTCTTGCTAATTTGCTTGAGTTCATTGTAGATTGTGGATATTAGTCCTTTGTCAGATGTATAGACTGTGAAGATTTTCTCCCACTCTGGCCTGTTTACTCTGCTGACTGTTCCTTTTGCCATGCAAAAGCTCTTTAGTTTAATTAAGTCCCAGCTATTTATCTTTGTTTTTATTACCTGTGCTTTTGGGTTCATGGTCATGAAATCTTTTCCTAAGCCAATGTCTAGAAGGGTTTTTCTTCTGTTATCTTAATAGAATTTTTATAGTTTCAGGTCTTAGATTTAAGTCCTTGATCTATCTTGGGTTGATTTTTATATAAGGTGAGAGACGAGGATCCAGTTTCATTCTACTACATGTGGCTTGCCAGTTATCCCAGCACTGTTTGTTGAATAGGGTGTCCTTTTCCCATTTTGTTTTTGTTCGCTTTGTTGAAGATCAGTTGGCTTTAAATATTTGGGTTTATTTTTGGGTTCTCTATTGTGTTCCATTGGTCTATGTGCCTGTTTTTATACCAGTACCATGCTGTTTAATGACTATAGCCTTATAGTATAGTTTGAAATCAGGTAATGTGATGCCTCCAGATTTGTTCTTTGCTTAGCCTTGCTTTGGTTATGTGGCTAAATGACTCAAAAAAGCCTGAACCATTTTAAAAATTGATGTTGGACTCATCAAACTCAGAAACGTTTGTTCTTTAAAAGATACCACTAAAGACTGGGTACGGTGGCTCACGCCTGTAATCCCAACACTTTGAGAGGCCAAGGTGGGCAGATCACCTGAAGTCAGGAGTTCAAGACCAGCCTGGCCAACACAGTGAAACCACGTCTTAAAAAAGAAAAATACAAACATTAGCCAGGCTTGATGGTGGGTGCCTGTAATCCCAGCTGCTCAGGAGGCTGAAGTGGGAGAATCGCTTGAACTTGGGAGGCAGAGGTTGCAGTGAGCCCAGATCACGCCATTGCACTCCAGCCTGGGTGACAGTGCAAGACTCTGTCTCAAAAAAAAAACAAAAAACCACAAGATACCACTAAGAAAATGAATATGTATAATTATTATTTGTCAATTAAAAATAATAATTTAAATTCCAAAAAAGAAAAGGCAAGCCACAGACTGGGAGAAAATGTCCTCCCTTGCTCCCATTATGTGTGTGTATATGTGTCTGTGTCTGTCTGACAACTGCATCCAGAATATGTAAAGGACTTATAACTCAATAATACCCCCAAAATTAATTCTAAAATGGTGAAAGAATTGAACAGACCTATCACAAAAGAAGATAAATGACAACTAAACACATGGAAAGTTGCTTACCATCGTTAATCATCAGAGAAATGGAAATTAAAACCACAGCGAGGCTGGGTGCAGTGGCTTACACCTGTAATCCCAGCACTTTGGGAGGCCAAGGCAGGTGGATTACTTGAGGTCAGGAGTTGGAGACTAGCCTGGGCAACATGGTGAAACTCCATTTCTACTAAAAATACAAAAATTAGCTGGGCATGGTGGCAGGTACCTATAGTCCCAGCTACTTGGGAGGCTGAGGCTGGAGAATTGCTTGAACCTGGGAGACAGAGGTTGCAGTGAGCCGAGGTCATGCCACCGCATTCCAGCCTGGGCAACAGAGTGAGGCTCTGTCTCAAAAAAAAAAAAAAAAACAAAAAAAAACCAAAAAAAAAAACCACACAGTGAGATAACATTACCCATCCCCTACAGTCGCCATAATGACCAAGTCTTGTGAAGGAATTAGAATTCTCATACGTTGTTGATAGGACTGCAAAAACAGTACAACAATTTCAGAAAACAATGTGGTAGTTTTTTGTTTTTTTGTTTTTTTATAAAATTAAACGTAGACTTACTATGTGACCCATCCATTCCACTCCTAGGTATTTAACCAGGAGAAATGAAAACCTATGCTCACAAAAAAGACTTGTACAATAATGTTCATAGCTATTTTGTTCATAATGGCTCCAAGCTGGAAACAACCTTATTTATTATCCCTCAATAGGTGAATGGCTAAATAATGGTACCTCCATCATACACTACTCAGCAATTTTTTAAACTACTGATACATGCAGCAATATGAGTCAGTAATTACAACTTCATGTTGTGCATAAAAAGCCAGGCACAAAAGAATATATACTGCATGATTCCATTTTTTGTGATGTTCTAGAAAAGACAAATTTAATCTATAGTAACAGCAGATCAGTGTTTGCCTGGCACCAGGATAGGGAGTGAGGATTCACCTGGAAAGGGCACAGGGGAACTCTTTGGGGTCATGGAAATGTTGTGTCTTGATTGAAGTGGTGGTTAGATGGTAAATACATTTGTAAAATTCAGCCATCTGAACTGTTAAGATGGATGCATTTTACGTTATCTAAATTATATCTATGTAATGATGATTTCTGGCAACAAGGAAACAAAAGAAAAAAAAAGGATCAGCCCAGGGTCATTCTTTTAATTCTGTATACTGAATTCTTACAAATTAAACAAAAGCCTTTCCAATAGCTCCTAGAGAGGCTAAGGAAGTCTCTGTATGGGAATGTTTTCCAGCTACATATGCAATACTTCAAGCAGCTGGACTGATGTAAATTGGGGCTCCCAGGAGCAAGATAGTCCATTTACTTGATCACCTGAATTAATCTTTGGAATTTGGTTCTGTTTCTCATGTCATCCTTTGAATGATTTCCCTCCATTTTTGTAGAATACTGTGACCAGGGAAGAGAAGCCAAGTTCCTGAAGGGCCCCATTATTTGTTCATTCTGTACCTTGGAAGTAGCTTTTCATGATACTGTATTTGCTTATGACCAGCAAATTCCACTGTGTACTGGACTCCAGATGGCTAGTCCAGATGGGAAAAGCTCTCCAGAAAGCACCAGACTTTGTGCGCATGTTCATGTGTCTTCACAGTTTGGGCACCTTTGGGAGAGTCAGTCTAGCACAGTCCAGAAGCTCTGCCTGACATTTTCAATCCTCTGTCTTTTCCTGTGATCTTAAAATGTCAGAAATTGAAGTGATGGTGGGAACAATAATAAAGTCAACACTTGTACGTTATAGATGAGGAAATGGCCCAGAGCAGGAAAGTGTTTATTTTCCCCCATAAGTTCACATTTCAAAGACAGCTGGAATCACAACCTGAATATCTAAACTCCTGATACATTTATTCCTCTAGTGCAGGTCACTAAGTCAAGGCTACATCCTGTCAATCATCATTAACAATTTAGTGCATTGTTTCTCAAAATAGGGTCCTTGAATAGTCTGTAGTAGAGTCATTTGAGGTTTGTATCCCTGGACTGTACTCCAGACCTACTGATCTGAATCCCTGTTGAGACTGAGGCCTGGTATTCTCCATTGTGAACAGATGTCTTAGTGATTCTGATGCACATTGAAGTTTGAATACCACTGTTGAAGACAGTAGTGAGCTAATTTAAAGCAAAGAAGTAAAACAATCAGATGTATATTTACGAAAATATGGAACCAGGTCTTTGGAGGGCCTGCGGGACTGAGAGAGAAGCCTTTGTCCCAGAAGAAAGGAAACAATTTATATTCCTGGGCATCATTTGTCTACTCTTCCCCCAGCTTTGCCCTGGTTTTCCCTGGTAACCTTTGCTTAATTCAGTGCTTTAAATATAACTGAGATCAGACCATTCAAGGACATGAAAGCAAGGTCCCTCAGGGGAATGACCTTTCTTTCTCCAATATTTAAAGGGTTGGCAACAGCTCATTTGTTGCTTTGTCAATGGGAGAGGTAATTCCCCTAATGGATTTCGAGTCCTCTGTAGAAAGGTTGACCTGGTCTTTGGGGAATGAACCTCACAGAATTCAATCAGTGTAATTACTGATACAGGGCTTTTTGGTTTCCCAGATGTGACCCTGTCTCTCTCATACACATCAAATTCATCTTGTCCCTTTGTCTTTCATGTGGTAGAGGCAGAGAATGGATAGAATGCACCATAATAGACTTGTCAGAGAGATGTGACTGTGATTCTCTTCTCCATCATAATGAGTCATAATACAGCCCACCCACTTGCTCAAGCTGGAAATCTTGAAGTCTTTATTCTTCCTTCTCCGGTATCTCCCATATTCTGTCCATTATCAAGGTTAGTCATTTCAGCCTCTGAAATATATCTTGGTTGCATATGCCCTCTTCAATGTATATACCTTTTGCCACTGCCCTGGTCCATATCACCATTATTTCTTGAGCAGTAGTCTATCTGGGCTTCCTACTCATGCTCTTGCCCTACTTCAATGCAATTATTATAGGCCAGAATGATCTTTTAGAATTTTAAATATGGAAAAATTTAAAACCATTCACAGCTCTCATGTTCTGTTTACTTAAAAATATAGAATTATGTGGATTAAAATGTGAAAGTTCCCTGTATCTTTTCTCTTATATGCCCATTCCCCTCAACAAGGAGCCATTGGTAGCAATTTGAAATGCTTTTCTAAGCATTTGTAAAATGTGTGTATGTGTGTATGCTATATATACACTTTATGTGGTTGTATGTATGTTTGTGTACATAAACATGGTATATTTAATATAAATAATATGTGAATAATATAAATAGTATAATACATGGTTCTCAAGCTCATTTGCCAATATATTGATTTATTAATCATGCCCCTATTGAGGGATTTTATTTAAGATAAAATCTAAACTTCAATCTACCCCTGCCTTTTGCTTGTTCTACTTTCCCCTTTGTTTACTGTGTTCCAGCCATGACCTCCTGTCAGGTTCTCCCATAACCCAAGCTCGCTTCCTCTTCAGGGCCTTTACCTATGCTGTTCTCCCTGCCTGAGCTACTCCCCTGGGTGCACGACAGTAGTTCCCATATGATGGACTGCTGTGTCCTGGGTCCTTCAAAACACACACACTCCCTCACACCCAGTATTGCTTATGAACTGAATAAGTGTTTTCCATGAATTTGTACTTTTTTCCCCAAAAAATATGGATATTCTGATTAAAGGAATCATGAATTCATTGTAGTTTTTTCTTCATTAACAAATACTTAAAAATATGTTATTTTCTGGAGGAATTCTCAGATTTTTTAATTTTATAATATTTTAAAATATATTATTATAATATTTGACTTACCTTCAATAATTTTCTCTCCACAGTTTTCTCATCCTCCCGACATAAACGTCACCAAACTTACCTTTATCATTTGAGTACACCAAACTTTTTCATATACAGTGAATCCTCATATTCACACATTCTAGATTCTGTACTCACTGAAATTTACTTGTAACCCCAAAATCAATACTCACCATGTATGGACTGAATGTTTGTGTCCCTCCAAAACGTGTATGTTGAAATCTTATCCCTGATGTGTTGGTATTAGGAGGTGGGGCCTTTGGGAGGTGATTAGGTGGGCTGTGAGGGCAGAGCCCTCGTGAAGGGGATTTTTGCCCTTACAAAAGCAGCTTGAGGGCTTCCGTTGTCCCCTCCACCATCTGTTAGAAACAGGGCCCTCACCAGGCACCAAATCTGCTGGTGCCTTGATCCTGGACTTTCCAGCCTCCAGCACTGTGGACTGTAAATTTCATGTTTATAAATAACAGTCTGAGGTATTTTGTTTTACCAGCCTGAACAGACCAAACAGCATGCTTTGGCTGTTAATCTCAGACATTCACATGGACAGGGCAGTGAAAACATCTGAGTCTCCTGACGTGCACATTCCCAGCTGAGGTGGCACAAGGCAGTGTTTTGTGTACTTATTTCACCTCTCATCCTGTAAACAAGTGTCTTCTTTGTCATATATCGGGTACCATGTTTTTTGCATTTTTGTGCTTTTTGTTGGTGATTTCACTGTTTAAAAAGATCCCCAAGCATAGTGCTGAAGTTCTGTCTAGTGTTTCTAAACACAAGAAGGCTGTAATGTGCCTTACTGAGAAAATACATGTATTAGATAAGCTTTGTTCAGGCAGAGTTGAAGTGCTGTTAGCCATGAGTTCAGTCTTACTGAATCAACAAATATTAAATAAGGTGTCTTTAAACAGAAACACATATAAAACGAGGTTATGTATTGACCGATTGATAAAAATGTGACCAGAGGCTAAGAGGAACCTAATCTGGTATTTTTCCCCTAGAGCAGGGGTCCCCAGCCCCCTGGGCCGAGGACCCTTACCAGTCTGGCCTGTTAGGAACTGGGCCTCACAGCAGGAGGTGAGCAGCTGGTGAGTGAGCATTACTGTCTAAGCTCCACCTCCCATCAGATCAGCGGTGACATCAGATTCTCATAGAAGAGTAAACTCTATTGTGAACTGCACATGCAAGGGACCTAGGTTGCATACTCCTTATTAGAATCTAATGCCTGATGATCTGAAGTGGAACAGTTTCATCCCAAAACCGTCCCTACCCCTTTCCATGGAAAAATTATCTTCCACAAAACCAGCCGTTGGTGCCAAAAAGGTTGGGGATCGCTGCCCCAGAGGAATGATTCAATATTAACTAATACAGTGTTTGTGCTGACTTTACAGACCATAACTACCAGAAATAACAAGAGTCACCTATACTCATCTTACTCTCTTTTCCTGAAAGTTCTCCCTCCAGCAGTTTTTCTTCACCCAGCAAAACTCTTCACATCCTTCAATACCCAATCCAAGTGCCACCTGTCCTGTAAAACTTCTGTGACTCCTCGAGGCAAGCAGAGTAGTCCTCTCCGTCAAGCATCCACTGTTCATGTGGGTGCTGAGAACACCTACATGAACTGTGCTGAGAACCTCTGTTCATACCATTATAAGAGCACTGACCATGTACTGAGTTACCTATGTACTGTACTTGTCTGCCCTTTCCATAAGTCATGAGATCCTGAAGGACCTGGCATTACTGGATTTCATAAATGTTGATTGAATGATTGGAATGAGGAAGGGAGAGTTTGTGTAGGTGTGAGTAAGTGCTAATGGAAAAGACATTGAAAGTGAAGGAAAAAGAAAGTGGATTGAATAATGAATATGATCAGGGCTCTTGTAAAGGACCCCTGAGTTACTCCGGTGGTAGCAAACTGGTTCGGACATATGGTTACAGCCTGTATTGATCAGTGACCTAAGTTACCTTAAATGAGGAAAGAGTTTATTGACCCGGAAAGTCTAAGGGGAAAATCTAAATCTGGCCTCAGCCTCAGGTTAAGACTCACATTTCGCCATTCTAACTGGTGTGAGATGGTATCTCATGGTGGTTTTGATTTGCATTTCTCTGATGGCCAGTGATGATGAGCATTTTTTCATGTGTCTTTTGGCTGCATAAATGTCTTCTTTTGAGAAATGTCTGTTCATATTCTTCGTCAACTTTTTGATGGGGTTGTTTTTTTCTTGTAAATTTGTTTGAGTTCATTGTAGATTCTGGATATCAGCCCTTTGTCAGATGAGTAGATTGCAAAAATTTTCTCCCATTCTGTAGGTTGCCTGTTCACTCTGATGGTAGTCTCTTTTGCTGTACAGAAGCTCTTTAGTTTAATTAGATCCCATTTGTCAATTTTGGCTTTTGTTGCCATTGCTTTTGGTGTTTTAGACATGAAGTCCTTGCCCATGCCTATGTCCTGAATGGTATTGCCTAGGTTTTCTTCTGGGGTTTTTATGGTTTTAGGTCTAACATTTAAGTCTTTAATCCATCTTGAATTAATTTTTGTATAAGGTGTAAGGAAGGGATCCAGTTTCAGCTTTCTACATATGGCTAGCCAGTTTCCCCAGCACCATTTATTAAATAGGGAATCGTTTCCCCATTTCTTGTTTTTGTCAGGTTTGTCAAATGGCGATCATTAAAAAATCAGGAAACAACAGGTGCTGGAGAGGATGTGGAGAAATGGGAACACTTTTACACTGTTGGTGGGACTGTAAACTAGTTCAGCCATTGTAGAAGTCAGCGTGGCGATTCCTCAGGGATCTTGAACTAGAAATGCCATTTGACCCAGCAATCCCATTACTGGGTATATACCCAAAGGATTATAAATCATGCTACTATAAAGACACATGCACCTGTATGTTTATTGCAGCACTATTCACAATAGTAAAGACTTGGAACCAACCCAAATGTCCAACAACGATAGACTGGATTAAGAAAATGTGGCACATATACACCATGGAATACTATGCAGCCATAAAAAATGAGTTCATGTCCTTTGTAGGGACATGGATGAAGCTGGAAACCATCATTCTCAGCAAACTATCGCAAGGACAAAAAACCAAACACCGCATGTTCTCACTCATAGATGGGAATTGAACAATGAGAACACATGGACACAAAAAGGGGAACATCACACACCAGGGCCTGTTGTGGGGTGGAGGGAGCGGGGAGGGGATAGCATTAGGAGAGATACCTAATGCTAAATGAGGAGTTACTGGGTGCAGCACACCAACATGGCACATGTATACATATGTAACTAACCTGCACGTTGTGCACATGTACCCTAAAACTTAAAGTATAATAAAAATAAAAATAAAAAAAGACTCATATTTCATCAATATCCATCTTTTAACCTGCTTGCATGCTCTCGCTCTCCCTCACTCTCACACGTACTCTTTTTCTCTTGCTCTCTCTCGGTTGGCTGTTCTTAGGCGACAAATAGTGGTTCCTGCAACTTCAGGGAAATATTGTGACAACCCTTTGTCCAGTGACACAGCCAGTTTGAGTAACACAAAACAAAGGTCCTGGAGTTGAATCTTAATGACTCTGAGCTGGCTTGGAACATAACGCTTGTCGCTAAACTGATCACAGTGGCATGTAGGATGAAATGGTGCAAATTGGCTTAATCTAGATTACCATGATCTACTCCTTGAAGCCTATAGTTGGAGTCAGCTTTATATAAAGGATTCTAGGTGATCTTTTGTGTTTATGGTGTCTGTGTACCATCTTACCTGGAATAGAGATTGTGTTAAATTAACAGATCATCTGACTGAGAGGTTTTTTTCCCCCAAAACAGAAGCAAATAAACATTATTTTGTTCCTTTGGTATAACTTTCATTGAACAGTTATATAGTGCTTTGGAAGTATCAAGTCCTGTGCTAAATAAATGCTGGAGATACAAAAGCCCCTGACCTCAGAATGTCATAGTCTTGGGGTAAGAAAAAATTCATTCTGTGCCCGAGGAGCAAATAAGTTCCTTTAGAGTCCGAGGGAAACTGTACTTATCTGCCCTTTCTCAGATGAATGAGTCCAGAACAAATACAGTTAACTATGCTGCTCTCTTCTAGGGGATCTGCATTTGAGGAGTGGAAATAACTTTGGACTAGGAGCTGAGGCCTAGATTCTAGTTGCATTATTGCCATCTGCCATCACCAATTAACTATAAACTTGAATTCATAAACTCTGTGGCCAGTGTTTCTCAAAGTGTAGTGAGCAATTCATCTGCAGTAGCTTCACCTCAAGTTCTTTGTGGGTCTGGACCCACAGAATAAGAAGATCTTGGGCTGTGGTCTCTGTAAGTTGTTTAATCTCTATGAACTTCTTTTTCCTCACCTGTTAAGAGGATCCTATTTACCTTGCAGCATTTGTTAAAGGATTAAATGTGATAATGAGTAGAAAGCACATGGCAGGTAGCAAGAGCTCAGCAAATACACTTTTAAAAATTTCCTCAGAGAGTATAAAGTCTCTATGGTCCAGAGTAGTCGAAGGATTGCTAGAGGAAGGATAGCAAAAAGCCTTTCCTCGCTCAGGAAGTGTGCCTTCAAAAATGTGTAACTGTTACATGACTCCCACTGTACTCTTGTAATGTTTGCTGTTAACTATTATGGGACACGAGACTGGCATAGTAGCTTCGTGTTGAAATATATTAGGATAGACTTGTACATCATATGTTCAGAAGTGAGATCAGATTCCCCTGTGTCTTTGTGTTTGTTTGAGCTAGAACTCAACCACATCACCACCTGAGAGTTGACAGTTGAAAATATTTCTAAACCTCCAGAATCTTCTATCTTCTGCCCTGACTTTGGTATACCAAAGATAACAGAACTCTTCTTTGATGACTAAGGACTTCTCAAGGTCTCAAATCATCTTTTCTGATACCAAATCTCACGTGCCTTGTGGCTAAGGTTGTAGAAGGGGCAAGACATTACTTGGAAGAGGCTTTTGCGAAACTCCTGGAATAGGCGTGTCCTTTTAACTTCCCGCTTTCTGAAGAGGGTAAAACCAAAAACTGCCAGTAAACCTAGAGAATCCTATGAAGTGAGGTTTATGGTTAATCTGAATCTAACTGAGGTTACTGGGTGATACCTATAATTTAAACCTGTTAGGCGGGTATATGAAGAACATAACAGTTGTATCTTCAAAAAGCTCTTTGCCTTATTTTTTAAAAATTCACCAATAACAAAGACTGACTCTCTCTCTCTCACACACACACACACACACACACACACCCCTACACACCTCTTAGTGAAGCTCCCAGGTGGAGATGTGGTTATTCAGAAGAACACATCCCTCTGTTCTAAGAATCTGAGTAATCTGATTAAATGAGGTGTTACCATATCATGTTTTCTTAGTTAAAAAATACATAAGGGGCTGGGTACAGTGGCTCATCTGTAATTCCAGCACTTTGGGATGCTGAGGTGGGAGAATTACTTGAGCCTATGAATTTGACATTAGCCTAGCCAGCATAGTGAGACTCCATCTCTAAAAAAAAAAATTAACTGGGTATGATGGCGCATCCTGTGATCACAGCTAAATGGGAGGCTGAGGTAGGAGGATCGCTTGAGCCTAGGAGGTCGGGGCTACAGTGAGCCATGTTTGCGCCACTGCACTCCCGTCTGGGCAACAGAGGGAGACCCTGTCGCAAAAAAAAAAAAAAAAAAAAAAAAAAAAGAAAAAGAAAAAAGTAAGTCTCTCAAGATAGGGGAGAATAGACCTTAGGTAGTCTCTTGTCCATCTATTGATCTACTCTTTTTTTTTTTTGAGACAGAGACAGAGTCTTGCTCTGTTGCCCAGGCTGGAGTGCAGTGGTGCGATCTCCGCTCACCGTAAGCTCTGCCTCCCAGGTTCAAGCCATTCTTCTGCCTCAGCCTCCCGAGTAGCTGGGACTACAGGTGCTCGCCACCACGCCTGGCTAATTTTTTTTTTTTTTTTTTTTTTGTCGTTTTAGTAGAGACGGTTTCACCGTATTAGCCAGGATGGTCTCAATCTCCTGACCTCGTGATCTGCCTGCCTCGGCCTCTCAAAATGCTGGGATTACAGACGTGAGCCACCACGCCCAGCCTTGATCTACTCTTTGAGCCCTTCTTCTGTCACACTCCCCAACCTTCCCACCCTTTGTTTAGGCCAGGAGTCAACAAACAAATCCTGCCACCACTTCTTTTTCTAAGCAGTTTTATTGGAACACAGCCATGCCTGTTTGCTTATGAATTGTGTATGGTTGCTGTCATGCCACTATAGAACTGAGTAGTTATGACAGAGAAAATATGACCTGTAAAACCCAAAATATTTGCTAACATCCTTAACAAAGTTTGCTGATCCCTCACCTTGCCTCTTTCTTCAAAATCTCCAGTGTTGAGTATTCTCCAGTTTCCAAGAGACCTGCTTTGGACCACTCATTTAGAAAGTTCTTACGTTCTAAAAAAAATAAAATTTGGTTTTCCGTAGACTGCTCCTGCTGGTACTTGTTCAACTTGAGTATGTTGAGTAACTAAAAATAAATCAAATCGCTCTTCCACATATTGGCGGCCCTTTATATCTTAGAACAACACTATGATCATGACTCCAGGCAGAATCTTGCAGAATCCTGGTGTGATAAACTTTCACGGGCCTTCATTGTCACCAGAAGGGAGCATAACACTCTTGCACAGCTAAATTGTGGCCCACCTAGGTTTTCTGGGCGCCAAGAGCAATAAGAGGAAGTTATAGCCTCATTCTACATGCTTGAAGACCTTGAGATCTAACCCAAAGGATAGAGACAGGTTCATGTGACATGTACTGTCTGTTCAACAGCTAGGAGTGATGCAACTTCCAGGTCATATGTACCCACACTTTGTGGTCTTGATGGTTGTGAAATGGTTTGTTTTCTGACAGAAGGAAAACAGTCACTTCTATTTCATCAGAGATGGGAGTGGCATACCCTTGATCCTAGACACAAATTCTTTTTTCCAACTTTCTTGACAGTAGACCCTATCCATATACTTCTTTAAGCCCCACTGTTAAGTAAAGTGACTTTCATTGTCTTTTGTCTCCGTTATTACTACCCTAATTTAGATTGCCATCTTCTCTCACCATTGCAGACTATCGCAACAGCTTCTTAATTGTTTTCTTGTCTCTTATTTTTTATTTTTCTGGTTTGTCTCCCGCACTTTGCCAGATGAGAGCACAGCATTGGTTAACATTTCTCTGCTGATCTATACTCTTCAATGGCTCCCCGTTACAAATAAAGGAAAGATGAAACTTCTTAGGGTGGCATTCAAGGCTTTTCAGGACCTCCAAACTCTTCCTTTCCTCCCTCTTTTCCATATTGAGAAGACTGTGCCATATTCTCTGAACCTATTTTATCTGTTCCCATGCCCAGGCCTTGGTCATTGGTCATACTGTATGTTGTATTTAAAAAAAAAAAAAAAAAAAAAAAAAAGGTCCTGTTCTTCCTTTCCAAAACCGCATATCAAACCCTACCTTCCTCATTGTTTGTGTTCATTGCTCCTTCTCTCTCGTGCATGTTTGCTTTCTCTCATGCTGTTTCTCTCTCTTAACCCTGAAAGTTTGATTCCCTGCTTCAGTGGTCTACTAGCGTATTATGTCTTTTTTTATGGTGCTTACAAAAAAATCTTCTAGTTTTAGGGATATATATTAATGTCTTAACTTCCTGAAACTTTGTAAATATTGTAAGTTACTTCAAAGGAGTATTTTTGGGCCTTGCCTCTTTATCTGTCAAAGCATTCAACACATTTTGTGTTTGTTTTTACTGAATTCTATACAAGGAGCTTGTTGATTTCTCATGAAATGTACCTTAGATCCCAAAGATTTTCACCTTTTTTTCTAAACGTTTTATAGTTTTACATTTTACGTTTAAGTCCATGATTCATTCTGAGTTAGTTTTTGTATAAGATGTGAGACTTAGATTAAGGTCTTTACTCCCCTATGGATGCTTGATTGCTTTGGCACCATTTCTTGAAAAGGCCTTTTCTTTTCTTTTTTATATTAAAATTTTTAGTAGAGACAGGGTTTTGCCATGTTGGCCAGGCCAATCTCGAACTCCTGGCCTCAAGTGATCCACCTACCTTGGCCCCCCAAAGTGCTGGGATTACAGGCACGAACCATGACAACTAGCTGTTTTCTTGATTGAATTGCTTTTACACGTTTGTGAAAAATCAGTTGGGCATATTGTGAGGGTCTGTTTCTGGGTTTTCTGTTCTAATCCATTGTTCTTCACTTGATCTTAGCCAAACGGCCAAGAATTGATCTATTCCACTTTTCTGTGTCTGTCTCTTCGCCAGTGCTACACAGTCTTGATTGTTGTAGCTATATAATAAGTCTTAAAATCTGGCAGACTGATTCTTCCCATTTTATTTTTCAGAATTATTTTAGCTATTGTGCTTCCTTTGCCTTTTCATATACATTTTAGAACAATCTTACGTACATCTACAGACATTCTTGTGGGATTTTGATGGGAATTGTGTTAAATCTGTACGTCAGTTTGGGGAGATGCACCAAGTCGAGTTGTCCAATCCATGAATATGGTATGTCTCTTCATTTATTTAAGTCTCCTTTGATTTCTTTCATTAGCTTTGTATAGCTTTTAGCATACATGCCCTGCACAGCGATTTTTTTAGATTTATACCTTTTCAATTTTTAAGAACAATTATAAATGGCATTGTATTTTTATTTTATATGCCTGCATATTCATCGCTAGTTAGAAGTAAATTGATTTCTGTATGATTATCTTGTATCCTGTGACCTTGCTGAACTCACTTATTCGTCCTGAGAGTTTTGTTGGGTTTTGTTGTAGATTTTTTGTGTTTTTTCTTTTTCTTTCTTCTTCTTCTTCTTCTTTTTTTTTTTTTTTTCTTTGAGATGGAGTCTCACTCTGTTGCCCAGGCTGGAGTGCAGTGGCACCATCTCAGCTCACTGAAACCTCTACCTCCTGGGCTCAAGCAATTTTCCTGCCTCACCCTCCCTAGTAGCTTGGATTACAGGTACCCACCACCATGCCTAGCTAATTTTTGTATTTTAGTAGAGATGGGATTTCACCATGTTGGCCAGGCTGGTCTTGAACTCCTGACCTCAAGCAATCCACATGCCTCGGCCTCCTAAAGTACTAGGATTACAGGCATGAGCCACTGTGCCCAGCCACGATTTTTCTATATAGATAATCATGTCCTCTGCAAACAGGGACCATTTTTTTTTCTTCCTTTCCAATCAGTATACCTTTTATATATGTTTTTTGCTTTATCACCTTGACAAGAACTTCCAGCAATATGTTGAATAAGAGTGATAACAGTGGCTGGGCACGCTGGCTCACACCTGTAATCCCAGCACTTTGGGAGGCCAAGGCAGGTGGATCACTTGAGGCCAAGAGTTCAAGACCAGCCTGGCCAACGTGGTGAAACCCCATCTCTAATAAAAATACAAAAATTAGCCAGTGTGGCAGTGCACACCTGTAATCCCAGCTACTTGGGAGGCTGAGGCACAAGAATCACTTGAACCCAGGAAGCGGAGCTTGCAGTGAGCCAAGATTGTGCCACTGCACTCCACCCTGAGCAACAGAGTAAGACTCTGTCTCAAAAAAAAAAAAAAAAATGATAAGAGCAAATGTCCTTGCCTTATTCCTGATCTTAGGAAAGAGGATTCAGTCTCTCAAATCTAAGTATAGGCCAGGTTTGCTGGTTCACACTTGTAATCACAGCATTTTGGGAGGCCAAGGCAGGAAGATTACTTGAGCCCAGGAGTTTAAGAACAGCCTGGGAAAAATAGTGAGACCCCCATCTCTACAAAAATTTAGAAATTAGCCAGGCATAGTGGCATGCACCTGTGATCTCAGCCACTCAGGAGGCTGAGGTGGGAGATTCACTTGAGCCAGGAGGTTGAGGCTGCAGTGAGCCATGTTCATGCCTCTGCATTCCAACCTGAGTGACAGAGTGAGACCCTGCCTCAGCAAACAACCAAAAAAAACTAAGTATAACATTTGATAGTGGTCTTTTGTTGCTGCTCTTTTTCAAGTTGAAGAAGCTCCCCTCTGTTCCTGTTTTTCTGAGAGTTTTTATCAAGAATGAGTGTTTAATTTTATCAAATATTTTTTGCATTGAAAGATATGATCATGCAGTTTTTCTTCAGCCTATTAATATGGTAGATGACGGATTTCAAATATGGAATCAGCCTTACCTCCTTGGAATAAATTCCATTTGGTCATGTGTTTTTATAGATTGCTGAATTCTATTTGTATTTTATGTGTAAGTCCATAATCCATTTTGAGTTAATTTTTGTATGAGATTTTATATAGACGTTAGAACAGTCCTGAAAAAGCTTTCTCTTTAATAGCATATTCAGGACTCATGTCCCGTATTCTCCTTGCATTATGTGTCAGTAATCCAACAGCAATTTTTCATTTTTGTATCATGGGTTACTTTTCAGGTGAAGCTCCCAGACCCCCCTTATAAATATTTATTACATGGATACTGCACTTATCAGAATGAAGGGAACAAGGTGCCAAATAACTCACACCATAGAGAATCTATTACACATCTTTATCTTATTCTTTTTTCTGTAATCCTCTTGCTGTCCTTCTTTTCTACTTCCTACTGTGAAAGCTTACGTATAAGTTTTATTAATTTGAACAAATTAACATATTCATGGAATGAAAAAAAATCAACAGATCTTCCCTGAGCTCCTATATGTGTTAAGCACTCTGCCATGTAGTTTTTGGCCACATTGGACCTTAATCTCAGGATGCTCAGAACTTAAAGGGGAGAAAGACATATAAGCATTAGAAATGCCAAAGCAGGGAGTAGAAATGTCAAACCCGGGGAAAGAAATGCCAGCGTGGGGTAAGCACAGGTTAGTAAGGGAAAACAAGCAGAAGCACCTCCAGCTCTACCTGGGGGAGTCAATAAAGGCCTTCCAGGAGAAGTGACATTTGTGCTGGCACTGAGAGAACATAGAAATTCTCCAGATGGATGAGGTAAGGTGAAAGCCTTTCTAGGCAGAAGCCATAGCTTGTGCAAAGACATAAAGTCATGAAATTACATGACTTACTATTTGGAGAATAATAGGTAATTTTTAGTGCTCCTGTAAATTCTGTGAGACGAGGAATTCATGCTGTATCCTCAGCATTAGAATAATACCTAGAGCATAGTAAGCACTGAATAAATATTTGTTGGATGTAAGGAAACAAAGGAGGGAAAGAGCGATGGAGGAAGGAAACATAATTGAGGTGAGAGCGGTAAGAAAGCTTTGGCAATAAAGAATTTTGTTCATGTCCTAGTTGGGAAGAGACAAGTACAAAAACACTCATGATTGTTGTAAAAACTGACATGCCTTGAAAAGAACATAAAAAGCATTATGAAGGTTCCGAGGAAATAGAGGTCCACTTCAGATGAATGGATCAGGGAAGTTGTCACTGAGGCCAGACACTTAGAGTTGTTTGTACTTGGTTCTGAATTGTTTGGCTTTTTAAAAACACATGGGGCCCCATGCCGTGGCTCACGCCTGTAATCCCAGCACTTTGGGAGGCTGAGGTGGGTGGATCAATTAAGGTTAGGAGTTCAATACCAGCCTGACCAACATGGTGAAACCCCGTCTCTACTAAAAATACAAAATTAGCTGGGCATAGTGGCACACGCCTGTAATCCCATTTACTGAAGAGAGGCGGAGGCGGGAGAATCGCCTGAACCTGGGAGGTGGAAGTTGCAGTGAACGAGATGATGCCACTGCACACCAGCCTGGGTACTCTAAAAATATATATAAATAAATAAAACCTGGAAGTGGAGAGAAGGTGTTGTGGTGGAAGAGGGATGTGTGAATTTGGGACTAGACTAGACAGCCTTGCTGACTCTGTCATAAATATATCAGTATTTTGTAGGCAGCCATTTATCAGCCTACACCACTTACTTGGAAGCAAAACCTGACAGGCTCTGATATTATCTGTAGCAAACATGGTTTTCTTGTTCATGAGGGTGTCTGTGTTTTTTGTGCTTGCACCTGCATACCAGAGATTTGGGGACAGCTCTTTCCACAGAGACAAGACTAACGGGGACACATCAACTGAAATGCCAGCTGAACTAGAAACAGATCTTTTTAAAATGCACCTTGGTGCCCACACACTATGTGTCTATGTGTGAACCTGCAGCACACAGAAGTACATGCATAATTCTGAAAGCAGTGACCGGGTTAAGATTTTAAATTACTATAAATAAATAGTACTTATTTTTATTTTTCTCAGCTCCATCCTATCTGGCTATACCTCAATTTTCATTTCAGTCTAAGGCTTATTGGGCACCAGTTATGTCTCCTTTGACCTGCTAGATAATAGAAGGATTTCATGCAAGAAAATGATTCATTAATTATATATATATTGATTACTAGCTATGTGCCAGGCAATATTCTAAACACCAAGGATGCATCATGGAATAAAAAGAACCAATCCTTGTCCTGGAGGAGTTTACTTTCTGGGAGGTGGGTGCGGAAAAGTCATAAAAATTGATATCTTTTGGGGGTATACATGCTTTGTGAGACCAGTAAAGCAGGGTAAGGGGGGAAAGAGAGTGGGAGCATCGGGGACCAGGAATAGCCTGTCCAGTAATGTGACATTTGAATAAGGACTAGAAAAAAAGATTAAGCAATGGAAATATCTGGGGGAGGAGTGTTCCAGGGCCAGGAAACAACTAGACTAAAGACCGTGAGGCAGGAGCACGCCTGGCACTGTGTAAGGCCACGTGGCCAGAGCAGAATAGGCAAGGCAGAGGGCAGCAGGAGCTGAGGTGAGGGGTGGGATGAGGCTCAGTCCCATCAGGCCTGTAGGCCATTGTGGGGACTTTGGCTTTACTCTGAGTGAGATGAACAGCCATTGCAGATGGTGAGCGGAGAAGTGGCATCTTCTGATTTACTTCCTGCTTTCTTACTTTGCGGTTGAGGATAGACTGCAGGATGAAAGGGTGGAAGCAGGAAGACTACAAAATGGTGGACTAGACCAGGTGAGCAACAGTGGAGGTGAGGAGAAGCAAGCTCATTGTTGATATATTCTGAACTGTCTGAACTGACAGGATTTGCTTTTGGGTTAGATGTAGAGTATGAAAGGAGTCAGCTATGATACATAGATTTTTGGTCTGACAACTGGAAGGCTGAAGGTGCTGGTAAATGAGATGGGAGAGAGTGCAGGAAGAACAGATCTGGGAGATATCAGGACCTCAGTTTTGAACACATTAATGTTGAGATACCTACTAGTGAGGAGTTGGATATACAACTCTAGGGCTAGAGATATAAATTTGGGAATCACAGCAATTCGATGGTTTTTTAAAGCTGTGAAACTGAATAAAATGACCTAGAGAGTGGGTGTAGAAAAAAAAAAAAGAATCTCAGAACTGAGCATTGGGGCATTCTAATGTTCGGATGTCAGGGAGGTGAAGAGGAGCCAGCACTGGAGACTGAAAAAGAGAGGCCCGGTAGATAGAAGGAGAGTTGAGAGTGCATGCTGAAGCCAGGTGAAGAAAGTGTTTCAAAGAGGATGGAATAATAAACTGTTGTCAGATGTTGGAGAGAGATCAAGAGAGATCAAGTTAAGGCCCATGAGTTGATTTATCAGCACTGAAGTCTTTGACACCTTTGATGAGCTATTTCAGTGGTGCAGTTGGGGTGGTGGGGGGATGGGGGATAGCCTGATTATAGTGCCTTCGAATAGGAGGGGAGGAAACAAAGATTAGTAGTATATAATACTCTTTGAAGTATCACTATAAAGAGAAGTAGAAAAACTGGGCCATAGTTGGTGAAGAATTGTGGGATCAAGTCAAACTTTTAATTTTTTCTTCTGAGATAGGAAACGTTGATGTCTTGATGGGAATCATCCTAGTCAGGAGGAAAAATGCAACGATTCTGAAGAAGGGGAGAATTGTTGAAGTGATGTCTTTGTGCACAAATGGAAAAAGGTTGGCCTTCATTGGGTGGACTGTCTATGCTCCCTAGTAACAGAGCTCACAGCTACAGGTGCAGGCAGGATGGTAAATGTAGTCATGGAACATGTGTAAATTTTCTTTTGATTGTTTGTGTTTTCTCATGAAATAAGATATAAAAGAGTGGAGGCATTGGAGGTTTAAAGAGAGAGGCCAAGAGATTGTTGCCAAAGAACAGGAGAAAGTCATTGACTAGGTAAATATAGTAGGATTGTTGGGCAACATGAGGGGCCACTTGAAGTAAAAGTGAGACCAGTCAGCATGGTCATATGATTTTCTCCATGTATGTACAGCCAAGTGGGAACAGGTAGAGTTGGCAGAGCATTAGACTTAGCTGGGGTTTGCTGGGTAAATAAGAGGAATGGAGAAAGAAGCAAGGGAATAATTATGATAATGGATCGCAGAAATAGAGTTGGATAAGGAAAGAAAAGAGGACAGGGATGAAAGGTGAGAGTGAAAAGATGGTAGAATTAATGGAGTGTAGATCCCATGGGGTCTAAAGAATTGTGATAATCAAATCCTTGACATTTGTAGTGCTTCAGGGTGTATACAAAGTGCTTTGGGCTCACATAATAACCCTATGGGGTAGGTAGGGAAAATGGTGGTGGTGGTAGTGATTTTCATATAGATGAGGCAGGATTCAAAGAGGTAAATGACTTAATCAAAAATCACACAGTGCCGGGCGTACACAGTGGCTCACACTTGTAATCCCAGCACTTTGGGAGGCTGAGGCAGGTGGATCACCTGAGGTCAGGAGTTTGAGACTAGCCTGGCCAACATGGTGAAGCCCTGTCTCTACTAAAAATACAAAAATTAGCCGGGTGTGGTGGTGGGCATCTGTAATCCCAGCTACTCCGTAGGCTGAGGCAGGATAAATCCGCTTGAACCCAGGAGGCAGAGGTTGCAATGAGCCAAGATCATGCCACTGCACTCCAGCCTGGGTGACAGAGCGAAACTCCGTCTCAAAAAAAAAAAAAAATTCACACAGCCAGTCAATGGTAAAGCATAGACTGAACGCAGATTTCTGTTATATGTAGTCTTTGTGCAATGTCTGCTTACAGATTACTCAGTCTTGTTGAAGAGATGGAATATGGAAGACAACTTGAGAGAATATGTAATCACGTGTTCAATTCTGTGGTATGGAATGGTATAAGGAGTTTACTCATTCAGTAATACATATTGAAAGCTTAGTAAGGTACAAGGCATTATCATAAGGACTAAGGAAACATCAATGAACAAGACAGGAAATATAATCCTGAGGTTACATGTTTTTAGAGCAGTTTCTCTGTGATTCTTCTAAGGCATCATGTTTTGGTTAAAAGCAGGTTGTACTAAAAAGTTAGAAAACTTGTTTTTCTGCTACTTACTGTGTGTAACATTGTTACTTCAACTCACCCTGCCTTAGTGGGGGTCCCCATGGATAAACTGATTATGGCTTTGCAAGTTCTCCCTTGCCTAAAAATGCTGTGAGTTTGGATCTGTATTCTAGCCTAAAGAAATAGTTGCTCTAAAGTGTCATCATCTAACTTCCTGATCTAGACAGTGGGAATGCCACATCTTACTTTATAGTGATAAGACCCTGTTTACATAGTGAGATGCTGCACAAACATGCATTCCAAAGTAATCCTCCATTTTTGAAACTTGGGAAATCTGAAAAGGGGACAGGTCATGTGGCACCTGCAGGTCCCACAGTCCCCGTCTTTAACCTATGATATCTGAGGACCTATTAAAAGCTTTAAGGTCGTCTGGGCATGGTGGCTCATGCCTGTAATCCCAGCACTTTTGGGAGGCCGAGGCAGGTGGATCACCTGAGGTTGGGAGTTCGAGACCCGCCTGACCAATGTGGAGAAACCCTGTCTCTACTAAAAACACAAAATTAGCCAGGCGTGGTGGCACATGCCTGTAATCCTAGCTACTCAGGAGGCTGAGGCAGGAGAATCGCTTGAACCCTGGAGGCGGAGGTTGCAGTGAGCCAAGATCATGCCATTGCACTCCAGCCTGGGTAACAAGAGTGAAACTCCATCTCAAAAAAAAAAAAAATGCATTAAGGTCAGGCACAGTGGCTCATACTTATAATCCCAGTGCTTTAGGAGGCTGAGTTGGGAGGATCTCTTGAGACCAGCCTAGGCAACATAGCAAGACCTTGTCTCTACAAAAAAATGTTTTAATTAGCTGGGCGTGGTGATGTGCGTCTGTAGTCCCAGCCACCCAGGAGGCTGAGGTGGGAGGATCGCTTGAGCCCAGGAGTTCAAGATTGCAGTGAGCTTTGATTGTGCCACTGCACTCCAGCCTGGGCAACAGGGCAAGACCTGTCTCTGAAAGAAAAAAGCTTTGAAATAACTAATGACTTCTTCCCCCTCTTCTTACTCCTTCCTGATATGATTTAGGCCTGGAAGAAACGCTGGTTTATCCTGCGGAGTGGCCGGATGAGCGGTGACCCAGATGTTCTGGAATACTACAAGAACGATCACTCCAAGAAGCCTCTGCGGATCATCAACCTGAACTTCTGTGAGCAGGTAGATGCAGGCCTGACCTTTAACAAGAAGGAGCTGCAGGATAGTTTTGTGTTTGACATCAAGACCAGTGAACGCACCTTTTACCTGGTGGCTGAGACAGAAGAGGACATGAATAAGTGGGTCCAGAGCATCTGCCAGATCTGTGGCTTCAATCAGGCTGAGGAGAGCACAGGTATGAGAACGCACACAGATCTTTCTCATAGGGGGTTGAGGTGAGGCCCTTGGATTCCTGGAGCATTGAGAGCAGGCTCTAGCTAAGGTTTCCTGTTGGAAGAGCGTTCATAGATAAAGGGTAAAGAGTGTGAAGGGGTTGGCCAAATATTAGAGGGACACCTGGCCCTAATTATGCTCTAACTGGAAACCAAAAAAAAGTGTTGGGGTTGTGATAAAGCTAAAGGTATTTGTGGTGTTTCCTTAGGTGCCTCAACACCACTGCCGTTCCTCATCCCTCCTGTTTTCTCTCTTCCCTGTGCTGTCCAGCACTCTGTGTCCCATTATCTGTCACCCATCCCATAGGGAAGGTCTCACCTTGGTCCCTTCTCTCCTTCATCTCTGTCTGTCCTAGCCCATTTCAGGCCATCCTGCACAGTCACACTTGACCCTTGTTTGTGCGGGTTCTTTGTGATGATTATTGACGATTCAGTGTTCATTTATGTTTACTTGGGAGGGGACAGATAAAAGGAGGAAACAGTGATTTATGTTTGGGTTTTTATAATCTTCACAAAAGAGTAGCTCACCTTTTTGAAATGAGTGTTAAATTGTAGAAATGCTCCTTAACATTTGTTTAGGCTCATCTCAAACTCTCTGGGATGGTTGAAGAGCAGAGTTTTTTCTGGGGCAGTAGAATTGACCCAGGAATTCTACTCGCAGGCATATTCCCAAAACATGTTTACACAAACACTTGTACAAGAATGTTCACAGCAGTATTATTCATAATAGCCAAAAAGTGGAAACAACCCAAATATCCATCAATAAATCAAATATGGTATATACATATATATTACTAAGCCATAAAATGGTATGAAGTACTGAAAACATGTTAAGTGAAAGAAGACAGAGAGGACCATCTTTTTATGATTCCGTTTGTATGAAGGCTCAGAGCAGGCAAATCCACAGAGACAGAAAGTACATTGGTGGTGACTGAGAGTGACAGTGTGAGAAGCGACTGCTTATGAGTATGGGGTTTCTTCTTGGAGTGGTAAAAATGTTCTGGAATTAGATAGTGATGATATTTGTACACTTTCATGAGTATACTAAAAACCACTGTATTTTACACTTTAAAATGCTGAAATTTATGGCGTGTAAATTATGTCTCATTCTTTAAAAAAAAGTTCCTCAGGTGATTCTGAGGACCAGCCAGGTTAGGGAGCCCCTAGATGTAAGACCAGGTTCGTGGACATGTGAACTGTGGAGTCACAAAGAGCCCCATCCTTAGAAGGTCTTGCACTTCGTTTAACACTCCACTATTACTATCTTGAAGTTCTTAATAGTTTTTTTAACAGGAAGTTCTGCGTTTTCATTTTACACTGGGCTCTGCAAATTATGTAGCCAGTCATTCCTGAACTAGATATCCTAACCTAGGAATTCTGTGATTTTTATCTTCCTTGGGGAAGGATAATGAGCCCCTATTTATTAAGTTCTTTGGTATAATCTTCTTGCTTCCTGAGTGGAATTTCCTGTTTTCCCCAAATCTTTGTCATTTATAGGTTTCATGGAGGTTGTTTTTGTTTTTTTCCTTTATTTTATTCCTGATGGAGAGCAATGCATATTCAGTAAAAAAAAGTGGTAGAGGGAAAGGGGCCCCAGCTGGGGCAGCATAGCGAGACTAGAGTGCAGTGACACAATCATGGTTCACTGTAACATTTTTATTTCGATAAAAAATAAAAATTAGCTGGGCATGGTAGCATGCCTGTAATCCCAGCTACTAGGGAAGCTTAGGTAGGAGGATTGGTTGATGCCAGGAATTCAAGGTTGCAGTGAGCTGTGATCACACCACTGCACTCCAGCCTGGATGACAGAACGAGACCCTGTGTCCTAAAAAAAAAAACAAAAATGTTGGGGGTGGGGAATAAGAAACGAATTAAAAGGCCAGGGAGCTGGGCACAGTGTTTCACGCCTGTAATCCCAGCACTTTGGGAGGCTGAGGCAGGCAGATCACCTGAGGCCTGGAGTTCGAGACCATCCTGACCAATAATGGTGAAAACCCGTCTCTACTAAAAATACAAAAATTAGGCTGTGGTGACGTGCACCTGTATTCCCAGCTACTCAGGAGGCAGAAGTGAGAGAATTGCTTGAACTCAGGAGGCAGAGGTTGCAGAGACAAGATCGCACCACTGCACTCCAGCCTGGGTGACAGAGGGAGACCCTGTCTCAAAAAACAAACAAAAAACAAAAAAAAAAGCAGACTGGGCACGGTGACTCACGCCTGTAAGCCCAACACTTTGGGAGGTCGAGGCAGGTGGATCACCTAAGATCAGGAGTTCAAGACCAGCCTGGCCAACATGGCGAAACCCCATCTCTACTACAAATACAAAAATTAACCAGGCATGGTGGTGGGCGCCTGTAATCCCAGCTACTTGGGAGGCTGAGGCAGAAGAATCGCTCGAACCTGGGAGGCAGAGGTTGCAGTGAGCCAAGACCATGCCATTGCACTCTAGCCTGGGCAACATCAGTGAAACTCTGTCTCAAAAAAAAAAAAAAAAAAGCAGGGGAAGAAAAACTTCACAAACACACCAGTCTCAAAGCTTTCATAAATGTTGTTAGCAGTGGCAAATCTATCTGGGTCTGCAGCAACCTCAATTCTTGCCTCCTCAGAAGAAAGAATTCGGCCAAAGGGCATAAGGCAGAGTGAGACACTGAGCCATGTTTTAGAAGAGGGGTGAAAGTTTATTAAAAAGTGTTAGAGCAGGAACAAAAGGAAGTAAAGAACACTTGGAAGAGGGCCAAGCGGGCAACTTGAGAGATTTCAGTGCACTGTTTGACCTTTGATCTGGAGTTTTATATATTGGCATGCTTCCAGGGGGTTGTGTCCCTTCTCTCCTGATTCTTCCCTTGGAGAGGGCTATCTGCATGTGCAGTGGCCTGCCAGCACTTAGGAGGGGCTGCATGCACAGTGTGTTTACTAAAGCTGTACACATGCCCACTTGAGGCATTCTTTTACCAGCCAAGTGTTCCTAGAGGAAGGCCAAATACCAGTTAAACTCGACCATTTTGCCTCATAGTGTGCGTGCTTGAGACTTGCCTATCTCCTGAGATGGTATCAGAAAGCTGCTGATCACCAGTTTCAGGTGTTTTCTATCGATTGGGAGACCGTCTTTCCCCAGCACCAGCTGCAACCAGTTGTTATTTTAGAGAGTTTAACCGCCTGACTCTCACCTGATGGTTGCCTGACATTCCTGGTGAGATGGGGGCAGGAGAGGCTCCTGCCCTGCTCATGTCTGCCTAGCTACCTACTCTAACAATGTGAGAAATGGGTCCAAGAAGTACCTCAGCTTTTTAAGAAATAGGTATGATGAGGGGAAAATGTAACCAAAAACCAAATGGCTTTTAATTGAATTATTTTCTTGTGGGATTAGAGGTGTTCTCATCAAGAAAATATATTCTTGAGATGTGGCAAAAATTACTCAGTGGAGATATCTTTCTTAATCACATATTTAGGCTGGGCATGATGGCTCCTGCCTGTAATCCCAGCACTTTGGGAGGCCGAGGTGGGCAGATCACAAGGTTAGGAGATCGACACCATCCTGGCTGACACGGTGAAACCCCATCTCTACTAAAAATACAGAAAAATAGCCGGGCGTGGTGGCGGGCAACTGTAGTCCTAGCTACTCGGGAGGCTGAGGCAGGAGAATGGCGTGAACCTGGGAGGCGGAGCTTGTAGTGAGCCGAGATTGTGCCACTGCACTGCAGCCTGGGCGACAGAACGAGACTTCGTCTCAAAAATAAATAAATAAATAAATAAAATAAATAAAAATCACATATTTAAAAGATATTGTCTGAATCCTTTTACTGTATAGGACTTCAGTACAATGAAAATGTGGAAACTACATTATCTGAGCTTGCTTTCTTTGGTAGCAAGGTTCATTTGTTCATTCACACATTATTCATTCAGCAAACCTTATGGGGCATTCATTTTATGCAAGTTCCTGTCATAACCAATGAGGCTACAAAGATGAACAGTAGAGTCTGAGTACTCAGACATCATAGCCTAGAGGAGGGGACAGGCATGCAACCAGATAGTAACAGAGTCATGCTATAACGGGAATCACCAAGATTAGCGACACATACACCACCAGCTTAGGCCTCCCTAAGGAGGAGAGTATTAGAGGGTGACAAATAATTGAGTGTTTTGTCAATGGCCTTATTAAATAATATATTTCCTAGCCTGTAATCCAAGCTATTTGGGAGGCTAAGACAGGAAGATCGCTTGAGCCCAGGAGTTCAAGACTGCAGTGAGCTGTATTTTTTAAGAGGCAGGGTCTTGTGAGCCCTGTCACCCAGGCTGGGATATAGTGGCATAATCACAGCTCACTGCAGCCTCGAACTCCTGGGCTCAAGCAGCGTTCCCACCTCAGCCTCCCGAGTAGCTGGGACTACAGGCATGCACCACGGCTCCTGGCTAGGAAATATATTCTTTTCTTCTTCTTTTTTTTTTTTTTTTTGAGACAGTCTTGCTCTGTCGTCCAGGCTGGAATGCAGTGGCACAATCTTGGCTTACTGCAACTTCCACCTCACAGGTTCAAGCAATTCTCCTGCCCCAGCCTCCTGAGTAGCTGGGATTATAGACAGGCAACACCATGTCTGGCTAATTTTTGTATTTTTAATAGAGACAGGGTTTCACCCTGTTGTCCAGGCTGGTGTCAAGCTCCTAACCTCAAGTGATCCACTCACCTTGGCCTCCCAAAGTGCTGGGATTACAGGCATGAGCTATTACGCCTGGCCGGAAATATATTCATTCATATATATAGATATAGATATATAGATATATATCTGTGTGTGTTTTAGTGTATATATACACACACAGAAATATGTATATACACATATGCATCTATATATTTTCTTAAGCCTTTTTAAAGGAATTATTTTATTAGATGTCTAGTGTTCTAATTATCAGAGCAAGAATATCATCTGTGATAGAGGTTTAAGGTTATTTGTGAGATCCTTCTGTTGAAAACAATTGGCTTTTCTTCTATCTCAGAGGAGAATCTGGTATGTTAAAAGATTCAGTCACATGATGGGTTATGTTTTAATTTAGTGGCTCTCTTAAAACTGGATTATATCTGTAAAACCTTCAGGTAAAAAATTAAAACTTAATAATTCATTCAGTGTTTTTTTTTTAACTGAGAATTGGGATCTGAGGAGAAACAGAAAGTTAACATTTGACTACTTTCTTTTGCTTAGTAGCCTATTTCATTTAATCACTTTATCACCTTTATTTCCATTTTTCATATGATGAAATTGAGTATTTTTTCTTCCCTGCCTAGCACTTTTATAACTCCCCGGGGCTAAAAATCTTCTCCGTCTACCCACTCCCCATCCTTGGCTGGGTTCAGAAGGGCTACCCAACTCTTATCAGCCCCAGAAACTCTTCCTTAATGCAACACTGCTTTCCTTTTACTGGAGCCTGTTGAGAACAATCCAGTCACCTGAGTCTTCATGTCAGCACCTGCTTTAGGTGAAGAGTACCTAACCCTTGGTGGCCACAAAAAGACATAATCGCAGCTATGTATTGAGCATCTGTTCTGTGAAAGTTGAGACTTTACATAAATTCCCACTAAAAAGTCACAGTAATCCTTTGAAACAACAACGATTTGACCCAAGGTCACACAGCTAGAACACGGGACAGTTGGGATTCTAGTCTAACCCAGGCCTGACTTTGCATTATAATGTGCTGTGTTTTTGTCCCTGTTCTCCTGGAATATAAGCATCTGCCAGAAACAGGCCTGGATATTTTTGCCCCTTTGGACACTATGCATTGTACTGGAAGCACCCCCAGGGGTCCCTATGGCAGGCTGAGGTTCTCTCTGCTTACTAACCCATATTGCCAAAGTCCTTGGTCTAGAATATTCCTAATTTAGTAATTTCAAGGGCTTTAATCCAGTCATCAGGCTCTATTGGTTAGTCTGTACACTGGGGACAAGGATGTCTTAGTTCAAATCACCACTCTGATTACATGAGCAGGTCACTTAATAAAGTCTCAACTTCCTTTTATAAAATAGGGATAAAATACTTTCTGTTCTCACCCCATGCTTCTGCTTCTCCATGGATGCATCCAGACAGACATAGAACCCACTGGCAGCACCTCAAGTTGCACATTTCCCAAAGGACTATTCACATTGTTTTCTGTGTAGGGGTATCCCCTGGAGTTGATCAATCCAGTGTCCCTGTCCCTGGTTTGCTCCTATAGAGGCTTCATCATATGTGGAGCCTCTTTCAAGCAGATACTCCCTCTTTTCCTTTCTTTCCTTCCTTCCATCTGTTCATCTGTCCTCCTTTGTGTCTGTCTTTCTCTCTCATTTGTCTCTCTGTCTGTCTGTGCCCAGGCTGGAGTGCAGTGGCACAATCATGGCCTCCCAGTTTCAAGTGATCCTCCCACCTCAGCCTCCAAGTAACTGGGACTACAGGTGTGCACCACTACACCCAGCTAAATTTTTTAAATTTTGTAGAGACAGGGTCTCACTATATTGCCCAGTGTATTAGTCCATTTTCATACTGCTGATAAAAACATACCTGAGACTGGGCAATTTACAAAAACAAAACAAAAAAAAAAACAGGTTTAATAGACCTACAGTTCCACATGACTGAGGAGGCCTCATAATCATGGCAGAAAGCAAGGAGGAGCAAGTCATGTCTTATATCAGTGGCAGCAGGCCGAGAGAGAGCTCTTACAGGGGAACTCCTCTTTTTAAAACCGTCAGGTATCATGAGAACAACCTGGGAAAGACCTGCCCCATGATTCACTTACCTCCCAGCAGGTCCTTCCAACAACATGTGGGAATCCAAGATGAGATTTGGGTGGGGACACAGCCAAACCATGTCATTCTGCCCCTGCCCCCTTTCAAATCTCATGTCATCACATTTTAAAACCAATCATGCCTTCCAAACAGTCCCCCAAAGTCTTAACTCATTACAGCATCAACTCAAAAGTCCACAGTCCAAAGTCTCATCCAAGGCAAGGCCTTCCGCCTATGAGCCTGTAAAATCAAAAGCAAGTTAGTTATTTCCTAGATACAATGGGGATACAAGCATTGGGTAAATACAGCCATTCTAAATGGGAGAAATTGGCCAAAACAAAGGGGCTACAGGCCCCATGCAAGTCCAAAATCCAGTGGGGCAGTCAAATCTTAAAGCTCCAAAATGATCTCCTTTGACTCCCTGTTTCACATTCAGGTCACACTGATGCAAGAGGTAGGCTCCCATGGCCTTGGGCACTCCACCTCTATAGCTTTGCAGGGTATAGCCTCTCTTCTGGCTGATTTCATGGGCTAGCATTGAATGTCTGCACCTTTTCCAGGCACACAGTGCAAGCTGTCAGTGGATCTACCATTCTGGGGTCTGGAGGATGGTGGCCCTTCTCTCACAGCTCCACTAGGCGGTGCCCCAGAAGGGACTCTGTGTGGGGGCTCTGACCCCACATTTCCCTTCTGCACTGCCCTAGCAGAGGTTTTCCATGAGGGCCCCACACCTGCAACAAACTTCTGCCTGGGCATCCATACTTCCATACATCCTCTGCAATCTAGGCGGAGGTTTGTAAACCTCAATTCCTGACTTCTGTGCACCTGCAAGCTCAACACATGGAAGCTGCCAAGGCTTGGGGCTTCCACCCTCTGAAGCAACAGCCCAAGCTGTACCTTGGCCCCTTTTAGTCACGGATGGAGTGACTGGGACACAGGGCACCAAGTCCCCAGGCTGCATACAGCAGAGGGACCCTGGGCCCGGCCCACAAAACCATTTTTTCCTCCTAGGCCTCTGGGCTTGTAATGGGAAGCGCTGCTGTGAAGACCTCTGACATGGCCTGGAGACATTTTCCCCATTGTCTTGGGGATTAACATTCGTCTCCTCCTTACTTATGCAAATTTCTGCAGCCAGCTTGAATTTCTCCTCAGAAAATGGGATTTTCTTTTCTATTGCATTGTCAGGTGCAGATTTTCCAAACTTTTTTGTTCTGCTTCCCTTATAAAACTGAATGCCTTTAACAGCACCCAAGTCACCTCTTAAATGCTTTGCTTCTTAGAAATTTCTTCCCCCAGATGCCCTGAATCATCTCTCTCAAGTTCAAAGTTCCACAAATCTCTAGGGCAGGGGTAAAATGCTTCCAGCCTCTTTGCTAAAATATAACAAGAGTCACCTTTGCTCCAGTTTCCAACAAGTTCCTCATCTCCATCTGAGACCACCTCAGCCTGGACTTTATTGTCCATGTCGCTATTATCACTTTTGTCAAAGCCATTCACAAGTCTCTAGGAAGTTCCAAACTTTCCCACATTTTCCTGTCTTCTTCTGAGCCCCGCAAACTGTTCCAACCCCTGCCTGTTACCCAGTTCCTGTCACTTCCATATTTTCAGTTATCTTTTCAGCAGCACCCCACTCTACTGCTACCAATTTTCTGTATTAGTCCATTTTCACACTGCTGATAAAGACATACCCAAGACTGGGCAATTTACAAAAAATAAAAGAGAGAGAGACATAATGGAGTTACAGTTCCATGTGGCTGGGGAGGCCTCACAATGATGGCAGAAGGAAAGGAGGAGCAAATCATGTCTTACGTGGATGGCAGCAGGCCAAGAGAGAGAGCTTGTGCAGGGGAACTCCTCTTTTTAAAACCATCAGATCTCAAGAGACTTATTCACTATCACAAGAAAAGCACAGGAAAGACCTGCCTCCATGATTCAATTACCTCCCACTGGATCCCTCCCACAACACGTGGGAATTCAAGATGAGATTTGGGTGGGGACACAGCCAAACCATATCACCCAGGCTTGTCTTAAACTCCTGGGCTCAAGTGATCCACCCGCCTTGGCCTCCCAAAGTGCTGGGATTACAAGTATGAACCACTGTGCCTGACTACCTTTTTTTTAAAGAGTTGTGATAGGACTCATATAAAAACTTACATGTTTACTTTCAGCTAGAAGAGGTTTGTGGCAGATGGAGACTGTCTGTTTTTTCATCCTTCTTGCCACCTCCAGATTCTTATTTCTACTGCCACCTTCCAGTCTTCACATATTCCAACCAAAAATGTCTAGGATAAAACCTGCAGGTTCAAGACCAGACCAGGAGTGAAAGTGAGTTTGAAATCAACATAAGGTTGAAGGAAACAATCTCTTGAGAGAGAACTCGTTCCAAAAGGAAACCAGGAATGATGTTCTAGAAGGAAAAGCAGTTTCAGGAACACATATCAAGATGCTATATCATATATGTGGGATTTATTTTTGCTTATTTTGTGTGTACAAATGAAAGAACCTCACCTGCCTCTTGGAATCAAAATAGCTGTCAGTCCTCAGAATAAGGAAGCAGAGAGCTGCTCTGAGCTGTGTTTATAGGCAGGCGGATCCAAGTCCTCACATTTGTGGCTCAGTTGTGGGCAGCTATCCCTGACCAGATGTACTACACACAAAAAGAGCCATCTCTCAGTAGAGAGCTTTGATGAATTATTCATGTGCTCAGGAGTCAACCCCTGTTAGGAAAGCCATCACCCCTTTTGAATTCTCAAAGCTGAGGACTTCTCTTTTCCTTTTATCCCATCCCTCCTCCATTTATTCAGTAGCTATTCTAGGGCCTGCACAGCCACTATCACAGGGACTCCGAAAGGCAGCTAGCTGCACTTGAGTCTCAACATTGCTACTCATTTGCCTTATTGATGTTGAATAAATCACTTTCCCTCTTGGAGGTTTTATCATCTGTAAAATGGAGATGATGCTCCTCACAGCGTTGTTGGGAGGTTGCACAGGTAAAGCTTGGAGAATGTACAGGTACACATTGTGAACAGCAGCTGCTCACTTCACTTTTTCCTTGTAGTGGTCGTAGCAATAGTAGTGATGATTTCTATGTCTGTAGGACAAGATGAACAGAATATAATTTAAATATTTGGTGTTTTTACAGAACTTTATAGTCTATACAACACTTACGCAGTCTCATTTAAGCATGAGGAAACAAAGTGAGATAGGTAGGGGCTGATAATATCATTCCTATCGCAAAAGCAAGGAAACTAAGGCTTAAAGGCACTAAGTGATGATGCCAGAAAGCAGAGTGGAAGGGCCCAGAATCCAAGGCTTTTGACTACCGTCTATGGCTGTGTCCTCTGACTCCTCACTTTTCCCAACCCATTGTCACAGAGCTGTTTACCATGGCTGCTTCTAAGTCACAAAACGGACAGCAAGAAGGAAGAGGAGGAGCAAGAGGTTTATAAATCACTGAGAACTGACTATTCTTTTTTTTTTTTTTTTAAGACGGAGTCTCGCTCTGTTGCCCAGGCTGGAGTGCAGTGGCGCGATCTCAGCTCACTGCAACCTCCACCCTCCACCTCCCGGGTTCAGGCGATTCTCCTGCCTCGGCCTCCTGAGTAGCTGGGATTACAGGCGCACACTACCATGCCCGGCTAATTTTTGTATTTTTAGTAGAAACGGGGTTTCACCATGTTGGCCAGGATGATATTGATCTCCTGATCTCGTGATCCACCCGCCTTGGCCTTCCAAAGTGCTCAGTGCTATCTGTACATCGATATTAACCTCTGATGGCTAAACTAGCAAGATAACATGATCCTTCTTAGAGGAACCTACAAGCTACTGTGAGTTACAGCTCAGGCAATTTAGCTCACCAGAGCCCCATTTTGTAACTCTTGGAGATTTTGAAATAAGGCCAAAGCCTCCACTGTATCTTCTCTACTATTTTAGTTTTTTACCTTCTCGAACTCCTTGGCAGGAATTTCACAGTAGTCACATGTCTAATCTTATGGAATAAAGAATTCCCAAAGTTCTGACCAACTCTTCTTTATATCTTCCCCACCTTTTCTCTACTAAAATTTTAGTGAGACTGTCCCCTTTAAATATTTTGTAAATACTTAAACTTCTAGTAATCCTTAAGTTTCCCGAGTAAGTCAACACTCAAATTATTTTAAGTCCTGGGTCCCACCTGGGGTCAAACGATACCCATAGGAATGCTTTTGGGGAAGTCTTCAGCATCCAGTGAGGAATGTTAGTGGGGTCTTCAAATAGCTCTTTCTAGAGAGAATGACTGGTGCCTTAAAAGTCAGGACCTCTTATTCAAGCTGGATTTCTTACAGCAGGGAGAACTGTGGTAGAGCCAAGTAGTCCATTCAGATTCATTCTGATGACCTTGGTCCTTCCCCCACCATGAAAAGAGAGACAGAGAGCCAGGGAGAAGCCTTGCTCAGAGACCTTACTCTTTCTGTCTTCTCATCCCTGGGAGGGCCTTTTCCTCCCTCATTCCCTCCCTGACCTTTTGGGTTTTGTTTTATTAACTGAAATCAGACCAACTCCTCTGGGGAACCCTTGTTGGAAGCCAAAAGCAAATGTGGGCGGTAATATGCATCTTCTCCCCAGGCTGAGACTCCTCTCTCAAGGAAGAAAGAACAGAGTGGAGACTGACCCAGGCTCCAGCCCAGAGGCGGAGGCTGCTGTCTGAATCACCCACCCTTTTTTTCCACTGAGACAATGAGGAAAATAAATATCCAGACCAGTTTCCAGCCAGATCTGAAATTCTAATTCCTTTAAAAAAAAAAGAAAGAAAAAAAGGTTATTTTAAATAACCCTGAAATATCAGGCCTTCCTCCTCCATCTCTTGCTTGTCATTTTTCATTTACAGCTGGTTCTAGTCATCCACAGAACAGGCCGTGAGTTCAGACATGAGCTCCATAAAATCCTCGCAAATGTTTCTGTGTTGTCCTAGAACAAACTCCAACCTTGACCAACTTCAGGGAATTCCAAATCCTCTGAAGGAGGAAAAGGAGACAGGGAGAAACCTGACCCTATTCTCTTCGTTCTAAGTCTTCATCCTTATTTCTGCCTTTTTTTTTTTTTTTTTTAAATACCAGACACTCCCCCTCACCACCCCAGCCAGCCAGCATAGATAGTCTAGTGTTACCTGCCAAAACCCAAAGACTGTTAGACTTGGGAGCATCTCGTCCCAACTCCACAGCGCCAGAAGCTTTGAATGGCTCCCAAACATCTCATAAGATCCCCCCTACTTTTTTGGTTGAGTGCTTCTGCTTATCCCTATTAAAAGAGGATAATAAATGATTGTTGAATTGGTCCCTGACTGGATTCCAAAGCCCAGTCTAACTCTAATATTGGGCTAGAGGTAGAATTAGAACTTTGTATTTAGTGGTAAGGTCACCTTGGACCTCTGAAGATCTTGATTACGATTAAACATCCGGTTATGTGTAGCGCTACGTAGGATTCAGAACTCTACAAAATCAGTAGATACAGTCTTCTCTCTCTAGGATCTGTGCTGGGAAACAGAGTTCTGGTTTTAAATTTCAGCTTTGTTACGATTTATCTCAGTTTCTTCAACAGTAAACTAGGAGTGATTTCCAAACCTTTTTTAAAGCATTGCTTTTTAACCAAATCTCACATGAAACAGAATAATTTATGAAACAATTGAGAGGGAGCCACTTTGAGTATAGCAGAGGAGAGGGTCAAGTGATACAAGCTGCACTCAACTGCCCACCCTTCCTTCTCCCCACTGGTTGCTTGGGAAGGCTGGCACACAATGTGAGGATACTGGTCCGCAGCAGATGTTTCAAAACAGGGACCTGCAGGGCTGCGCTACAGAAATTTTTATCAGTCCATAAAAATATGAAAACATGAGGAAGATACAATCCATGTTCATAAAACTAAATGTAATCAGATTTTAAGACTTCCCTTTATTCAGAGACTCTTTTTTTTTTTTTTTTTTTTTTTTGAGACGGAGTCTCGCTCTATCACCCAGGCTGGAGTGCAGTGGTGCGATGTTGGCTCACTGCAAACTCTGCCTCCCAGGTTCATGCCATTCTTCTGCCTCAGCCTCCCGAGTAGCTGGGACTACAGGTGCCTGCCACTGCACCCGGCTAATTTTTTGTATTTTTAGTAGCGACGGGGTTTCACCATGTTAGCCAGGATGGTCTCGATCTCCTGACCTCGTCATCTACCCGCCTCGACCTCCCAAAGTGCTGGGATTACAGGTGTGAGCCACCGCACCTGGCCTATTCAGAGATTCTCTTTGTGCATGTATGTTAGTGTTCTCGTGTGTGTGAAGTGACAGTCTTAGTAAATGGTAGTTTTCCATATTTGACATTATTAAAAATTGGCCGCCCCATGTGTCCATTTCTAAAAGTGCACAAGTGTATAAACAAAGAGGCAGTGTTTTCACCTGTCCATGAAATGGAAGAGTCTGGGAAATAGTGATCTAGAGGTGATACGTGTGTCAGGACTAACTGGTTGCCAGCTTCTGCTTCTGTACTCATGGCCAGGGGCCTCTGAACTCTACCATTAAGTCCAGGCCCCCTGCATCCCAGCATAAAGCCAGTGCTGTAGGATCTTTTGTTCCTAGCCCTGCTCTTGTGTGCTAGCTATGGTTAGCCCTGGGATCTTGGCTAATTTTCCAGTGTCTCAGTCTTTGCCCTGATAACCTGCCTGTAGTGTCAGATCCCACCCAGGAGTGGACCCTGTCCTGCTTTTATGTAGCCACTTCTCATAGACCAGAGTCTTACCACACCTCAGACCAGTGGCTGGAGCCCGCCTGCCCACTGGAAGGCTTCTGGGTTGCATGTGGTCTCTCTGCCTGCATTACTGAAAAAAATCTGCTTCTCTTTTCCCAGAACATGCTTCTTCCTCCTCTTGGATTCTACTGCCCACATTTCTAGTGATGCCTCAGTTTCTGTTTCTGTGTTCACGTATTCAGTGCCCTTACCACTCAGAACCTGCTTTTGCCAGTGGACAGGGGTTAGAGAAGAGCATAAGACATGGACCTGCTTTCAGTGGACTCCTGAGCCTTGTTATGTTCTCCAGTTTTTGTTCTCTCTGCCAAACCAGCCTTGGAACTCCTCTTAGTGATTCTCTCTGCCTCCTCTATGTCTGCTTCTAAGAGGTTCTGGGCTTCTCAGTTTTCAGCAAGATTTACCTGCTTTTAACTGAACCGTGCCTGGCTCCGTGCCAAGATATAACTACCAGATAAAAAATTGGGGGTTAACCTCAAGTGTGAAAATATTTAATTTTTTAATTCTGAATTTGGTTTCAACATCAAGCCCCCATCTGGCCAGTGATAGAAATGTAAGTTTTAATCAACTCCGGGTATTCCTGGTCAATATGGGATTTTCTCAGTAAATTCAAGTTTGTCTTCTTTTGTGCCTGGGCTGCTATTTTAAGTGCCCCAAGGCCTAGAGAGCTGGAGACAGTTTATTGAGGCTGGAAGGCTGGAGCACAGTTTGGGATTGGGATTGGGGGAGGAGATGCATGGGAGACAAGGGTAAGGACGCGTCTTATTCCTCTTTAGATCACCGTATTAGTAGCCACAGAGTAGCTGCCCAGTAAATATCCACATGATTTTTTTTTTTTTTTTTTTTTTTTGAGATGGAGTCTCGCTCTGTCACCCAGGCTGGAGTGCAGTGGTGTAATCTTGGCTCACTGCAGCCTCCACCACTCAGGTTCAAGTGATCCTCTCACCTCAGCCTCTCAAGTAGCTGGGATTACAAGCATGCGCCACCACACCCGGCAAATTTTTGTATTTTTAGTAGAGATGGGGTTTCACCATGTTGGTCAACCTGGTCTCAAACTCCTGACCTCAGGTTATCCACCTGCCTCAGCCTCCCAAAATGCTGAGATTATAGGCATGAGCCACCATGCCTGGCTGAATGTTTTAGTTACAGTGTTTGGTTATAAATTGTAAATAGTTACACAAAATTCTTTTTAAAAATTCTGACTTATTTCCAGATATTTTCATTTTGAGAAATTCACTGTTGGGGAGAACAGAAAGCTTTAAAAACATTCTCATCTTACTCATAGGTGACAAAGTGTGAGATACCTGAAATTCTGTATATTGAAACATATAACATGTACTTTAACATGGTATAAAGTACAATGAAAAACAAAAAAATGAAGAAAAGCTCAAAAGAGATGATATACTAACTAGGCTGAAGAGATAGAGCCTGCCAAAGACCTGAAGTTTATTTTACACATCTACCATTTGTTTATTGTTTGCTTTTATTTGCTACCTCCTCGGCCCTTTTATGGATGAGGTCAGTGAACAAAATTCTTCATGGCTAGTGAATCATTATTAGCAAGAACACTCAGCCAAGACAGAAGGGAATAGATTTCATAGAATGAGAAACTTCTAGAATACGAGATCTCAAAGCGTCCTTAGAGAGCATTTAGTTCCAAACTGCTCAAATGACAGAGTGTCTAGAGGTGAAGAGAGGGCAACTAATTTGTTCAAGATCATGCAGCTGACTGGCCAGGCTAGAATTAAAATCGAAGTTTCCTGACTTTTGTGTTTTAAATGATGTTGATGGTTATGGTGGTGATCATATAAAAATCACTTTATGATTTATAGAGTGCTTTTATATATATATATATATATATGTGGTATAGAAGGCCCGTTTATTACATAGGGTCTTAGAATCGCATGAATATGAACCCACAACATTAATGACTTTAGTCTAAACGTGGTCTTGGATAAGTAAATTTAATTTTTTGAGCTTCAACTTCTGCATCAGTAAAATAGAAATAAGACATTCTTCACAAGATTATTATGAAGATTAAGAATCCACTTAAAGCATATAGCATAGTGTTTGGTACACAATAAGTACATATTAAATGTCTGTTGAATCTGTGACTAATAACTTGTTGCTGCCTTCTCTGTGATCTTCACAACAGCCCTTTGGAGACGTCTACCATGCTACTTTTATCTCCCGAAAACTAAAATATCCTAAATAACCCCTATCTCTGTTTTGCCCAAACTCAAAAACCTTTTTGCTATGTGTGATTAATATGTTTATCAAATAATAAATCTTGCTGAATTTCCTGATTTGAGGGGCATTACACTTGTCGTTGTGGTACTCAAAAACAAAGATGTCTTGGCCGGGTGCTGTGGCTCACGCCTGTAATCCCAACACTTTGGGAGGCCAAGGGAGATAAACCACCTGAGGGTCAGGAGTTCAAGACCAGCCTGGCCAACATGGCGAAACCCCGACACTACTAAAAAAAAAAATACAAAAATTAGCTGGGCATGGTGGCACGTGCCTGTAGTCCCAGCTACTCAGGAGGCTGCGGCAGGAAAATCACTTGAATCTGGGAGGCGGAGGCTGCAGCGAGCTGAGATCGTGCCACTGCACTCCAGCCTGGGCAAAAAGAGTGAGACTGTGTCTCAAAAAAAAAAAGAAAAAGAAATTTTTAAAAAATTCCTTTCACAATGGCATCAAAAAATAAAATACTTAGGAATCAATTTAACAAAAGCCATCCTAGATCTCTGTACATAAAACAACAAAACATTACTGGGATAAATTAAAGAAGACCCAGAATATGGAAAGAGAGATCGTGTTATGGAGAAGACTCAGTATTGTTAATATGTCAGTTCTCCCCATATTAATCAGTAGATTCAGTCCAATCTCTGTCATGATCCCAGCAGGCTTGTTTGTATTGACATCAAAGCAAATTAGGAAGTACTATATAATATATGAAAACAGTACTATTTAACACAACAGCATGTCAATAATAATTCAGACCTTTTTCAGTTACAATGTTGGACTTTTTAGAGAATTTTGTGGAGATATGTTAGATTGGTAAATAAAAGCTGTTCTCATTTTCCTTACAGTAGAAAAATATACCCAGAAGTTATGTTTATTGCTCCCCCAATGAGATGTTTTACTTAAAAAAAAAAAAAAAAATTGACAGGAGACTGACATCCTTGCCCAGGTGACTAGGCACTCAGTCACTGGTAAGAAAATCACTTGATCTCTCTGAACTGTAGGCTTTCTGTCAGTAAAGTATTAATATTAAACTAAATGATCCCGTGGGTTATTTCCAGACCTGTGCTTCTGTGATATGGAAAAAGAATAAATGGTTAAGAATCAGAAAGAACAAGCTGGTGATTTAAGCTTGTTAGTACAAGTTTACCATATTAGACTGTTGATTTTTTTTTTTTTTTTTTCCCCCAGACAGAGTCTCACTCTGTCGCCCAAGTTGGAGTGCAGTGGCGCGATCTCGGCTCACTGCAACCTCTGCCTCCTGGGTTCAAGCAATTCTCCTGCCTCAGCCTCCCTACTAGCTGGAACTACAGGCACCCACCACCATGCCCAGCTAATTTTTTGTATTTTTAGTAGAGATGGGGTTTCACCGTGTTAGCCAGGATTGTCTTTATCTCCTGACCTCGTCATCTGCCCGCCTTGGCCTCCCAAAATGCTGGGATTACAGGTGTGAGTGACTGCGCCCGGCCAGACTCTTGAATCTTTAAATTCTGTATGCTGACCAACAACTAGCACATTGTTTGTGCCTAAGGTGTGCTCTAATAAAAAGGAATATGGTTTCTTATAATAATACTAATGGGCTCTTCAAACTAGCTTATCTTGTCATTTCTTCTCTTGGTTATTTCAAAGCATAAATTTGGGATTCGATGGTTTCAGTTTTAGCTTAAATCTGTATCCTTGGTGATGAACTTAAATTAGATGCTAATATTTTGAAGGAGGACATGTTTATGCAAACCAGAGTGAGAACTTTTAGTCTAAGGGTCAGCAAACTTTCTCTGTAAAGGGCCAGATAGTAAATACTTTAGGCTTTGTCATCTGTACTTTGTAGCAACTACTCAGCTTTGCTGTTGTAGTATATATGCAGCCATAAACAATTATGTAAATAAGTTGATACAGCTGTGTTCTAGTGAAACCACAGAAACAGACCAGATGTAATGTATGGGCTGTAGTTTGCTGACCCCTGTTCTGGTGTAATAATATGCTTTGGCAGGCCTGCTCAAATAATGTACTCAGTATGCAGGCCCACTCAGTACAGATAGTATTTTGGCCTTCCCAGTGGTGTTAAAAAGACAACTCTCCCTTTTGGACTGCAATTTTAAAAACCTAGAGATGGCAAGGCAACAAGACACAAGTCTGGGAGATGAGTAGGGAAACTACAGATGTGAAACCAGGAGATTATTGGGACCCCCGGGACTGGAGGCAGGGGCTGAGAAAGAGCTGCCAGCTACAAGCTGGGTCCTGCGAGGCTCTGTAGCTGAAGTCCTCTACTCAGCACATGAAGGGCAGCTGACCCCATTTTTGTACCCTCTGCGACAGATCCTGCCTCTGGTCAAACCCTGAAGGTCTGGGAACACAGAGTTCAAGATCTTTTCCCTCACCAGGTTACCTCCCACAGTGCAGTGCTGAGGGCCAGCTACCATTTGTGGAGCACCCATGTGCAGGGACTATGTCATTTCTTATTCCCCAGAACAATTCTTCAGGTAGCTGTTTTATAAATTTTACAAATTAGAACTCTTGGATTCAGGTACCATCCCTAGGTTTCACAACTAGTAAGCTGAGATTCGGACTCCAACGTGCATGTTCCTTTCCCAGTAGCACACTGCTTCTCCTGAAGCCGAAGTTCCCCTTCAGAGAATTATGTAGATCTCATAATTCCCTAGGCAAAACTGGAGCTCTTTGAATCCTAGCCTAGCCATCCACACTATACCAGTTTAAGGTGCAATCTTGTGATTATTGCCGCTGATCACGATTCTTGATAAGCATCCACAACTGATAAGTCTGACGCTTCTGTTTTACACCAATTGCCAGTTGTCTCAGAGTCACTGTGAAAGGAGGGAAAAGCTTATCTCTTATAAAGTTGGTTAGCTTCAAAATACAGTGATGTATTTTGGATATTTCTGTGGAAAGGTTACAAGGGTCAAATGCATCATTAATGTGAACTTAATATACCCACTTGATGGATTGATTCCTGTGGGAAAACTAATGGGTTCCCAAAGTTCCTCGGGGGAGGGCTGAAGTGCTCCTCCGAGTATAAATTTGTTCTTTCTGACTGCATGTAAGCTCATAAAGCATAGGCCACCCTTTGGGGCTGGCCTGCAGCTCAGTAGTGCCTCTCGTACCTGCTCCAGACCCTAAGTAAATCACAAGAGTGCTTCATTTCAAATATGAATGAATCCTTGATGGGACCAACTAACCAACCCAAGCCCCACACGAAGGAACAGGAGAAGGGTCTGCCGCAGCTAAGGGGTACGATAGGTATAAACAAAGCTTGTAACCTGACCTCTTGCAAATCAACAGCACAGTGCATGGCTAAAGATAGACTTGCTATCCCCAAACAGAAATACACACAACCCAGAAAACCTCACTAAGTGATAACAATTTCTTGTACCCTAAATAACTGTTTACATTTGGATCTCATTTGGTCATTCTTCTAACCCAGGGAGGAAAGATTCCAACAGAACTTGCTGCTCTAGTGTGTTTATTGAAGATCGCCTTGTTCTGGTTCTGGTTCTGGTTTTTGTTTTGGTTTTGTTGAGACAGGGTCTCACTCTGTCGCCCAGGCCGGAGTGCAGTGGTGTGGTCACAGCTTACTGCAACCTCGACCTCCTGGGCTCAAGTGATCCTCCCACCTCAGCTCCCCAGCCCCCCAGTCTGGGACTGCAGGCATCTGCCACAATGCCCAGCTAATTTATATGTATGCGTGAGATATATATATATCTCAGACATACATATACACACACACATATATATATACATACATACATATATAGAGACAGACAGACAGCGTCTTCCAGTGTTGCCCAGGCTGGTCTTGAACACCTGAGCTCAAGTGATCCTCCTGCCTTTGCCTCCCAAAGGGCTGGGACCTCCTTGTTCTAATTGGAATGTTTTCTAGGCATAGAACATTGTGCTAAACACGATTAGAGAAAAAGATATGGTCTGGATCCTGGATTCTAACAGCTTATAGTTTCACTTCACATGACAGATTTATGAATTCCCAATTAGAATAAATGGCAAAATTATGTACTACAAAAGATTTAGAAGGCATAGACTGGGCGCGGTGACTCATGCCTGTAATCCCAGCACTTTGGGAGGCCAAGGCGGGCAGATCACCTGAGGTCAGAAGTTTGAGACCAGCCTGGCCAACATGGTGAAACCCTGACACTACTAAAAATACAAAAATTAGCTAGGTGTGGCAGTGGGTGCCTGTAATCCCAGCTACTCGGGAGGCTGAGGCAGGAGAATCACTTGAACCCAGAAGGCGGAGGTTTCAGTGAGCCAAGATCGCACCATTGCACTCCAGCCTGGGAGACAAGAGCAAGACTCCATTCAAAAAAAAAAAAAAGATTTAGAAGGCATGATTAATTCTAACTAGGGAGACAAGGCATTTCCATCTCTGAAATGAGATGCCTCGAGCCAAAGAAGGTTGTAAAAGGACGTGTGACCAGGAACTGTGCTGTGTCACTAAGCTACAGTCACTCGCTCTCTTTCCTCTTTGCCTTTCACAGAATCAATTTCTGCTAATGTATACTGTGAGATCGTATGCATCAAGGTCAGGATGTTCTGACTTGGCTCTCCCTAGCGGAGATGGTGTTCTTTCTCAGAGTCTTCCCTTGGAAGGGGGATGGGGAATCATAGGTCCAGAAAGATCTCATGGGATCTCATGTTACTGCCTGTCTGTCTTTTCTTTTTTCTTCCTCCGCTTTATAGTTCTTATAAACATTAGGAAACTTATATTTCTGAACTCGAGAATCTATTTATACTAGTGTTTAGTACTTTGATCCACAAATGTTTACTTACCATGCAAATAATGAGTGATACTATAAACTCAAAACAAATAACAGATCTGGTCCAGTTAGTGTCCTGACCAGATCTCATAGCTTGATTGCTCCTGCCCCCAGGCCCACATTACAGAGAGTACATCTTCATTCATAGCGATACATCTTTTAGTGCAGGGTAAGGGCTCTTGGAGTAAGTTCTGAATTCTTATTCCAGGGTTCATTTCTGACCTTCTGTGTGGCCTTGGACAAGTCTTATTTCTCTGGGCCACAGTTTCTCAAACTGTAGATGAGAGATTTGAGAGGTAGGAGGAGGGTGGTGGTGATAAATTAGAGACTGGACTCTGGGGACCCTTCCAATTGCTATATTATGTGAGTTACTGTGTAAAGTTGAGCCATTTTATGTTTGGCCTTGAATTTATGAATTTCCTCTGGCATAAATTATGATATATGCCAAAGGCCTTTGAGACTTAATCCTTCTTAAATAATTTCAGGCTTATGATGAAAAGTGACCTGGAGCTTTGGATCCAGTCTTGCCCTCAGCACCTGTCAGCATGCTTTTGTTTTTAGGATTCTTCATATGTTCCTTGTTTTTCAGTGAGCTTTCTACAGGGACCACACACTCCTTAGAATCCTATCAAATACTGTTGTCAAAATTCTTTCGTCATCCTCTCTGCACTAGAACTTTTAGAATTTTACCACCATTCCACTTCTAGTAATAAAAAATGGGACAAGTGTCAGGCCAACAGCCATTTATTGAGTATTTAATAATTACTGTTTACCTATATTTCATATCAAATCCTCAAAAGAACCCTGTTGAGTAGGTGTTCTCTTTGGCATTTGACAGTGTGGGAAATGAGGGATAAAGATATTAAAAGTTTTGCTCAAGGCCCTGTAATAAGATAGTTCCAGACCAAATACCACATGTTCTCACTTATAAGTGGGAGCTAAATGATGAGAACACATGGACACAAATCAGGGAACAACAGGCACAGGGGCCTACCAGAGGGTAGAGGGTAGGAGGAGGGAGAGGAGCAAAAAAAATAACTATTGGGTACTAGATTTAGTACCTGGGTGATGAAATAATCTGTACATCAAACCCCCATGACACAAGTTTACCTACATAACAAACATGCACGTGTACCCCTGAACCTAAAAGTTTAAAAAGAAAAAATGCCAATGAAAACATTATAAACTTATGAAAATCAAAAAGGGTACCCTATATATGGAATTATAACTGATTCATATATTGTATGTGCTATTTAAAGTTTATATATTCAGGCCAGGCATGGTGGTGCATGCCTATAGTTCCAGCACTTTGGGAGGCCAAAGTGGGAGAATCACCTGAGCCCAGGAGGTCGAGGCTGCAATGAGCCATAATTGTGCCACTGCACTACAACCTGGACAACAGTGCGCGATCTTGTCTCAAAAAAAAAACAGAAAATTAAAAAATTTAAAAAAAATTATAATTCAACTCTAAGAAGCTTCTTAAGAAAACTTTTAAATACATGTTTCTCATTGAGGGGAAAAAAATTAAATAAAATAGTTTCAGAACCTGTGTCTGGGAAGTCCACATCAGGGTTATTTTTGTTATACCTTGTTCCTTTGGAGCCATAGATTATGTGAAGGGCCAGAGAGAACGTGGATGCTTATCAATTTGCAATTTTGATGATCCAAAGGAAGGTTTTTGGAAATATTTGCTCTTTCATTTGTCACTCAAAGCCTGCTTTGCCTTTTCTTCAGTAGACCCTAACCCTTCTGTCTCTGCCCCAGAATTAAGAACCAGAGGTTGTTAAAACCAAACCAGTGGATCCTAATCTGAATCTCTGTAAATATGACTAATGAGGTCTGAGGTGGGACCAGCCCTCTGCATTTACATTTCCCAGAGATAACTTTGATGTGTACCCCCGATCTAATCCAACCTCTTCTTTTTGTAAATAGAGACAGTGAGGCTTGGGAAGATGAAATGGTATGCCCAGATTCACTCAGCCAGTAGGCGGTAGAGCTAGGCCTGGACCCCCATCCTCATATTTTAACTTTCCTTCCCTAGTACCATTCACCTCATAGGGCTCTTGTGGGAGTTCTTCCTCTGCACAGGTGAAAAGAATTGGCTTTGGAGACTGTGAGATCTGATTCAGATCTAGGCTATGCCACTTTCTGGCTGTGTGACCCCAGAGTTTGCTATTGATGTCTCTGAGCCTATTTTTCTTCATCCAAAAAAAAAAAATGGAGGTAATAATATGTACCTCACAGGGTAGACTAGAGGCACATAATAGGTGCTTAGTAAATGGCAGCTGTGCTTACCACAGTCACTGTTGTCCTTTTGGTTCTCATTAATTCCCCGTATACCATCTGTACGGCATATAATTGTGACCAAAACAGTGACAGTTACCTTCCAAGCATCCGTCATGTCTTGGAAAGCAGCTCGTACCTCTTTGGCCAATCTCAAGGTCTCAACCAGCTCCATGTGTACTCCAGGAATAGGAGCAATAAGAGTGGCTAAATGCATGATATAAAATGATCTCTATTCCTCACAGCAGTCCTACAAAGTACTTAGCCCTATTGAACAAGTGAGAATTAAAAAGGCTTATTAACATATCCAAGGCTACAGAGCTAGGAGTTAGCAGAGTCAGACTTTGAATCCAGCTCCAATACAGCTTTTGGTCTACCACTTTATGGGTTCTGAGACCCACTGAGGCTTGAGGGTGGGGATAAATTTTTGGGGGAGAAGGGATAAAGATGAAAAGGGCACTGAGATAAGGGAACTAGTCATTATTTGGCCAGTCATCTTTTCCAGAAACTCCCGCCAACCACCCCTTTCCTGCTCATGTTATCACTAGCCAGTCGATGGCTGGGTTGGCCTGGGCTGGGCTCCTCGGCTGAAATCCTTCAGAGCTTTCCTGTTCTAGAGTTTTGCAAGAAGGTGGGAGGAGTGTTTGTATGCTGGGCAGGCTTCCCAGGGGTGATTGTGGAAAGGAAGGGGAGTGATTCTGTAGGGCCCTAAAAAGAAGCCAGGAAGAAGAAAAAAAAAAACTGTTTAAAAGAAAATAGATTGACTCAGGCATTTGTGGGCATTATCTTTAGTCTAGACTTGGAGATAGAAGCTCAGGCCAGGAGTCTAGAAACCTCCATTTTCTTCTTGTGTTTTGGGTCATTAGGAAGGTCAGTTACACAGCAAGAAGTACCAAAAACACCCCAGCCACACATTGTTTAATATCTTCCTTTATTTTCACCATTCTTTTCTTCTCCCAAGGGGTACCCAGGCAATAAAAACAAATCCTATTAATGCCTTATGCATGTGCATGGATTTGCTTCCAAACCCTTATCTCATTCACCTCCTAAAACAACCCAGTGAGACAGACAGGTAGGCTAGAGATTATCCTCCAATACTTGATAGTTATGAATTAAAGCTCAGCGACCACACATGATCTCACAGCAAGTTTATGGCAGAGCTGGAACTGGATTCCTGGTCTCTTGACTTCTGTCCCGTGCATGAGGTTCACTCACTGGGAGTAAAATTTCAACCCACTTAGATCTATTCTCACTCCCCCATGCCTGCCACCAGGTAACCACTAATCTTTTTCACATCCCTGCAGATTTGCCTCTTCTAGATATTTCACATAAATGAAATCATTTCTAGAATCACTCCCCTTCCTTTCCACAATCACCCCTGGGAAGCCTGTCCAGCATACAAACACTCCTCCCACCTTCTTAACAAAACTCTAGATCTGTGGTCTTTTATGATTGGCTTCTTTCACTTAGCGTAATATTTTGAAGGTTCATCAAGATAACCTATATCAGTATTTTTTATTTCTATGGCTAAATAATATTCCATTGTGTGGATATATCACATTTTGTTTATCCATTCGTCAGGACATTTTGGTTGTTTCCATTTTTTGGCTCTCATGAATAATGCTGATATGGACATTCATCTATAAGTTTTTGGTGTTTGTGTTTTAATTCAATCCTTTCAGCAACCCTCTATGATAAACTGCAGGGCAAGTTATCCTAGATATTAATAGTCCCTTTTTACAGATGAAGCAACTGAGGCTAAGTGATTTGCTCCAGGTCAAATAGCAAGCAGATCTGCCTTTAGGCAGATCTAGGGACAGAGCCAAGTCTCTCCACTATTAGCCTAATACATTTTTTTCTGTTACATGTAGCACACCATGTCGCTTTTGTTCTATGAAATGTTTGGAAGTATATTTGAAAACTTTAATTATAGGGAGTGACCCTGAGGGGTGATGAAGCCATGAATCACAGCAGTGCCAGGTCTACTAATCAGCCCTGTCCAGAATGGCCATGTAGAATGTACTCCACTTACCAATGGCAAGCCATCTGAAGGGAGCAGCTTTCAGTGAGCAAAACAAAACAGCACCAAACCCAAGTTGGCTGAAGCTCTTGCCTCCAACTGATGTGGAAAGTGAGGTAGCACCTCCCCGGAACCTCATCTATTGGGGCACAGGCAGCTCATCAGAATTGGGGGTTGGAACCACGGAGGAAGAAGTAGCAGGGGTACTCGGCCATCAGGGTCCAAAATGAGAAAAATCTTATTCCAGAAAAGTTGTCTCTGAATTTAGCTTTGTAATTATTTTTCCTGAGATAAGCAAGAAAACCTTGTTTGATGTTTTAGGTTTTATGGTATATATTGGTTTCCTAGGACCTCCATGACAAATTACCACAAAGTGAGTAGATTAAAACAACAAAAATTTACTCTCTCACAGTTCTAGAGGCTAGATATCCAAAATTAAGGCATTGGTGGTATTGGTTCCTTCTGGGTGCTCTAAGGAGAGTCTGTTTCTACCTTTCCGTTAGTTCCTGGTGGCTGCCAGCAGTCCTTGGCATTCCGTGGCTAGTAGATACATCATTTCGATCTCTACCTTGACCCATACATCACATGGTATTCTGCCTTTGTGTTTCTCTGTCTCTGTGTCTCTTTTATAAGGATACCAGTTCATTGGATGAGGGCCCACCCTAATCCAGTATGACTTCCTCTTAACTATGTACAGAGACGCTATTTTCAAGTAAGGTCACATTCTGAAATACCAGGTAGACATGAGTTTTGGAAGGACACTAGTAAACCTAGTATAGACACTAAGAAATAATCACATAAATTCAGGCAGAGATCTTTTTAAAGTTGCAAGCAGAAGTGGGATTTTGGCAAGTTTTAGTGCCAAAACAGCTTTGAAAGAATTTTTCTGGAGCTACATACTTTTTTTTTTCTTTTTTCTTTTTTCTTTTTTTAGAGACAAGGTGTCACTCTGTCATCTTGGCTGATTGCAGTGGCGCGATCATAGCCCACTGCAGCCTCAATCTCTTGGGTTGGAGCAGTCTTCCCACCTCAGCCTCCTAAGTAGCTAGGCCTACAGGCACACACCACCACGCCCAGTTAATTTTTTAATTTTTGATAGAGACGACTCTCACTAGGTTTCCCAGGCTGGTCTCAAACTCCTGACCTCAAGCAACCCTCCTGTCTTGGCCTCCCAAAGCGTTGGGATTACAAGCATGAGCTATTGCACCCAGCTAAGCTATAGATCATTAGATGGAGCTGGCTAGTTTCATTGACATGACTTTGTGCTGGTAGAGTAGAAATCCAAGTTTCTGTTGGATGAAGGCCCAATTCATCCTAATCCCTACTTCATCTTCTTAACAGACCTTAAAACCTCTCTGATTTTGACCACAAGAAACACACATATTTGGATTTTTGCGCCAGGGAAAATTCTTTTATTTTTTCAGTATGATCAGTCAACAAATGTGTATTGAATACATACCATGGCTGGGGCTGTTCTAGGCACTAGGGGTACATAAGTGATAGAAGGTGTTCCATGTACCTATGACATTCAAGATTTTCTAGACCTTATGTGTATTTCATTCTTTTCATCCTTATAGCTGCCCTATGTTGATTTGTAAATAAGGAGACTGAGACTCTGAGAGGTGAAGTGACTTCCCCAAGTATGCAGCTAAATAGACTGAGTCACAGATATGACTCCACAGGCTGAGCTCAAGGAAGGGGCTGCAGAGGTGAGGATGGGTCACTCCTCTTTTATTCATACTCACAGCCAAAGCATTCAACATAGGGGGCATGAAGGATGCATTTGATGACAAGGCAGAATAAGTAGGTTGTGTCAATGGCGTTTATTGTAATACTGAGGAAACTCGACTTTATTCTGAAGGCAATAAGGAGTCAGTGAATGTTACTGAGGAATAATGATTTCTTATGGTGTGTACTTTTTTTGATCAACGCGTATTTATTGAATTTTGTCACACACTGGGCTTAATGATGAGGATAAAACCATTTCAAAATCTCTGCCATCACTGTGTTTACAGCCTGATGTACAAAGTGATGAGAGAAAGATTGGTATTTTCCTGGAATTTTATTTGAAACACAGGGAAGCACAGGTAAGAAACAAGGTTGAAGAAAGAAACAGGAAAATGTCTTTAAAAAAAGAGGCTGGGTGCAGGGCTTTATACCTGTAATCCTAGCCCTTTGGAAGGCTGAGGCAGGAGGATTGATTAAGGCCAGAAGTTCAAGACTAGCCTGGGCAACATAGTGAGATCCTGTCTCTACAAAAAAAATTTAAAAATTGGCCTGGCGTGGTGGTGCATGCCTGTATTCCTGGCTATTCCGGAGGCTAAGGCAGGAAGATTGCTTGAGCCCGGGAGTTCGAGGTTATAGTGAGCTATGATTGCACCATGGCACTCCAGCCTGAGCAACAGAGCAAGACCATGTCTCTAAAAAAGAGAGCTTTGACTGGGCATGGTGGCTCACGCCTGTAATCCCAGCACTTTGAGAGGCTGAGGCAGTGGTGATCGAGACCATCCTGGCCAACATGGTGAAACCCCATCTCTACTAAAAATACAAAAATTAGCTGGGCGTCATGGCATACACCTGTAGTTGCAGCTACTCAGGAGGCTGAGGCCGGAGTATCACTTGAACCCAGGAAGCAGAGGTTGTGGTGAGCCGAGATCGTACCACTGCATTTAAGCCTGGATGACAGAGCGAGACTCTGTCTCACAAAAAAAAAAAAAAAAAAAAAAGGAAAGATATTTGTAAGTCATCTGAGGTATAACAGAAGAGTTTTAAGAGGGACGGTGACATAATGACGTGACATGGTTGCTGAGAAACAGAAGAGTCATAGATAATGCCTGGACTTCTGGCTTGGAGAACTTATTGGCTGGTGATGATGGACCTCACTGAGACAGGGAACACGAGTGATGAAGAGGTCAATTTAGATTGTTGAGTTTGGCCCACTAGTGGGACGTCTGAAGGGAGGTGCTCAGCAGGTGAAGGGATATATAGCAGGGAGTCCCGGAGAGAGAACTGAGCTAGAGATGAAGATTTGAGAGTTGTCAGCACATAGGTGGTAACTGAAGCTGTGGAAGTGGACAGGATTACCCGCTGGAGAGTCTTCAGCGGGAGAGAGAGGCTATAGGAGGGTCTAGAGTGGAGCCCTGAGGAATGCCTCCACTGAAGGGGCAGGCAAAGGAAGAGGAGTCCAACGAGACAACAGAGAATACAGAATCTCACCAGAGGCTTGCTTTTTGCAGGTTCCCTGTGTCTTCTTAGGCAGTAGCTTGTATTCTTTCCATGGCCCTGTGGCTACTCTGTCCCATAATGTAAACCCTCTCTCCTCCACTATTAGAGAGTTCATCTTGCAAATCTAATGGAGTAATGAGCTATCGATTCTGTTAACAAATGTCCAGTTTACTGAAAGACTTGTAATGGGAGTTAATTTTGGGGGTCAATACAGCTGTCAATGGAAAAGTTTTTCCCCAGAGGCCCATCAGCTTTTTCTGTTGTACACTGGCAGGTGTCCTGCCCAGCAGCAGAAATGCCTGGAGAGTAATTAATACTGTAGAGCATTAATGAGCTGGTGATCCTGCCTAGGACCATGAGAAGGGTACAGCCTGAGATAGGTCAGATGACAGGGCGTAGAAGGTGAACTGTGTCCCCTTTGACATGAGTTGAATAACCTTAGAAAATCAACACCACCACAACGTTAACCCACCAGCTATCATACTGCCTAAGATTACATCTTTAAACTTTTATTTCTTTCGAACAAGAAGTTTCACTAGTGGAATTTTTGAGTGCTGAATGAATGTGTTGTGTTTGCTTAGTCCGCAGACATGAACTAAGAATCTGCTATGTACCTTGCCTTTATTAGGTAAATGCTGGGCCTATAATGGTAACAACATCACAGTCACTGTTCTCAGAAAGCCATGGGTTAGACAAGGAAGCATAGTGACCATGGATATAATGGGAGCATGGGCCAAGTGCTGCTGGCACACAGAAGAAGAAGCAAGTCCAGGAAGATTTGGGAGAGAATATGATATCTGTGTAGGGTCTAAAAGTCTGCATATGAGCTTGCCAGTAGAGTAGAGGTGAAATCCAAGTGGAAGGAACAGCAGAAGCCAAAACAAAGAATCATAAAAGAGGCTGGTGTGTTCAAGGACTGATGATGCTTCCATATGCCTTGTTTATGGGTGGAGAAAAGCAGGAAGTAGGTCAGACTGTCAAAAGCCTTGTATGTTATGCTAAGGAATTTGGACTAGCTTAGAGAGCCAGCCAAATGAATAATGACCTTGGCTTGGGGTGTAGTACTATAAGCTATTATCCGTCCTTAATACCTCACTTACTAACACAACAGAGAAAAGCTTGAGATAAGAGGGAAAATGACCAATAGACAGGGAGTGGTAGGCAGTGGGGAATGTAACTGTCCTTGGAGGTCTTAGGAGGCCAGGCAGGAGCAGCTGGAGTCCAGTATTAAGGGACAGCTCCAAATGCATTTGTGCTTTTCTCATTAATGCAGTAAGGCACAGTCCAGAGCCTCAATTAATGAGTCTTCAGTAAGCAAAGCCTCATTTAACAAAGCCAGCCTTAGCTTTTTTTTTTCCTGTAATTAGATGTTTAAATTTCATTTTTTTTTTAAATTTCAACTTGTTTTTCAGATGCCAGGGTACATGTGCAAGTGTGTTACATGGGTATATTGTCTAATGCTGAGGTTTGGCCTTCTGTTCATCCTATCACCCAAATAGCATTGTACCCCATAGGTAGTTGTTCAATCCTTGTCCCCCTCTCTCCCTCCCTGTTAACATAATCCCCAGTGTCTACTGTTTCCGTCTTTATGTCCATGTGCACCCTGTGTTTAGCTCCAACTTATAAGTGAGAACATTAGGGTATTTGGTTTTCTGTTTCTGCATTAATTCACTTGGGATAATGATGTTCAGCTGCATTCATGTTGCTGCAAAAGACATGATTTCATCCTTTGACCACAGCAGGCGCCACCAAAGAGTGGGAAGGTGGTCGTACTCATTACTCTAGAGGCAGACCTTGCCTGAGGGTCAGGGTCACACTCCTAGACCACAGGTAGCCGTACTTCCTGGAAGTGGGGCAGATATGGCCTACATTGTGATAGGAAGTCACCTCCAGGCTACCCCAGAAGCCATACAAAGGTAAAGAGGACCTCTTCTTCAACCAAGATGGCCAGGAGGGCAGCAAGGGGCAGGTATATGAGAGGGAGAGAATGCTAGTGCTGGATTATTTTCTCTGCTCTTACTCTTTTTTCTTCCTCTGACAACTCACTTTGGGATAAGGATACATTTCCTTCCTTTTTCATTCACAGAGCTATTTCTCCTTTTCAGACTCCCTGAGAAATGTTTCCTCAGCCGGTCATGGCCCCCGCTCTTCTCCAGCTGAGCTCAGCAGCTCTAGCCAGCACCTTCTCCGAGAGCGCAAGTCCTCAGCCCCATCACACTCCAGCCAGCCAACTCTGTTCACGTTTGAACCCCCTGTGTCAAACCACATGCAGCCCACCTTGTCCACCAGCGCACCTCAGGAGTATCTCTACTTGCACCAGTGCATAAGCCGAAGAGCAGAAAATGCAAGGTAGGAGGCTGCCACAGCCATTAGGTGGGTTAGTGACCGCTCACAGGGCCTAGTACTTTTCAGTCCTTGCTTTTTTAAAGACAAGCAAAACATTATATCGTTTCAGGTAGACAAACACGTCTATGACAAAACATAATTTTTTGCTTCTGTAGCCTTCATATTTTATTGGCATCATCTGTGTTGCTACACAGTGATAACTGGGTGCCAGAGAAACTTTTCATTATCAAAAATCATGCTATAAAAAATGTTTGATTTGGAGGCAGGGGTGAAGGCATTAGGGGACACAGTTTCCGAATTGCAAAAAAAAACAGTCAATTTACTTGGGCTTAAAAGTATAGCTATAAAACCATAACATAGTTCAACAAATCCATACCTTGCTTTTGCTCTAGAACTGCACTGTTCTGTATAGTAGCTACTACCTGCATATGTCTACATAAATTTAAATTAATTAAAATGAAATAAAATGTAAAATTCAGTTCCTTAGTTGTACTAGCCACATTTCAAGTCCTCAGTAGACACATATGTCTAGGGGCTACTGTACCAGACAGCACAGATACAGAAAATTTCCATCATAACGAAGTTCTAGAGCAAGGACTCCCTGTTCTAGGATAATGGTCTTTTGTTTTTCTAACATCATCAGCTCTTTCACAGGTGCAGAACCTGTAAATGTATTTATTATGTTTTATTCCCATTGTTAGGCTAAGCAAAAGTGCAGAGCTGATAGGCTTTGCCAGAGCTAATTCCCAGTTGCTACCATAGCCAGCAGATTACAAATCACATTTTAATTAACTTACAAGATCTAATTCATGTTATGACAATTAAGGCAAATAGAAAAATGGCTGTACTAATGTATTACTTGATTTTGTCCTTGAGAATATTTTCATACATAATCTCATTTGAACCAATCAATACACTGAGAAATAGCCAGTATACAAAATTTATCTCCATTTTAAAGATGAAGGAACTGAGAATCATGACTAATAAATAGCAGAGGTTGGGCTAGAACCCAGGTCTTCTTGTTTCTGGTCCTGTACTCTTTTCACTATGCTACCCTACTTTTGTTTTTCTGAGTCATCTGCTGTCACACAGAAGAGGCTCCAACACTTAATCTTAAGGCTGCCTCAGATACCCATTTTCATGAAGAACATGATTCATTTGTTTGTGAACTTTCACTAGTTCAACTTCCATCAACTTATACATGAAGAGCTGAGTCCTAAAAAGATAGAGTGAGTTAGCCAAGGTCACTGAACTAGTTAGTGGCGTTAACTGTAAATAGTACCTGATTCTCCCGAATCACTAACCAGAGATAGGCAGTGTGGTATAATGAAAAGCATGTTCAGGCTTTGGAGTCAGTCGGATATGGGTTCAAATTCAGGTTCTTTTACTTTCTTTGTGATCTTGGGCCAATTATTTAACCTAATTAACCTTCAATATTCTTATCTTCAGAATGGGAATAACTAATTCAAAGGCTTACTAATGAGTGTAAAATGATAAAACATACATAAAATAGTAGTAGAGAGTAAATACATTTTACCTGTTCTTCCTATGCCCCATCCTCTTCTACTACATAGACAACTGCCTGGGAGCAGATAAGGTGAGGTCTTAAAATCATAGTTGTAGTGAAAGGCAAAGTACTTAGCTGTAGTGCCTTGCAGACTTTAACATGCATATGAAATACCTGAAGATCTTACTGAAATGCTCACTCTGACTCAGTAAGCCTGGCCTAGGTCCTGGGGTCCTTTCTAATAAACTCCAGATGATACCAGCACAGATTGTCTACAGCTCACACTAAGTAGAAGGCTTTATATAGTAGTAACAATTGCCGCCACCACCACTCCAGTGATCCTGCTGACGCATCAGAGAACAAACGTAGAAACATCTCTGCTTGAATTAGCCTTTAGGGCCCACTCTCTGCACCCCTACCTCCTCTGTGAAATCCCTATTAATCTTCCTACCTGGAATTCACTTTTTCTCTGAATTGCCACAGCAGTTTTTTATTCTCTCTCTCTCTCTCACAACATTTGGAACTTTCTGCCTTGTAGAATGGATTTTTATATTAATACATTACTATTATTTGATGATGGAGCTCACAGTAGGTGCATAATAATTTGAACAAATCCATGTTGTAGAGGGATAAGCTAGTAGAAGAGATAGAACTTTACGCAGCTGAGGAAGTCACATTGTTGTAGGCCTTTGACCAAGTCATGTTCTTCTCTGTCATGGTTTTCACTTGTGTGGATGAGGGAATGAGAGGGTAATGAGCAGGATCTCAGGGAGACTTTTGGAGAAAATAAGTTCAAATAATGTTTGCAGAATTCCAAAGGAAGTTGGGAGGGTAGGAAGGAAGCTTTCTTAAATCCAGAAAGACGATATATTTTCTTGTAGTAGTGGAGTTGCTCGCATCATGCTAAACCTACTGTAATAATTATAAACTCTGGACAAAATATTAAAAAATAACTTTTTTAAGGCCCTGAAGAGCAATAAAAAAGGCAGAAACTGCAAGAGATCTGACTCTTGAAAGAAGTGAAATTCAGTTTACATGGCTTTTCCTATGATGTTCCAATAATATATCGTCGAGAATATTCAGTATACAATGAGAAAATGCCAGACATATGAAGAAACCGTATACATTAACCCATAGTTGAGAGAACTCAGTATCTAGAAAGAGATCAAAATAAACCCATATTTTGGACCCAGCCTACAAGACTTTAAAATAATTATGTTAATTTTTTAATCTATTGTGGGTAAAGGATATAATAGGTGAAGAGATGGTGGATTTTAGGATGGATGTAGAAACCGAAAAAGAATTGGGTAGTTCCAGTTCCACTATGGTGGTGGAAGCCACCACAGGCTTTCCTTCCCACTGATTACAACTAAAAACTCTGGACAAAATCCAAAGTGCAATACCCAAAGACTCTGAAAAATAAATAAAAGGAGATAGATTGTAAAGAGGAGAAGAACTTGTAGAAGTGACTACACAGAGATGAACTTTTTGTCTTTCATGCATTTGCCTCCAGGTTGGGCCCCATCACAAAGTAGCACAGTGCAAATGGCTAAAATGTCATAAAAAACCCCATCTTTCTGAGTAGGGGAACCAGAAGAGGAGCCCCATTGGGGCTGGAAGGAGCTAGTATATTCCAGAATGAAGAGAGCTGGAGAAGGGATCTTCTAACTCTGGGAATGAAACTATGTGAGTCTTAGGATCACCTTGGGCTACACATGTGTGGGACAAACCGAATCGAGTGCAACAAAGCCTATGTGAACTGAAAGAAGATTTGAACTACCATACACAGGAGGAGAGACAGAACTTGCAGTCTGAGCCTAACCAGGTTGATTTCCTATAAAAATATCACTTCTCGGCCGGGTGCGGTGGCTCACGCCTATAATTCTAGCACTTTGGGAGGCTGAGGTGGGCAGATCACCTGAGGTCAGGAGTTGAAGATCAGACTGGCCAACATGGTGAAACCCCATCTCTACTAAAAATACAAAAATTAGCTGGGCTTGGTAGTGGGCCCCTGTAATCCCAGCTACTCAGGTGGCTGAGGCAGGAGAATCGCTTGAAGCCAGGAGGTGGAGGTTGCAGTGGGCCGAGATCACGCCACTGCACTCCAGCCTGGGCAACTGAGTGAGACCCTGTCTCAAAACAAACAAACAAAAAAATAGCACTTCTCCATGGGATTATAACAGAACCCAGCATCTACACAACATCATGTTCACAGCATTCAGGATCTGTAATCCAAAATGTCTCAGCATATTGAAAACCAGAAAAATATAACCCATTCTCAATGGAAGTCACAGGTACAAACCTCAAAATAACCCAGATGTTGGAATTATCAGACACAGATTTCAAAGCTCCTGTGAAAACAACATTCCATGTAATAAAGGAAAACACACTTGAAACTAATGGAAAGAAAAAACCCTCTGCCACCGGACACTGTGGCTCACACCTGTAATCCCAGCACTTTGGGAGCCCGAGGCAGGTGAGTCATCTGAGGTCAGGAGTTCGAGACCAGCCTGGCCAACATGGTGAAACCCCGTCTCTACTAAAAATACAAAAAAATTAGCCAGGCATGGTGGTGGGCGCCTGTAATCCCAGCTACTTGGGAGGCTGAGGCAGGAGAATCGCTTGAACCCTGGAGGCGGAGGTTGCGCCATTGCACTCCAGCCTGGGCGAGAAGAGCAAAACTCCGTCTCAAAAAAAAAAAAGAAAAAAAGAAAATAAAAAAACCCTCTGCCAACCAAGGAGTTTATATTCGGCAAAAGTATCCTTTGGGAATGTAAACAAAATTAAGACGTTCTCAGATAAAGGAAAAATAAGAGCATTTCCAAGAGATCTGCTTTTAAAAACTGATAAGAAATTTCCTCAGGCTGAAGCAAGATGGTACTAGAAGGAAACTTGAATTTTCAGGAATGAAGGAAGAGCAACAGAAATAGTAAATCCCTGCATAACTGTGAAAGATTATTTTTCCGTTTTAACTTCTTTAAAATATGTATAAGTGTTAGAAGCAAAACTCAAACAATGTCTAGTGAGGTTTTCACCTGGTTTTCTTACTCTTTAGTATGAAGAGCTCCCTTTGCCATTTCTTGCCATGTGAGTGGCCTGGTGAGAAATTTTCCCAGCTTTCATTTATCTGGAAATTTCTTAATTTCACCTTCAGTTTTGAGAGAGATTTTGCTAGGTATAGAATTCCAGAATGACAGTTCTGTTTTCTTTCAGCATTTAAAGGATACCATTCTAGTCTTCTGACCTTCATTGTTTCTGATGAGAGATCAGCAGTTATTTTAATTTTTATTATTCTATATGTATTTTCCTTCCTCTGAATGATTTTTTCTTTTCAAAAATTGTAGTAAATACATAGCATAAATATATCATCTTAACCATTTTTAAGTGCACAGTTCAGTAAAGTACATTCATATTGTTATATAATCAATCTCCAGAAATCTTTTCATCTTACCAAACTGAAATTCTAACCATTCAACAACTCCCCATTTCCCCTTCCCTCAGGCCCTGAAAACCACCATTCTACTTTCTGTCTGTGTGAGTCTGACTTCTCTAGATGCCTCATATACATGGACTCATACTACATTTTCTTTATCCATTTATCTGTTGATGACCACTTAGGTTGATTCCATTATCTTGGCTATCGTGACTAATGATGCAATAAACATAGGGGTGCAAATAGCTCTTTAACATACTGATTTCCTTTCCTTCAGATATATACCCAGTAATGGGATTGCTGGATCATAAGGTAGTTCTATTGTTAGTTTTTTGAGGAACTTTCATACTGTTTTCCATAACGACTGTACTAATTTACATTCCCACCAACAGTGTGTAAGAGTTCCCTTTTCTCCACATCCTCACTGGCATCTGTTATTTTTCTTCTGGAAAATAGCCATCCCAACTGGGGTGAGATAATATCTCATTGTGGTTTTGATTTGCATTTCCCTGCTGATTAGTGAGACGGCAAGCTTTTTTTTTTTTTTTTTTTTTTTACTATGAATGTTGGCTGTTTTTCTGTCTTCGTTTGAAAGATAACTATTTTCAGCTAATTTGCCTCAACTCCATTATTTGTTTTTTTTTGCTGTTGAGTTGTTTGAGTTCCTTGTATATGCTGGATATCAACCTTCCATCAGATGAATAGCTTGCAGAATGGCTTTCTCCCATTCAGTAGGTTGTCTCTTTACTCTGTTGATTGTTTCCCTTTGCTGTGCAGAAGATTTTTAGTTTAATATAGTCCCATTTGTCTTTTTTTTTTCTTTCTTTTGAGACAGAATCTCCCTCTGTCGTACAGGCTGGAGTGCAATGGTGCGATCTTGGCTCACTGCAACTTCTGCCTCCCAGGGTCAAATGACTCTCCTGGCTTAGCCTTTTGAGCAGCTGGAACCACAGTCATGTACCACCATGCCTGGCCAATTTTTCTATTTTTAATAGAGACAGGATTTTACCACATTAGCCAGGCTGGTCTTGAACTCCTGACCTCAAGGAATCTGCCCATCTTGAATCTGCCCATCTTGGCCTCCTAAAGTGCTGGGATTACAGATGTGAGCCAGCACACCCAGCCATTTGTCTATTTTTTGTTTTTGATGGTGCTTCTGAGGTCTTAGCTGGGCCCTTTTTTGTTTTTGCTTTTGATGGGAGACTTTTTTTTGCAAATTCCATCTCATTACTCATAATTAGTCTGTTCAGATTTTCTATTTCTTTTGGGTTCAATCTTGGTAAGTTGTGTTTGTCCAGGAATTTATCCATTTCTGTTAGGATTTCTAATTTGTTGGTGTATAGTTCATAATCATCTTTTTTCTTTTTTCTTTTTCTGAGACAGAGTCTTGCTCTGTCCTCCAGGCTGGAGTGCAGTGGCGCGATCTCAGCTCACTACAACCTCCGCCTCCCGGGTTCAAGTGATTCTCCTGCCTCAGCCTCCCAAGTAGCTGGGACTACAGGCACGTGCCACTGTGCCCAGCTAATTTTTTTTTTGTATTTTTAGTAGAGACAGGGTTTCACCATGTGAGCCAGGATGGTCTCGATCCCCTGACCTCGTGATCTGCCCGCCTCGGCCTCCCAAAGTGCTGGGATTACAGGCATGAGCCACTGCACCTGGTCCATAATCATCTTTAATGATCCTTTTTGCATTTCTATGCTGTCAGTTACAATGTCTCCTTTTTCTTTTTTATTTTATTCCTTTATCTATTTTGAGACGGAGTCTCGCTGTGTCACCCAGGCTGGTGTGCAGCTGCGCGATTTTGGCTCACTGCAACCTCCACCTCCTGGGTTCAAGTGATTCTCATGCCTCAGCCTCCCGGGTAGCTGGGACTACAGGCGCCCACCACCACTCCTGGCTAATTTTTCTATTTTTAGTAGAGACAAAGTTTTGCCATGTTGGCCAGGTTGGTCTCTAACTCCTGACCTCAAGCAGTCCACTTGCCTCTGCCTCCCAAAGTGCTGAGATTACAGGCATGAGCCACCATGCCCAGCCTTTTTTTTTCTTTTTTTTTTTCTAGACAGAGTCTCACTCTGTCGCCCATACTGGAGAGTACGGTGGTGTGATCTCAGCTTACTGCAACCTCCGCCTCCCAGGTTCCAGCGATTTTCATGCCTTAGCCACCCGAGTAGCTGGGATTACAGGCGTGTGCCACCATGCCCACTAATATTTGTATTTTTAGTAGAGACGGAGTTTCACCATGTTGGCCAGGCTGGTCTCGAACTCCTGATCTCAAGTGATCTGTCCGCCTCAGCCTCCCAAAGTGCTGGGATTACAGGCATGAGCCACCACACCCAGACTGATTTTGTATTTATTTGGATCTTTTCCCGTTTTTTCTTGGTCAGTCTTGCTACTGGTTTGATTTTGTTTATTCTTTGAAAAAATTAACTTCATTTTGTTGATCAGTTTTATTTTGTCTCAATTTTATTTCTGCTCTGATCTTTTTTTTCCCCTTTTACTAATTTTGGGTTTGGTTCTTGTTTTTCTGCTTCCTTGAGATGCATCATTAGGATGTTTATTTGAAAATTTTCTACTTTTTTGGTATTAGCATTTATTGCCATAAACTTCTCTATTAATACTGCTTTTGCTGTATTCCATAGGCTTTGGTATGTTGTGTTTCTATTTTCATTTGTTTCCAGACATTTCTAAATTTCATTCTTTTTCTTTTTTTTTTGTTTTGAGACGGAGTCTCGCTCTGTCGCCCAGGCTGGAGTGCAGTGGCATGATCTCGGCTCACTGCAAGCTCTGCCTCCCAGGTTCACACCATTCTCCTGCCTCAACCTCCTGTGTAGCTGGGACTACAGGTGCCCGCCACCACACCCAGCTAATTTTTTGTATTTTTAGTAGAGATGGGGTTTCACCGTGTTAGCCAGGTTGGTCTCGATCTCCTGACCTCGTGATCCGCCCACCTTGGCCTCTCAAAGTGCTGGGATTACAGGCATGAGCCACCACACCCGGCTCTAAATTTCATTCTTAATTTTTTCATTGACCCATTAAATCATTCAAGAGCATGTTGTTTAATTTTCCATGTATTTGTACAATTTTGAAATTTCCTCTTGTTACTGATTTCTAGTTTTATTCCATTGTGGTTAGAAAAGATGCTTGATGTGATATCAATTCTTTTAAAATCTCTTGGCCTAACATGAGGTCTGTCCTATAGAATGTCACATGTGCTAATGAGAAGAATTATACTCTGCAGCTGTTGGATGAAGTGTTGTTAGGTCCATTTGATCTAAAGCGCAGTTTAAATCTAATTGTTTCCCTGTTGATTTTCTGTCTAGGTGATCTGTCCATGCTGAGAGTGAGGTGTTGAAGTCTCCAACTATGATTATATTAGAGTCTGTCTCTCCCTGTAGATCTTAATGGTGTTCCATAAGTCTTGCAGGTTTTCTTCACTCTTTTCATTTGTATTCCCCCTTTCCTTCTGGCTGGGTAATTTCAAACTACCTTTCTTCAAGTTCAGATATTCTTTCTTCTAATTGATCAAGTTTGCTGTTGAAGCTCTCTGTTGTGTTTTTTATTTCATTCATTGAATTCTTCAGCTGCAAGATTTCTGGGTTTTTTTTTTTCTTTCTCTTTTTTGAATTTTTTTGTTCATATTGTGAATTCTTTTTCCTAATTTCTTTGAATTGTGTGTGTTTTCTTGTACCTCATTGAGTTTTCTTAAGGTCATTATTTTGAATTCCCTTTCTGTAATTTGTTGATCTCCTTTTCACTGGGCTCTAGTTACTAGCCAGAGTTCCTTTGGTGCTTTTTTGGTGTTATATTTCCTTCCTTTTTTGTGTTTCTTGTGTCCTCATGTTAAGTGTCCATGCTTCTGGTGGAAAGATCACCTCTTCCAGACTTTCTGGAGTGGATTTCTTAGAGAAAGACTTTCACCTGCAGTTGGGTTTTAGTGTTCCAGTTGAGAAGGATGTGATGACTGTGTTTCCACTTAGGTGCAATGGTATAGTCTCCATGCAGCTTCTTTGCCTATGTTCAACATCAACAATAACTGGGAGTGCCTCAGTGGCCTAGACTATAGAAGTTTGTGCAGCAGCGGTGGTAGCATAGGTTGTTAATATCCTTAGCGTAAAGGGCTTTTTGGGTCTTTCTCTTCTCATTTTCCCCAAATGAGGAGACTCAGTCAGGGGGATCCCTCTTAGTGTCAGGTCTGGCATGGCCTACAAGTAGCTGCAGCAGTGCTGGGTTCTAGGTACTGGTGCTTGGAGCTTATGTGGCGTTGGGTTTCTAAGCTCAGAGTCTCATGAACCTATTGTGGCAGCTGGGTCTTGGGGTGCAGGTTCACTCTCCGTAGCATGGTTGGATGTGGACTGCCCTCCGGGCCAGGATCTATGATATGACTCTGTTGAACCCTCTATCAGCTCAGGTCAGGGGCCAGCTGTGATTCTACCCCTGGTAGGCAGAGCACAGCACTGGCCTCACCCTGGGCAAGAAGGGATGTTCTGGAGGTTTGGTTTCAGGGAGGAGGATACAACTAGAATTTGGGAACCTGAGTCAATAAGGCTCAATGGCAACTTGGGTCCCAGGGATTGATACACCATGTAGCAGTGACTCTACATGGTCCCTCTTTAGGCTTAGCAAATACCCGGGAATGGCAGAGTATAGCTGTGTTTTGGGCTACAGAGGGGCAGGGAACAGCAGAGCAATGACTCTACTCCCCAGGGAGAGGCGTATCTCAACAGCTCAGACTCTAGGGGGCTAGTGCAGCTCCAGGAAAGCAAGGCACTAGAGTTGTTTGGCCTGTAGGGCAGGGTGTCTCAGCTCAGACACTGCTCTTTTTCCCTGAAACACAGGGTCCTGTATCAGCTCAGCCTTGGAATGCACCCCCTCTCAGCTCAGCTAGGGCACCCATTCCCCAGGGGACAGTGTGCTACTTCAGCTCAGGCCCAGGAGGGTGTGACTGTTCTGAGTAGCCCAGGCATCCTTTCCCTGGAATGCAGGGAACCATATTATTTTAGCTACTGGGGTACCTCATTCTGGGGAGTCAGTGCACCGTTTCCTAGGATGCAGCCACTGGCTTCAGCTTAGGCACTGTGGAGGCATGACTGTTCTGAGCAGCCAAGATACTGTTTTCCTTGAAGAGAGCATACTGCTTCAGCTCTGGCCCAAGGGAGTGGGGAGAGGGGCAGGTGGATTAGCTTTACTTCTGCTTGACCCCCCTGGGAAGGGTGTAACAGCTGCTCACAGCTCAGCTTTGGAATGTTGGGCCACTGGGCTAGCAATGGCTCAGCCACAGCTTAGCCTCAGGAATGAAAGGGAGCCATGGCTACTCACCTCTGGAGCAAGACACACTCCAGCCATAGTTCCAATTCCAAGATGGCATAGCACAGTAGCCACACGGAACACAGCTATGTGGACCCTAGGCAACTTCCTTCACTGGGCTTAGTGCCTATGAGGACTTCAGGGGACTCCAGTGGTGAGGCCTGAGATGTCCAAGGTGTTGATGGCAGTTGCCATGATCCTCTTGCCTACCTTCTCACCAAAAGAACTTCGTCCTTGTTCCAAACTGATCTTGCATGGAGTGGTGAAGGCCTAGTGTGTTTCCTTCTGTTCTCTGTGTGACCATCCCAAGTTTCTGGTTCATCGAGTTTCTGTTACTCCTCTCATGCATTCTGGGACTCTCCCTCCGTTATTTTTGCTAAAATGTAATTGTTCAGGAGGCCAGGTGTGGTGGCTCACGCCTGTAATCCCAGTAATTTGGGAGGCCGAGGCAGGTGGATCACGAGGTCAGGAGTTCAAGACCAGCCTGACCAACATGGTAAAACCCTGTCTCTACTAAAAATACAAAAATTAGCAGGGTGTGGTGACATGCGCCTGTAATCCCAGCTACTCGGGAGGCTGAGGCAGGAGAATCGCTTGAACCCAGGAGGTGGAGGTTGCAGTGAACTTAGATCACGCCATTGTACTCCAGCCTGGGCAACAGAGCAAGACTCTATCTCAAAAAAATACATAAAATTAAATTAAATTAAAATTTAAAATGTAGTTGTTTATTCATTGTTCTGCCTGTCTTTGTGAGGGGGACAAGCAGTAGGGGTTTCTTCTTGGCCATTTTGCTAGCATTACTTCCTTTTTTTTTTTTCTTAATAGAAATGGGTGCAATGTGGTATCTCATTGTGCTTTTGATTTGTATTTCCCTAATGATTAGTGGTGTTGAGCAACTTTTCATGCGTGCGTTGGCCATTTGTATATCTTCTTTGGAGAAATATCTATTTCAAGTCTTTTGTCCATTTTTCAGTCAGGTTGTTTGATTTTTGTTGTTGTTGTTGAGCTGTTGGAGTTTACCTATATTAAACCCTTAGCAGATACATGACTTGCAAATGTTTCTCCCATAGATTGGTTTTTTACTCTGCTGATATGTTCTTTGAAACACAGATATTTTAATTCTGATGTTCAATTTCTGCATTTTTACTTTTGTTGCCTGTGCTTTTGGTGTCATATTCAGGAAATCACTGTCAAATCCAATGTTATGAAGCTTTTCTTCTATGTTTTCTTCTAAGAGGTTTATAGTTGTAGCTCTTACATTTAGGTCTTTGATCCATTTTGAGTTAGTTTTTTTATCTGTTTTAAGGTAAAGGTCCAAGAACTTTGTTCTTGTGGGTTGACTTAGTTTTCCAGTTCTATGTGTTGCTTTTTTTTTTTTAATCTAGTTTAGCAAACTTTCTACCAATATTTCTTCGACTTTTTTTTTTTTTTAAGAGACAGGGTCTCAGTCTGGCACCTAGGCTGGAGTACATAGCTCACTGCAGCCTCAAACTCCTGGGCTCAAGATCCTCCTGCCCTCAGCCTCCCAAGTAGCTGAGACTACAGGCATATGCCACCATACTTGATTAATTTTTTGTAGAGATATGGTCTCGCTATGTTGTCTCGAGCAATCCTCCCACATTAGCTTCCCAAAGTGCTGGAATGAGCCACCACACCTGGCCTCTTCAAATCTTTTTCTGCCACATTTTCTTTTTTTTTTTTTTTTTTTTGTTTCTTCCCTCAACTTTTATTTTAAGTTGCAGGGTGCATGTGAAGGATGTGCAGGTTTGTTACATAGGTAAACATGTGCCATGGTAGTTTACTGCACAGATCAACCCATCACCTAGATATTAAGCCCAACATGCATTAGCTATTCTTCTCGATGTTCTCCCTCCCTCTGCCCACCTAACAGGTCACAATGTGTATTATACACCCACCCCCAGGTGTCCATGTGTTCTCATTGTTCAGCTCCCACTTATAAGTGAGAACATGTAGTGCTTGGTTTTCTGTTCCTGCATTAGTTTGCTGAGGATAACAGCTTCCAGCTCCATCCATGTCCCTGCAAAGGACATGATCTCTTTCCTTTTTATGGCTGCATAGTATTCCATGGTATATAGGTACCACATTTTCTTGATCCAGTCTATCACTGATGGGCATTCCTTCTGAGACTTCAGTTACTTATACACTAGACCACTTGATACTGACCCAACAATCACTTACATTATCTTTTTTTTCCAATCCTTTTCTCTCTGCTCAGTTAAGATGATTTTTTAAACTGATTTTTCATTTCTACATTTCCCCACCCTTTTTTTTCCCCACAAGTTTTTAGGAAGAAATTGAAGTACAGTCAGTGGCATTTATATAACATTTCCTCATGCCCCCTTGTAATCCATCCTTCCCTTACCTCATTCCTAGAGAACCAGTAACAGCCTTTCTGCCACTACAGATTGATTTGCATTTTCCATAAATTTACATAGATGGAATCATATTGTAAGTACTAGTTTTCCTGACTTCTTTCATTCTGCATAATGCTTTTGGGATTCATCCATGTTTTTCCATGTGTCATTAGTTTGTTCCTTTTTATTCCTCAGTAGTACAGTGTATCTTTATATCACAATTCACTTTTCCATTCACATGATGATAAGCATTTAGATTGTTTCCAGTTTTGGCTGTTACACATTAAGACCCATTTGTACTTAAACAGTAATGAGCAAATCTTTGTAGAAACATTTGTTTTTATTTCTCTTGGACAAATACCTAGAAAACTATGCCCAGATGGTTTTACTGGTAAATTCTACCAAGCATTCAAAGATAACACCAATCTTACCCACAGTCTTTCAGAAAACATAGGAGGAGGGGATTCTTTCACAGCTCATTTTATGAGACCAGCATAACCCTACTATCAAAATCTGGCAAAGATGACAGGAAATAAAATTACAGAGAATATCCCCCATGAATAATAAACAGAAATCCTCTTTAAAAACAAAGGATTAGCAGTCGAATCCAACTAAATACGTATGTGTGTATATCTATATGTGTCTGTTTGGGACAATATATATATTTTAGGGAATATGCATGTGTGTATACATTAGGGGTAAGACATCATGACAAAGTAGTGTTTATCCCAGGAGTGTAAGGTTGGTTTGACTTCAAAAAAAAAACAATCAAAGTAATTCATTACATTAAGAGAATGAAGGAGAAAAATAATATAATCATAACCTCAATAGATGCAGAGGAAGCATTTGACAACTCAGTACTTCATTGAAAAAAAAGTATTTCTTAGCAAACTATGAATTGAGGAGAACTTCTTTAAACTGATAAAGGACTTCTAAGGAACCCTATAGCTAAGATCATACCTAATGGAGAAATATTGAACATAATGCCCTAAGATTGAAAACAAGGAGAAAGTACCTGTTCTTACCACTTCTATTTAACATTGTACTGGAGATTCTCATCAGTTCCATGGAGGAAGAAAAATAAATAAGAGTCCTGGTGTGGTGGTTCATGCCTGTAATCCCAGCACTTTAGGATGCTGAGGCAGGTGGATACCTGGAGCTCAAGAGTTCGAGACCAGCCTGAGCAACATGGCGAAACCCTGTGTATTTTAACAACAAAAAAATTTTTAAGTGAGTTTAGCAAGGTCACAAGATAAAAAGGTTTTTATGCAAAAAATAAGTTTTACAGTATGCAGTGAACAATTGGAAAATGAAAAAATTTTAATTATATATCGAATGGTACCAGAAAACGTGGAATACTTGGGAATAAATTTAACAACAAACATGCAACACCTCTTCACTGAAAACTATCAAATGTTGCTGGTAGAAATTAAAGACCTAAATATGGAGAGTGATGTACAGTAGTTATGAACTAGAAGACCTATTATTATTTAGATGGCAGTTTTTCTCAAATTGTTCTGTAGATTCAACACAATCCAAATAAAAATCCCAGTCTCGGGTATGTCTTTATCAGCAGCATGAAAATGGACTAATACAGTTAATTGGTACCAGTAGAGTGGGGCGTTGCTGAAAAGATACCAAAAATGTGGAAGCGACTTTGGAACTGGGTAACAGGCAGAGGTTGGAACAGTTTGGAGGGCTCAGAAGAAGACAGGAAAATGTGGGAAAGTCTGGAACTTCCTAGAGACTTGTGGAATGGCTGTGACCAAAAGCCTGATAGCGATATGGACAATAAGGTCCAGGCTAAGGTGGTCTCAGATGGAGATGAGGAACTTGTTGGCAACTGGAGCAAAGGTGACTCTTGTTGTTTTAGCAGAGACTGGTGGCATTTTGCCCCTGCCCTAGAGATTTGTGGAACTTTGAACTTGAGAGAGATGATTTAGGGTATCTGGCGGAAGAAATTTCTAAGCAGCAAAGCATTCAAGAGGTGACTTGGGTATCGTTAAAGGCATTCAATTTTATAAGGGAAAGCAGAGCATAAATGTTCGGAAAATTTGCCACCTGACGATGTGATAGAAAAGAAACACCCAGCCGGGCGCAGTGGCTCAAGCCTGTAATCCAAGCACTTTGGGAGGCTGAGGTGGGCGGATCTCAAGGTCAGGAGATCGAGACCATCCTGGCTAACACGGTGAAACCCCATCTCTACTCAAAATACAAAAAATTAGCCCGGCATGGTGACGGGCGCCTTTAGTCCCAGCTACTCGGGAGACTGAGGCAGGAGAATGGCGTGAACCCGGGAGGCGGAGCTTGCAGTGAGCCGAGATCGTGCCACTGCACTCCAGCCTGGGCGACAGAGTGAGACTCTGTCTCAAAAAGAAAAGAAAAACCCATTTTCTGGGGAGAAAATCAAACCGGCTGTAGAAATTTGCATAAGTAGCAAGGAGCCTAATGTTAATCTCCAAGACCATGGGGAAAATGTCTCCAGGCCACATCAGAGACCTTCATGGCAGCCCCTCCCGGTGGCCCGGGAGGAGAAAGTCTGTCGCTCTGTCTCCCGGGCTGGAATGCAGTGGCATGATCTCAGCTCATTGCAACCTTCGCCTCCTGGGTTCAAGCAATTCTCCTGCCTCAGCCTCCTGAGTAGCTGGGATTACAGGCGCGTGCCACCATGCTTGGCTAATTTTTGTATTTTTAGTAGAGGTGGGGTTTCACCATGTTGGCCAAGCAACCAAAGAAATTTTTAAAAGAACAACAATAAAGTCAGGATTTATATTACTTGATTTCAAGAATTCCTGTCAAACTATGGTAATCAAGATAATGTTGTATTGGTGAAAGGACAAAAACCTGTAGATCACTAGAAGAATTAGCAAGTCCAGGAGAGAAATATATATAAATACATATATGTATATAAATATTTTAAATGCATATATAAATAAAAATAGTTTAAATATATAAATATATATAATTATTAAAAGTATATAAATATATAGATGCCAATGGAGAAAGGAAAAACCTGTTCTGCAAATGATGCTGAAACAGCTTGACATTCATATAGGAATAATAAAAAAAGAACAGCAACCCTTCATATCACACCACTCACCCAAAAATTAAAATGTATCAGAGACATAAATGTAAAATCTAATACTACGAAACTTCTAGGCTGGGCGCAGTAGTTCACGCCTGTAATCCCAGCACTTTGGAAGACTAAGAAGGGCAGATTGCTTGAGCTCAGGAGTTGAAAACCAGCCTGGATAACATGGCAAAACCCAGTCTCTACAGAAAATACAAAAAGTAGCCAGGCACGGTCACATGTGCTTGCATTCCCAGCTACTCAGCAGGCTGTGGTGGGAGGATCACTTGAGCCTGGGGGAGGTCAAGACTGCAGTGAGCCAAGATCATTCCATTGCACTCCAGCCTGGGCGACAGAATAAGACCCTGTATTTAAATAAAAAGAAAAGAAAAGAAACTTCTAGAAGAAAACATCTCCATGATCTTGAGGTAAGCAAAGATTTTTATATAGGACAGAAAAAGCAAGAATCATAAAAGAGAAAAAACTGTAGTTTTTGGTGAAGTAGTCTTTATCAAAATTAAAACTAGTTCTTCAAGAGGCCTCTTTAAGAAAAGAAAATGGGCTGGGCGTGGTGGCCCACGCCTGTAATCTCAGCACTTTGGGAGGCAGCAGGCAGATAACTTGAGGCCAGGAGTTCGAGACCAGCCTGGCCAATATGGTGAAGCCCCATGCTAAACCTCTGCTAAAAATACAAAAATTAGACAGGCGTGGATGTGCTCATCTATAGTGCCAGCTACTGGCGAGGCTGAGGCTGGAGAATCGCTTGAACCCAGGAGGTGGAGGTTGCAGTGAGCCAAGATGGCACCACTGCACTCTAGCTTGGGCGACAGAGTGAGCAAGACTCCATCTCAAAAAAAAAGACAAATCACAAAATGCGAGAAAATATTCAACGCGCATATCTAACAAAGGATTTGTTTGTGGTCCATATAAAGAACTTCTACAACTCAGTAAGAAGAGAGCAATCCAATATTTTTTTAATGGGCAAAAAATGTGAATAGATTCTTCAACAAAAAAAGATATAGGAATGTCCAGTAACCACATGAATAGATGATCAGTGATCTGGGAAATGCAAATTAAAATCTCAGTGAGATTCTGCTTTACCTCTGCTGGAAGGGCTAAAATAAAAATGGCTAACAGGCCAGACGCAGTGGCTCATGCCTATAATCCCAGCACTTTGGGAGACCAAGACAGGCGGATTGCTTCAGCTCACAAGTTTGAGACCAGCCCGGGCAACATGGCGACACCCCATCTCTACCAAAAACAATTAGCCAGGCATGGTGGCACATGCCTGTAGCCCCAGCTACTCAGAAGACTGAGGTGGGAGGATGGCTTGAGCCCAGGAGGCGGAGGTTGCAGTGAGCTGAGATCACGTCACTGCATTCCAGCCTGGGCAATAGAGCCAGACCTTGTCACCAAAAAAAAAAAAAAAACTTAACAGTGCCAGGTATTGGTAAGTATATGAATAGACTTTAATCCTGTGTTTCCTCTAACATTCACATTATATACTAGGTGCTCTGGAAGAAAGAAATGATGCTTTAAAGTTTACAAAGCACTTTTACATTAGGTACCTCATATGATCTCCAAAGTAATCCTGTAAGATTATTTTTGAGTAGGGGGTATAAAGTGAATCAGCCCATTCATCCTGCCTCGCATAGACTAGACATAACTGTGTCTGATTGGATTACTGAGGCTACTAATACCAGCCTTCTATCTATCTCTTTTTTCATTTATGTGGGAACCTGATTGTAAAGATACAGTAAATTAAGCACCTTAGAAATAAAACTGTGAATTATGTATTTATCATCACTTTTACTGCAATAATAGCCACTAGTCTTCCTTCAAGTACTAGATAATATGTATTCTTGCTAAAATAACTTCATTTCTCAAAATGCAGGTCTTCCACTGAGCTAAAATAAGTAACTATTCAGAATAATATCTATTGCCAACGGAAAGAGTTTTGAACTGGCAGAGTCAAGACAAATAGAGTTCTTTTTCTCTTTGAAGACAAGTTGGTTTCACTGGACTTATTTTTGTCCTCCAGCCTTTGGGGCCTCATTCCAGATTCTAGCCAGTGTCTGTCTTCTTATTTCAAGAAGGCTGTTAAACCTGTAACAGATGATACATTGATGTGAGTCACATGCCCTGAAAAGCCATAATTCTGGTGAGGGTTACTAGGAGTGAAATTTCATTGGTGAGATTCCAGAATCACTGACCCTGCAGCAGTAGTCTATAGAAAGATGGTGGGTAAATGGTAAAATTAGAAATGTCAGTGGAGAGCTTACCCATCATTAATCTTTTCTAAGTCTTCCCTGACTCATTCACCAGAGGCTTTGATTGACTGACCAAAGGCAAAATATACAACTTTTAGTTTCACATATACAGCTTTGCTCTGTAACCAGAGTCCTGCCAAAATTGGCTCAGAACTGCAGCCAGAAGGGTTTGAGATACAAAGATTGCCTCATCTCATAAAGATTTGTGACACAGAGTTTTCTTCTTTCACAGGAAGGATCCATTTGGAATGGGTCAAATGCAAGAGGATAGTTCAAATGACCTCTTAAACATGGCCAGTGACAGTTACAGAACTCTAAATGGTGTTTAATCTACTTACAAGCATTTTATATTAAGTCACCCTTAAATGGGAACATACTCATTGAAAATCAAAGTGAGTCCTTCATCATTAGGGTTCTTGGAGTCCAGTGGGATAGAAAAAAGCAAAATCATCATATAGTATGGTATATAAAATTATATGAAAATGTGTGGAAGAACAAGTACAAAATGAAGTGGCTAGAAAAACTAGAAAACCATTTTTAAAAGCCAAGGGAAGGCCGGGCACAGTGGCTCACGCCTGTAATCCCAGCACTTTGGGAGGCTGAGGCGGGCAGACCACGAGGTCAGGAGTTCGAGACCAGCATGGCCGATATGATGAAACCCCGTCTCTACTAAATATACAAAAATTAGCCAGGTGCAGTGGTACGCTCCTGTAATCACAGCTACTCAGGGTGCTGAGGCAGGAGAATCGCTTTGAACCCAGGAGGCGGAGGTTGCAGTGAGCCAAGATTGCATCACTGCACTCCAGCCTGGGAGACAGAATGAGACTCCGACACACACACACACACACACACACACACACACACCACACACGCGCGCGCGCGCACCAAGGGAGAGACTGTATGGTGGCAATAGCCTCTATAGCCTCTGGAAGAGCCATTGGCCAGGAATGGAAAGGGAAGGCACTTGGCACTGCTGGCTTGAGGGAATATCTTCTCTCAAACTTCTTTTTGATTCTGGGGAGCTCCCATACGTGCTTGTGTTTGAGTATCTTCCTGCTCCAACTCTGCCATTTACTGTTTTCCTCATCTGATAATGTGAAAGTAAGAGGTGTGTCTCAGAACTATTAGGAGGATTTAAAATGAGATCACATGTGATATGTATGGCATAGTATCTTGCCTATTTTATAAGGCTTCTGTAAGCCCAGCCCTGGAAGAGAAGCCTCTCTCCAAATCCACCACTTCCAGGTGGATTATCCATCCCACAAAAGCAACTCAGGTCATCACAGTGACACAGGCCTCAGTTAAGGTTTACATGAAAATACTAAAGGCCATAAGACTGCTGAGTATTTGGAATTCCCCATCTAGATTATTGCCCAAAGGGACCACATTTTAGCATGGTTTGCGCAGTGGGGGCACCCAGAGACCTGGCTGCTAGAACAAATTCCCTGCCCTCTGAGTATGTAACTTTGGGCAAGAGTCCCTTGTTCAACTCCTCTTACTTGGTTACTGAGGTGATAATCAGTCTCCCTCAACATGTGTCACTATTATCTATCATATGCCTGGCACTATGCCAGGGTACAGGATATGGCCCTCTGCCTTCTAGGAGCACATGGTCTGGTAGAAGTGGAAAGACACAGACCTGAATAACTGACATAAGGCAGAATAAGGTGAGTGTTGCGATGGAAGCACAGAGTGCTGTGGTAGCACAGAGGAAGGAATGATTACCATAAAAAGGAGAATTAGGGACCTGTAATACCTTTGTAGAGTGAAAAGGCTTCTTGTGGACTTTGTGTAAGGTGTTGATGTATCAAGGAAGCGTTCCACAGGGAGGTGAGTAATGCAAGACCAGGGCTGAAGTTTAGACTACACAGGACATGTTTAGGGATGAGTGAGTAGTTCTGTGAGCGAGACAGGAGGATGCCGGGGTAGAGGGAAGTTGGAACGTAAGCTAGTGGGTTCTACAGAGGAAGGGCTTTGATCTGCTGATCAGAAGGTTTGGGCCAAGCCCAGGAAAAGGGATAGCAGCAACATACGTTTGTTTATTCATTTGCTTACTTACAACAAACGTTTATTCATTATTTATAATGCAACAAGCATTAACCTAGGTGCTAAGGAGAGAAAAATGAGTAAGACACAGTTTCTTTCCTCAAGGAAATCACAGTCTGTTGGCAGAGATAAGTAGTAATGGTGCCTAATATAGGTAACACTTGCTACCTGCTCCAAGAACAAAGTTAAGCAAGTGATTAAGTTAAGCAATGCTTAGAGGTAGAGGATGTAAGAATGGCCTTAAAAAATGTGTCTTCTGAGATGAGTTTGAAGGATAAATGGAGTAGGAACTTGCCAGATTGAGGTAAGAAGCCTTCCAGACACAGCCCAACAATGCAGCAAAGCCCAATGCTTGACTAACTGGGGCACACAGGGAACACTGCAAAGTTTGGTTTGGATCCTAGAGTGGAAAAGGGAACTAAAGAGAAAAGATTGGTGAGATGAGTTGGGATAAACCTAGGAGTTTGGGCTTAATCCTGAAGCATTGAGGCGGTGTTGAAAATGTTTACACTGGGAAGTTAGGAAAGTAAATATTAGTAGGATGGAAGGATCAGAGAGGCCCTGGGCAGAAATCATAATGTGGGTGACTCCCAGGTTTCTGGCTTGAGTAACTGTTGCCATTCCCAAAATAAGAGAGGCAGGAGGAGAAGAGTTCCAGAGGAAGATGATGAGTTCATTCTTGAGTATGTTGAAGGTTATTGCAGGGTGCCTGTGATGCTCTTGCAACCCCATCCCCACCTTGAAATCCTTCAGAGGCTCCCCGTTCCCTTTAGTCCTGGCCTGGCCTCCAGTGTCTTCTCTCAGCCCTGCCTTCTAATGTGCTTGCTGCAGCCTGAGCAGCTTCGAGTTTCTAGAACTTGCCAGGTTGTGTTCTACATCTTTGAGCCTTCAACTAGAACACCATTTCCCTTCTCCTGCCTTCTGCCTGGCCAGTTGTGGCTCATCCTTCCAGACTCACTCAAGATAAAACATCTCTGAAGGAGGCTTCCCTGACATTGTCTACCACCACCCCCAGCAAGGGCTGATACCAACTGTCAGCAGCTACATACTCACCCCTACTTGACTGTAATGATTTGCATCCATGTCATCTCCTGCCCTACTGTGACATTCCCAGACCACCCCTCACTGGGCAGGTGGCATCTCTGTATCCCTTTTGCCTGGCCCAGATGGAAATTAGGACATCAGTAAATGTAAAATGAACAAATCCAGATGGGAGCATCCAACAGAGAGTTGGAAATTCCAAAAAAAGCAAAATGAAAGGCACCAAAAAAATGCATACAACATTAACACCTTATGTCTACCATTCGCTCCCCCCGCCACCCCCGTCCTCTTCCCTAAGCACTACATTATCTAAAGCCTAGATGTTCAATCATCCAAGCCCATGGCTGTTGGCTTGGTTATGTGTCTGGAATGGAACAGAAAGGGAGGAGGAGTGCAGAGGCCCAAGGAGGAGCATCAGTGAAGGTTTGGAGACTGACCTGGAATTCCTAGCCATCATGGTGGGTACAGTTTACATGAGAGGAAGCCTGGCTTTACACACCTGTTTCCTCTTTCTAAGCTCTGGCCCCTATTTTCTAACACCATCTGGTGGCCACATCTGTAAATAACAAACTCCTCAGGAGCTGAGAGAGCTTCTATAAGGCAAAAGGTCCAGGGATTGGCCTCAGAGGGCTATTATGTATTACAGCCCCAACAAGTTTATATGTATACGAGATTTGCCTTTTCTGATGAGACACTCCAAGAGCTTTTGACCAGAATCTTAAAAACTCCTATAGCCTCCAAAAGGCTTAGAATCCCTGCTACAAAGGATTGATTCTTTTTTTCCCCAAGTGAAATCCTATGAAGAATCATACACAAGCTAAAGAAGCAGACCTAAATCCCTGCTTGCTCAGAACCTCACCCTCCAATTTCCCAAAGCACTTACAGAGAACCTGGAATCTAGTTTGAAAACCACTCTTGTGAAACGAAGGGCTTGTAGAGCATCGGGGCCAGATGGGCCCTTAGAAATCATTGTGACGTACTAGGTCCCACCTGAGAGAGGAGGCTTGGTGATACACACAGCACGTATCAGTAGCAGTACTGGAACCTAACACAAGTCTCCCCTCTTGTTTCTCTTCTCTTTTTACTGCTTGCCTTATTGCCCAAAACCTAAATTTAAAAATGTACTAATCAAAACTTTTTCTATATATAGTTCCCAAACAGGAAACCATTCTTCATATAGATTTCTAGGTCTCTGGAAAGAGATCTTTCCCCTCAAAATGCCTCTTAACCAACCATAAATCATGGTAGAAAATAAATCTAGAGCTTACGTTTGAATAGTTTGTTGTTTGTTTGTGTTGGGGCGTGTGTTTTTTTGAAACAGGGTCTCATTCTGTTTACTAGACTGGAATGCAGTGGTGCGATCATAGCTCACTCTAACTTCGAACTTCTGGGTTCAAGCGATCCTCCTCCCTTAGCCTCACCAGAAGCTAGGACTACAGGTGTGCAGCACCCTGCCCAGCTAGTTCTTTTTTTTTTTTTTTTGGTGGCAATGGAGTCTTATTGTGTTCCCAGGCTGGTCTTGAACTCCTGGCCTCAAGTGAACCTCCCACCTCAGCCTCCCAAAGTGCAGGGATTACAGTCATGAGCCACTGCACACTGCACCTGACCCAAATAATTCTTTTCAACTTACAACATCAATACCCATGGGCTAGTTTCACAGTGGCAGAATAGACTCAGAGAGGTAAAATGACTTGTTTGCTGTTTCCTGTCATCAACTTAAAGGTTCTTTCCACTGTCTCACAACATTTGTGTTCGAATGTGCATATTCTGCGGTACTTAAAACAGTGAACAAATAGGCAATCCATCTGGCTTATTGATACTTGTTCAGGGAGTGGGGGTTATAACCCCTGCTATTAACTGCCATTTGGAGATGGGGGACGGATGAAGTCTAACATTGTTTAAACATTCATATACTAGAGTCTGAACAACCTTCAAAATATGCTTTTAGTCACCATTTTACAGATGCCTAAACCAAAGTATAGAAAGAGAAAGTGCTTTGCCTCAAGGTCACACAGCTAGTAATTGTCTCACCCTCCTGCCCTTTCCCTTCTTTCTCTTTTAGGAGTGCCAGCTTCTCTCAGGGCACCAGAGCCTCTTTTCTCATGAGGAGTGACACAGCTGTACAAAAACTTGCCCAGGGCAATGGACACTGTGTCAACGGGATCAGTGGTCAAGTCCATGGCTTCTATAGCCTTCCCAAGCCGAGCCGGCACAATACAGAATTCAGAGACAGTACCTACGACCTCCCCCGCAGCCTGGCCTCCCATGGCCACACCAAGGGCAGCCTCACAGGCTCCGAGACAGATAATGAGGATGTGTACACCTTCAAGACGCCCAGCAACACCCTGTGCAGGGAGTTCGGGGACCTCCTGGTAGACAATATGGATGTTCCGGCCACCCCACTCTCAGCCTACCAGATCCCTAGGACATTCACTCTGGACAAAAACCACAATGCCATGACAGTGGCCACTCCTGGGGACTCAGCCATAGCTCCCCCACCCCGCCCCCCCAAGCCAAGTCAGGCAGAAACACCTCGATGGGGCAGTCCTCAGCAGAGACCGCCAATCAGTGAAAATAGCAGATCTGTCGCTGCCACCATCCCCAGACGCAACACCCTCCCTGCAATGGACAACAGCCGACTTCACCGAGGTCAGTATAAGTCCTAGCTGAGACTCAGAGGGAGGAGGAGGTAACACAGGGGTTCTCAATAGTTTGATGGTCCTTGGTCATCCATGGCCGAGGGGAACTTACGAACCACCTAGGTCACTGATACTCAAAAACATAGGTGTCTTCTACCCAGATCCCTTACCAGTTGGTCCTCCAGCACTGGAGGCTGTTAGTAGTAGTTGTCTAACAGAGCTAGCCCCAGAGAAGTTAATGTTCTACTAATGGAGAATAGGACATTCTTGATTAACCACAGTATAACATATTATGGGTTTAGAAGCCCAAATCATTGTATTTTATTCATTTGTAAATCAAATCAAAGATTTAAAAAATAAATTCAGAAGATCAGTCCAAACTGGAGTGAAACCTGTGTGGACTAACAGACTGCTAAAGCAAAACGAGGTCTTAATATTTTCTAAATCATACTTGAATCTCTTTGGTTGAAGTCAAAACTTTTATTTGAAGTACCTAAATTCTATTGTTACTTGTTTTCCACTGAGAGTATTCCAACTCTGCATGTAACCTCCTCTGTATGATGAAAAAATAGAACAATATTAATTCCTTTCATTTTGCATCTTGCTTTATGGTTTGCAAAGCCTTTTCTTGTCCATCCTGTTGTTTAAGCCAGGCAGAGAGGTTGGTGGGACAAAACCTCCTTGTCTCCATCTCACATGAGGCCAATGACAGTTAAGAGACTTAAATAGAGTTGCAGAGTCATTGTGCCAGAGATGAGACTCAGACCCTAGAGTCCCAGCTCCTAGTTTAGACCTCTTTGCCGTCTTTCAATCCATCGACAATTTGAGCAGTCATACTCCGTTTTGGAACTGAGATGATAAAGACATACATAAAACATGTTCCTGCCCTTCAGAGCTTACATCTCATTGGGAAAATAAAACCAACACATATAAATCAGGACAAGTATTGTTACTGTGGTGTTCAGAGAAGTGATGGCTGGGGTGAGCAGGACAGGTGAGTGGTGTAGGAGTCAAAGGAGAGGTGCATAGATGAGGGTAGAGTAGTCAAGGACAGCTTCTCTGCAGATGCTAACACTGGAGCTACATCTAGAAGCCCAGGAGGAATTTTTGAACTGAGGAGTGATGTGTTCGAAGAAATTCCTTATCATTTGGGGTTGAGAGTAGTATCTTCTGGAGTATCAGTAAGACCTTGAACCACACTGGTGAGGGTATGGGTAAGTGTCAACACATGAATCAACCATGAGTACTTATGAATCCTCCTTCCTCTGTCAGCTTCTTCCTGTGAGACCTACGAGTACCCACAGCGTGGTGGAGAGAGTGCAGGCCGGTCTGCTGAATCCATGAGTGATGGAGTTGGCTCTTTCCTGGTGAGTGTGGGTTAACCCAAGGGTCCTCAGGCCGGCCTGGTTAGGTAAAAGGTCACACCTTATGGAATTAAAAGCACAACCCCAAAAGATTGATGGCGTCTCCATCTTAGGACCCTGCCCAAGTTCTTGTCTCAGTTCAGAACCCTGCGTTGAGTCTTTGGACAAGTAAGATATAAGTATTCTAGTCTGGAAGAAATGTATGTGCTAAGGTAGACTGGATTACAAGGTTCACCAACCTTGTAGGTAAGCAGAGGATCTAGAATGCAATAGACCCAGGCTGCACGGTGGGGGAACCTCTAAGACAGCAACCTTACCCACGTGGCCTCACATGCAGGAGGGAGGCTGCAGTGTGAGACTCCAGGCAAGGGTGGTACTCACAGTCAGGCTAAGTGGCAGAATTATGGCTTGAGTGCAGGATCCCAGGCTGCCCTCTGGAAGATGCTAACCGCAGTTCTCCAAGGTGTCAGGCAAGAAGACCAGGGCCTGGCTTCAGGCCCACTGAAAAGACAGTGAAATCAGGTAACCAAGGCAGAAGCAGCTTAGTTGTATGTCACGGCAGATAGAGCAAGAGTTAGAGGAAGGCTGGGATTGCTGTATCACACAACTCTGTAGAAGCTCTGACTGCAGCTTGGTGGTCCCCTAGGTGCCTGGAGTGAGCCCCAGGTACTTAGAAACCTGGACTGGGGAAACACAACTGGCCCCAGACCTCACCTTCCAGAGCCAGGACTCCTAATATGCTCCTTGTTCTGATCCAGGGCCTGAGATGCTGACCTGCCAGTGGTGAGTCTGGACTTGAGGTGGAGGGCAGGTCCTGAACCAAACCTACAGTCTATGGACTATGCCACCCACAGTGTTGGTCAGGCGTCCAGAAAGCCAAGTGGACCCAGTCACCAAGAATATTTTATACTCTAGATTTATCAAAAATTATTAGTGGATGCCAAAGGATCGTGAAGGCTTGAAGGGGCCCACAGACCTCATATATTCTTGTCTCCCACTCTGCTTCCTTTTTTTTATTTTTTATTTTTTGAAACAGAGTCTCACTCTGTCACCCAGGCTGGAGTGCAGTGGCATGATCTTGGCTCACTACAACCTTGGCCTCCCAGCTTCAAGCGATTCTCGTGCCTCAGCCTCCTGAGTAGCTGGGACTACAAGCATATGCCACCACGCCCAGCTAATACTTTGGATTTTTAGTAGAGAGGAGGTTTTGCCATGTTGGCCAAGCTGGTCTCGAACCCCTCACCTCAAGTGATCCACCTGCCTCAGCCTCCCACTACTCTGCTTTCTTATTTGGTCTCCCCAAGGTCTCCCTTACAGCTTCAAAGTATAGCTAACCCAGTCATGACTTGTCTTGCCTCATTTACAAAGTCTTACCCCCTTCCTGTTTCTTCTTGCTAGTAACAGCTGTATTTCTTTCACTGTTCCTCTCCCTAGCCAGGGAAAATGATTGTGGGCCGATCGGACAGCACCAATTCTGAAGACAACTATGTGCCCATGAATCCAGGTTCTTCCACCCTGTTGGCCATGGAACGAGCAGGTGATAATTCCCAGAGCGTCTACATCCCAATGAGCCCAGGGGCCCATCACTTTGACTCACTTGGCTACCCATCAACAACCCTTCCTGTGCACCGAGGCCCCAGCAGAGGAAGTGAGATTCAGCCACCCCCTGTCAACCGCAACCTCAAACCTGATCGGAAAGGTAAGTCCATTCTTTCCCCTGTCCCATCTCTGGACAGTGGCTAGGGACTCTTTCCATTTGCTTAGGGGTCATGTGGATCCTGGACTTGAGAGGTGTGACTTGGGGCAAATCATGTAAAATCTGAGTCTCAGTTTTCTTATCTGTGAAATGCAGATGGTAATTCCTACCTCCCAGGTTTGCTGCAAAGGAGAGCATCTAGGATAGTACTTTGGTACATAGCAGGCGTTCAGTAAAGTCAGCTTTGTGCCCCCTGCATGTAGACCAGGCAAGGTCCTCGTCTGCTACAATCTCACTCTCCTGGCATTGGATCAGTGGCAAGGATTCAAAGGGAGGAGTAGGATAGCTAGGCAGAGATAGCCCCCTGTGGGTCTGGCCAACAGGGAATTCAAATCTTAGCATTTGGAACTGAAGCCCTCAAGCCCTTATGGCATCTACCTTCCTCCACTGTGGCTTGCACCGACCTGGCCAGGAGCAGCAGGGAGTAGTCACGGTGACCATCTATACTTCAAATATGGTCTCTTGGCTGGGCGCCATGGCTCACGCCTGTACGCCTGTAACCCCAACACTTTGGGAGGCTGAGGCGAGTGGATCACCTGAGGTCAGAAGTTCGAGACCAGCCTGGCCAAAATAGTGAAACCCCGTCTCTACTAAAAATATAAAAATTAGCTAAGCGTGGTGGCAGGCGCCTATAGTCCCAGCTACTAGGGAGGCTGAGGCAGGAGAATCACTTGAACTCAGGAGGCAGAGGTTGCAGTGAGCTGAGATTGCGCCGCTGCACTCCAGCCTGAGCAACAGAGTGAGACCCCGTCTTAAAAAATACATATATGTGTGTTAATATATAAATAGTATATATTTTTATAAATATTAATATATTAATATATAAATATATTTTATATATAGTCTTTTATTTTTAAATGAAGTCATAAATTGAGGGAGAAAAATCTGTTGTCAAACCCTGTGTCCCCACTTTTGATTCTGAAAATATAATTACCATAGATACAGCAGAAAGAATATATAATTTGGAATCTGAAGACATGACTTCAAGGCTCATCAATATGGGCAAAGATTATACAACCTCGCTGAGCGTCAGTTTCCCTGTGTGAAACTGGAATGACTTTGCAGGCCTTTATAAACATGCTCATGTGTTATATATAAGGTGTGTATGTGTAGCATTATCATTACTGGCTGATTACCAGACTTTCTTTTCCTGCTCCAGCAAAGCCAACACCACTTGACCTGAGGAACAACACCGTCATCGATGAACTCCCCTTCAAGTCACCTATCACCAAGTCTTGGTCTAGGGCCAAGTAAGTGCGTATGTGTGGGGGTGGGAGCTTGGAGTCGGGCCATTAGGGAAAATGAGTGATGTGGTAGCTGGCCTGTGGGCCGGGACAGCTGGATTCTGATGCTAACGCTATCATTAGCTGATCATGTCTCGATGTCTTGTGGCTTGGTTTCCTCAGCTGTAAAAGAGAATAATTATACCTGCCCTATATCAGATCTTAATCTGATGGAGTGTGCAGCTCTAATGGCTGAGGTCTGGGTGTGTGAGGGTCAGGGCCCAGCTGGAGGCTAGAAACATGGCAGCAGCCATGCAGCTTCCCCAGTGTTAACTCTTCCTTCCCACAACAGCCACACCTTCAACTCCAGCTCCTCCCAGTACTGCCGCCCCATCTCCACCCAGAGCATCACCAGCACAGACTCAGGAGACAGCGAAGAGAACTATGTCCCTATGGTGAGTCCTTCGGGCTTCGCTGGAATGACGCCTTTCAAGTCCCCTGGGACCCACCCCTCAGTTCCCCACTTCCCAGCTTAGCTAACTCACCTCAGCCCAGGGACTCCTTGTATTATTCATGATTTAGTCTCCTGCTACAAACCCTTCTTGAGCACCTGTTTATCAAGCAGTAGGAGTTGTCATCAGATGTAAGGAAGACATGAGACCTGTCCCAACGAAGTCATGGTCTTCAAGAGCAGGGGCCTGCCTCTCATGACAGTGACATGGGTGGCATGATCTGTGCCCTTGGATAGGCAGTGCTGGAGGTATCTCCTCAGTGGTGGAGGTATCTCCTCAGTGGTGAGAGGCATACGTGCACATAACTCACTTTGGTGAGGCCATAATAGAGCTATCAACACAGGCAGAGGAGGATATTTCTTCCCTGAGATTTCCATTAAGGGCGTAACTGCCCAGCACCTGGTAGTCACTGCATAGATAGTGAAAGAATGAATTAACCAACCAGTAAAGCAGCCAACAAACAGAACACAGGACTATCACCTTCTCATTAGAATAAGACTTCCAGAAAGTTCTAGAGGAGGTGGTGCTCTGCTAGAGCACGAGCCTGGATGGACAGGATCCTAGAGCGTGTCATCTGAAGAAATGCGGGCTTGTGCAGCCTGGAGATGAAGCCACCCTCTTCAGATCTTGGAGGAGCTAGGCGGGGGAGCAAGCTGCTTTGGGGTGACTACCCCACTCTAGGCCACAGGTGGGAGTTTCACAGGGGCTGATTTGGTGCGACAGAAGAAAACTTTCCAGTGCATAAAGGAAATGTGCTCCTTTCTTAAGCGCCAGCAAGCAAAGGCTGGATGTCTCAGGAGAGCCACTGTTGATGAGACTTGGCCTGATGTGCTAGAAAGGAGGCAGTGTGGTACAGGGGTTAGCACAGGTTTGGAAGTCAGAAAACAGACCTGATTCCCATCACTCAACAGCTGTGCAGCCACAGGCAAAGTCACTTCTCTGAAAGTAAAGTGAACCACAGTTTCATCTTTGCTTTAAACAGTATCAACAGTAATCATACCTACCTTACAGGATTGTCATGAGGATTAAAATGAAAACATGAAAAGTCCTTAGCATGGTGCATGTGTCAGAGTAGGGCTCAGGGAAACAGTGTTCTTACTCCCAGAGGTGTTTTTCTGGGTGGTGGGTTAGTCTGTTTTCTGCAGTCACTCACAGTTTTTTCCTCCTCGTGACAGCAAAACCCAGTGTCTGCATCTCCCGTTCCCAGTGGCACGAACAGTCCTGCCCCTAAGAAGAGCACCGGCAGCGTTGATTATCTGGCCCTGGACTTCCAGCCGAGCTCCCCAAGCCCCCACCGCAAGGTGCCTGGAGTAGAGTTGGGGGGGCAGTAAGAGCTCTCAGGGTCCCGGAGGCAGAGATCATGGAGGCCAGGGTGCCTTCAACACTGAACAGCAGCACTCAGCCTCCCTCCTGCTCCAGTACCCAGCTTTTATGATGCATCTTTAGTCATAGAGCTTTCATCTAGGTCTAAAGACTCCTATTCCTGCTCTCAGAGCACAGTACCCTCAGTCAGAGAACCTCATCAGTCAGCCCATCCCCCGTGTTGTAGAGATGGGCAAATGAGTGCACAGAGATCTGATTGTCCTAAGGTTACAAAGTGAATCAGCAACAGATCCAGGAATGAGGATACTGCCTCCTGGTCCTGGGCTCTCGAGTGGGTCCAGAGCCCTGCCGTCGATACATCAGCCTTCAGAAGGGACTTCCAGGCCTGGGAAAGCCTCCCCAGGAGGCATCCTTATAGCTAAGCAGTCTAGACAGAAGGGTGCAGAGCTGTGCCTCAGCATGGTTCCCCTTCACAGGGTGGCAGTGAGCACAGCACGTAAAGTCCTGTGGCTGATGTTTGTTTGCACCTAGCAAATTCCTTCCCCTGGATGAGCGACCTGACAGAGATGGGTGGAGGCAGAGATGAAGGCCTGGACCCATCCACCAGGGCCAAGGAAGGGCCTGGGTCCTCCCAGAAGCCGGGAAGTAAGAAGGGCTGGCAGGTGCTGCTACATCCTGCAGGAGGGATGATGAGTTTGGAGTCTGAGCTTTAAAGCCCACATTCAGAAAGAGAAGCCAGGCTCCTGAGGCTGGTCAGTGGCAGGCAGAGGCCATGCTCTTCTCCCCTTCAGACAGCTCAGGAAGATCCCGTGCCCACCTTCTTCCTCCCCACCTAACTGGTAACTCACAGCTACTCCCTCTTTCCCACTCTGTCCCCTCAGCCATCTACTTCATCCGTCACCTCTGATGAGAAGGTGGACTACGTTCAGGTGGACAAGGAGAAGACCCAGGCCCTGCAGAACACCATGCAGGAGTGGACAGACGTGCGGCAGTCCTCAGAGCCTTCCAAGGGTGCCAAGCTGTGATGAGAGGGCCACCGCAGAGCCCAGGAGGCAGCATCTCCAGAGCTGGCCCTTCCCATCTCCCCTCTCCCCTCTCCCGTTCTTCCTCCCATCCACCTCCTCTCTACTCTGCCAGTCTCAGCCTTCAAAGCACTTGACATCAGGGACCCTGAACCCTTCCCCTGGGAGGTGAGGGCCTGATCAAGGCACCTCCTCTGCCCACTCGGGGCCCAGCTGTGATTTTTATCAGTAATGGCCATGCCTCCACCCACCTTAGTTAGGAGCTACTTCCAAAAAGCATCCTTCAGCCTCTTCCTGTCCTTTAGACCTGACTCTCTACCAGATGTTTGGAGGGAAGGGCTGGGGCTCTGAGCCAGATTCCACACCTCACGTTCAGTCACAGCCCTCAGCTATCTTCCCTCCGGCCACTGGGCTACCTCTCCTTCAGTCCCAGAAGACAAGTCTCACCAACCCAGGGAGTCAAGGACCAGCAAACCAAAGTGGATAATGGACTTTTTCATTCCTGTTTTTCTTGGCAGGAGAGAAGCAAGGCCACTAAAAGAGGAGATGGTGGAGACGGAGGCTCAGCAGTGGTCTTGAGGGGTAAAGGACTTAGATGCCCAGATGAAGAGGGAAAGCTGACATCTGCAGGGAACCCACTTTGAGGCTGAGGCCATGGCAGGACAGCTGCTGTGGGGTGCAGAGGCAGAAGATGAAGGACAAAAGGAAGGGAAAACTGATGGCCAACCTAGAGCAGCAAGGAGCAGGGCTTGGAGCTCGGGTGGTGGAGATGACAAGGACACTGTGGGGTCTGGGTCCCCAGAACTCTGGAGCTACAGGCCACTCTAGGCCCAAGGGCTAGTCCTCTTCCCCAGTCCCCTCAGAGGCCCCCGCCAGCCCCACCTTGAAAGCAGCATACAGGGGAAGGCTTGGACCAAGCTGGGCGACCAAGCACATGGGGCAGGAACACATGGTAAAGGGGTGGGGAATATGGGAGGGAGTGTGGTGTGGATGGGGGTGATGCAGGGACTGAGGGGAACCCTGGGACAGGCACAGGCTGGGCAGAGGCACAGGGCAGTGCAGGGGACTCTGCAGTGGGGTCGGGAAGTGAGTTTCTTTGCAGTGAGCAGTGCAGTGGAAGTCGGGCACAGAGGTAGCAGACAGATGTGAAGCAGTGGTGAAGGCCATGTAGCAAGTGGGGAAATACATCCAAAGGGCCTGGGAGTTGGGGGGTGCCCAACGCAATCCTTGGGGGTGCAGGGTGGAGCAGAAAGTGAAGGAGGGACACGTGCAAGAGTGGTGTGCATGGTGGTGTGACATGAGGACCGTTCCTAGGATGGGACAGTGGGTCAGGCAGGACAAGGAGAAAGCAGGGCAGAATGATGCCTAGAGGACCACATCAGGCATGGCTGACAGCTTGTGCCCATGGGCTGTGGCGTATGTCAGATCGCAGGGTAGGAACGAGTCTGGCCTGGTGCCGGCCCAGTGTTTCCTCAGCTCATCCGCCCTCTGTTGCTCCCTAGCATTCCAGGAGCCATCTTGGACTCTCCTCCCCAGGTTTGAAAGGCCATCAGATTAGCAGGGACGGGGTGTAGGGCATCACCCAAGGTTCCTTCTCTTAAACTAAGGGTGGGGGATCTGAATGTTTTTATGTTGACTGTTCTTGACTAAATTTTCAAGAGTTTCAGAAGCAACAGGACAGACCAGACGTTTCATTCTACCCTGGGGCGAACAGAACTTCTTCCTCCCAAACAATGACTTCCTGCCATGTTTGATGGGGACAGCTACCACTGTCCTCTGCCCCCATTCCCCTTTCAGCTCCCATGAGCATGCATAGTTCACCAGACCAATGGCCTAGCCATTCTCTAAGTCCCATCCTGGAAGAAGTTATTTCTTCAAGAGCTGCACCTCTCCTCCTAGCATTAGTTTAGATCAACTCAAGGAGTATTTATTAATGGCTGCTGTCTCCAGTTTCTGGGGTTAAGCACTAAGGACACAAGAATCAATCAGACCTTCTCCCTGAACTTAAGATAGCCACAATCAGAAAAAGGACAAGGACATGAGACAGTGGTGATGGCCATCAGACAGAGACTTCAAATGCTGATGGAGGGCAGAGGAAGTACTTAGGGAGGTTGGTGTCAGAGGCAGGAGTGGGGGATCAGGGAAGGTGGATTCTAGGAAAAGGGAGTGCCTGAGGTAGGCCTTAGAAGGGGATGAGTCAGATTTTTACAGAGGAGGAGGGCAGGGCTTGGGTCCAGTGGAGGAAGAAGGAAGGAGAGGCTTGGAAAGCCTTGTGTCTTGGGAACAAAAGGCCTTTGAGCATATGGGTCCAGCCACTCAGAAGTGTAGGGGCCATGCCTTGGTGTTCCAATAAGTGAATGGAAGCAGTGGTGGTAGCTACACTGGGCAGAGTTGGCAGGGTGCTGGTTCACTCTGCCCAGCCCTGAATGTGTGCCTTAAAGGCCCCCTACAAGGGGCCCCATACGACAGAGCTTTTAACTGGTGCCTTCCCTGTACCCGCAGCAGCCACAAGTGGGCCCAGACTATTGCAGCCTCCCATAAACATGTGAGCATGTTCTGAGTGTGCCATGATGTGAGTGGACCTGGCTGGAATCTTCGGAGAGCGACTGAGGTGTTCAAATCGAATCTCCCAGGAGGCTTCCTTCCAGCCCCCTATTCTGGTAACTACCAGGAGGCTTCCTTCCAGCCCCCTATTCTGGTAACTACCAAAATCCCTCGGGTGCAAGTGTAGGGGTAGAGATGGAAGGATGAGAGGTGAAATTGACCTTTTGAAAGCAAAGCTCTGGCTCACAGGCCCCAAACTACCAGCCGTATCTAGCATATCCCCACCCTCCACCCACTACCTCCTCCAACAAAGGAGTCAACTCAGTTGAAAAAACTGGTCCTTTGGCCTATCCATGGGTCAAAGTCCACCTCTCCTGGGGGCCTGGAGAGGACTGAGCCTACGGAAAGGGGATACCTTCCCACTCAGCACTGCTTCACACAGGCCCCCTGCCTGGGGCTCTCCAAGGAGCCTTCTTCACCCACTTCCAGCTCCACTTCTGCAAGGTTAAGTCAAGTGAGAACGATGAGAAATAGGGAGATGGTGTCTCCTTAAGTCCTTGATCTGCCTGTCTGTGGAATGGGAGGTTGGATTAGCTGCGCTGAGGTCCCATCCACAGCTGGTGCTCAGCTGCTTGAAGGGGAGACTCCCTCCTCTGTAACTTCTTTCTGGGGGATTGGGGTGGGCAGTACCTATCCCCAGTCCCCTCCTAGCTTGACTTTAGTGGTTTCCAATGTAGAAGTTAACAAAGTATGCCCCATTCCTGTGACAAAAGCACAACCATTCTGAAGTTACTGGAGCATGGGCTCAGCTCATCCTCCCTCTGGCCCCTTCTCCCATGGGGACATCTCGGCCCAGCACCCCTATCCCATTTCCAGAGTTCTTCCTTCCCCATCTGGGCCTTCATAAAATGCAGGGGAAGCCAGACTGGTCTCAGGAGCGCTAAAGCCCTTCCGTGGGGGGTCGTCTTTCTGGGACTAGCCCTGCTGTTTAGGACCTGGGACCACAATGGGGTACCTGCCGAGGGGGTCCCCAAGAGATCCAGGCTGTCATGTGATTTATGGTGGCATGTGTTGTGTATTTGTTGGCTACTTGTGTCTTGAAATCTAGAATTATTTCACGCAGAATTGTCACTGTTTGTCAGGAAGAGAAAATGGGCTAGTGGAAGCCCAGTCTTGAGTTCTTGTCTTGTTACCATTTAAAATTGACATTTAATTTTCAAATCACTGTTGGTGCCTAATCACTTAAGTTATTAATTTATTCTGTTGTATTCTTTTTTTTAAATTGTAACATATTTATCCGGTGGGTGGGACAGGAGTGTGTTCAAGTGGGTCATGTTTTTGCTGTGGTGACACATGGTACAGGCTTGGAGCTTGCAGGTCCCTTTCTACTGTGGTGTTGGAGCAGGACAATAAAGTCCACTAGAAATGCACCCCAGAACCAGCTGCCGTGTCCATCTTGTCTTGAGGGGCTTGGTGGTGGAACCCGTTCTCACTCCAGTCTGTTCCAATTTTTGCTTTATTTGGAAATAATTGGGTATTTTTCTTGGCTGTGAATAAGAACAAATGCTCTCTACCTCAGCGTCTGTTGTAAAGTGGAAATCATACTAGCATTTACCCATCCAGCTTTCTTAGGCGTCTAGAGATGGGTTCTGGGCGTGTCTGTCTGCTGCTTTCACAGGTCACTTAGATGTGACATCTTGAGGGTCTGTGACATTGGGCCCAAACTCCACACCACCATCACAGCAGGCAGCCCCTGGGGAAGGAGGTAGGTAAAGGCTTGAGAGCTGCCTCCCAGGTGCATCCTCTCCACGGGCAGCATCACCCAGCCCTCAGTAAGGTAAGTAAGTCAGTCAGTCCACACGTTTACTTACACCCCACTTCAGTAGATTCAGTAGAGGGCTCTTGGCTCCCTGTGGCATCTCACACGTCACTGGGGGGCAGGCTGAGTCCTGGCCTCCCCAGACCCCGTGAGCAAAACCCAGTGGCCATCACAGCCCCTGAGTCCAAGGAAGAACAATCTCTTGCTTAGGCTTACTTTTATTTATTTATGAACATGGGTGTCTGTCTTGTCTTCGGTTAGAAGTTAGAAGGGGGCTACAGCAGTGTCAGGGCACTTCACCCAACCTGCAGGTGGCTGCTGTTGCAGCTACAAAGGCCAACTGCTCAGAGGAGCCCACAGGCTTCCTAAGAGCCCACACTTCACAAGGAACATGAACACCTTTGCAGTAAAATCAGGACTCTAACCACAAGGGGGATACAAGTGGTGGCTTCTCAGGCCCTGAGGCAGGCGTGGAGGGGCTGTGGGGGCAAAGGCCTCCTGCTGTGAGAAGCTAGCCCCCCGCCCCCCCCCCCAAAACCATGCAGTGGCGCTTGGTAAGGGGGCAGGTCTCGGTCTCTGTTCTTCTCAGAAAGGTACAGACAGTGCAGGTACCCCCCACCCCCATATGAGAAACAAACAAACAGGACAGCCAGAGGAGACACTGCCCCCCCCACCCCTTTGTGCAAGGCTTGGATCCTGCTGTGCTTTATACCGTACAGCAGTCGGAAGGAAAATAGTACTTGATGTCAAAACATTGGAGCTGAGGTCTAGCCTGTTTCCTGAACATCATCAGATCTTCCCGCATGGGGAGCCTGCTAGGGAAGGAGGGGGAGGCAAAGACCCGTGTGTGCCCATCTCGGCTGCTTCAAGTTAACCAGGACACTTGGGTGTAAAGTTTTAATGGGACTGATCCCCAATGAAAGGGACTTAGGTCTTACTTCCATATCTGAGAGAATCTCTGTGTACCCTTCATCAGGCTGAGGACTAAGGTGCCATGAGCTGTACCATCCTTCCTCTTGGTAGGGCCTGCCTCCACAGCTTCCCTCAGGCCCTACCTGGCTCCTGGAGGGAAGGGGTCAGGTTGGCAGCAGGTTCACATTAGAAGACCAGTCTGTGGAAGTCACCACCATTGCCACCTGCAGGATTGCAGCCCCCTGGAGAGCCTTCATCCTCATCCTTGTCTTCATCAAAGCCCCTCCCCCAGTGCGGAGATGTGGGGAGTGCAGAGATGTAGGCCGCCCTGCTCCGGGCCTCCTTCTCCTGCTCCTGGGAACACAGATGAGAGGAGACTTAGACTTAGAATTCACACCCTGAAGCCAGAGTGAGTCTACCCAGCACAACACCTTTCAATGTTTCCTCTAGGTCCCCAGGGCCTGGACACACAGAGACATTGCAGCTCAGTGGCAGGATATCCGGGGTGGACACCTTCAAAAGACTTCAAAAGACCCCCTCCTCTCAATAAAAACTCTAGTCCCTGAGCCAGCTGATACTAGGGTGTGACTGACTAGCTGACAAGGGCCTAATGTGGTACCGAGAGGTCTGAGGACTTCGAGGGTCATATCACACCACACGGGAACCTGTCCGCAGGCCTCATGATCACGAGGAATGGGCTCTGCCTATGAGAAAGCCCATCCTCCTGCTACCAGGACGTCAGCCTCATGGCGATCCTTACCCGCCACCCTGCCTCCATCTGGACAGCATGGCAGAAGCTGTCCCTGAGAGCCTGACTCAGCCTCAGGCCCCTCCCTGGGCTGCTGCTGGTAAAACAGCACATAGGCTGTGTCCTTGGGGAAGAAGGAGTTGATGTTGGTGACACCCGGTCTGGTGTCCCCACACCAGTTGCTGTATTCCCCCGCACAAAACACAAACTCCAGGCACTGGCACCCATCCCACTGGTCAAAGCCCATGCTGTTCCAGCTGCTCAGTATGCCAGTGCCACCCTTGACTCTAGGGAGTCACACAGGAGGCTCACGTGGGTAGTGGGACCCCCTCCCCCCACACCCGAAGCATCCTCCTCCCCCTCAGACTCAACTGGTCCCTGTACTCCTCCTTCAGCACACTTATTAACTGCATTAATGGGGTTTTCTAGATGATACAGAATCATGTCATTATCTCATCCCAGGAGCTTCTTAAGCTGTTAAGCAACTTCAGCAACTCTCAAGATGATACATACAAAAACCAATGTGCAAAAATTGCTAGCATTCCTATACACCAACAAGAAGCAGGGAGCCAAATCATGAACAAACTCCCATTCACAACTGCTACAAACAGAATAAAATACCTAGGAATACAGCTAACAAGGGAAGTGAAGGAGAGGACACAAATGGAAAAACATTCCATGCTCACAGATAGATAGGAAGACTCAATAGCATGAAAATGGCCATACTGCCCAATGTAATTAACAGATTCAATGCTATTCCCGTTAAACTACCATTCACATTCACAGAATTAGAAAAAACTATTTTAAAATTCATACGGAGCCAAAAAGTCCATATAGCCAAGACCATCCTAAGCAAAAAGAACAAAAGTGGAAGCCTAATGCCTACCTGACTTCAAACTATGCTGTTTTGCTTACTGTAGCCTTGTAGTATAGTACTGGTATAAAAACAGACACATAGACCAATGGAACAGAATAGAGAACTCACTCAGAAATAAGACTCCACACCTACAACCATCTTCAACAAACCTGACAAAAACAAGCAATGGGTAAAAGATTCCCTGTTTAATAAATGTTGCTGGAAGAACTGGCTAGCCATAGGCAGAATGTTGACATTCGACCCCCTCCTTATACCTTATACAAAAAATTCACTCGATGGATTAAAGACTTAAATGTAAAACCCAAAGGTATTAAACCCCTAGAAGAAAATCTAGGAAATACCATTCAGGACATAGGCATAGGCAAAGATTTAATGATGGAAACATCAAAAGCAATTGCAACAAAAGCAAACAATGACAAATGGGATCCACTTAAACTAAAGAGCTTATGCGGAGTACAAGGAACTATCATCAGAGTAGACACAACCTACAGAATGAAAAAAAATTTTTGCAAACTACCCATCTGACCTAAGTCCGATATCCAGAGTCTACAAGGAACTTAAATGTCCAAGAAAAAAACAACCCCATTAAAAAGTGGGCAAAGGACATGAACAGACACTTCTCAAAAGACATTCATTCATGTGGCCAACAAACGTACGAAAGAAAAATTCAACATCACTGACCATTAGAGAAATCAAAACCACAATGAGATACCATCTCACGCAAGCCAGAATGGTGATTATTAAAAAGTCAGGAAACAACATATGCTGGTGAGGTTGCAGAGAAATAGGAATACCTTTACACTGTTGGTGGGAGTGTAAATTAATTCAACCATCATGGAAGACAGTGTGGCAATTCCTCAAAGACCTAGAGGCAGAAATACCATTTGACCCAGCAATCCCATTACTGGCTATACACCCAAAGGAATATAAGTCATTCTATTATAAAGATACATGCACATGTATGTTCACTGCAGCACATTTCACAATAGCAAAGACATGGAATCAACCCAAATGCCCATCAATGATAGACTGGATAAAGAAAATGTGGCACATATACACCACAGAATACTATGCATCCATAAAAAGGAACGAGATCATGTCCTCTGCAGGGACATGGACGGAGCTGGAAGCCGTTATCCTCAGCAAATTAACGCAGGAACAGAAAACCAAATACCGCATGCTCTTACTCATAAGTGGGAGCTGAACAATGAGAATACATGGACACCTGGTGGGGGTGGGAGGGGACCAACACCCACTAGGGCCTGTTGGGGGGTGGCGGGGGAGGGCGAGCTTCAGGAAGAATAGCTAACAGATACAGGGTTTAATACTTAGGTGATGGGTTGATCTGTGCAGCAAACCACCATGGCACACGTTTAAGTAACAAATCTGCACATTCTACACATGTACCCTGGAACTTAAAAAATAAACTGCGTCATTCATTACTCAGTGTCTGTTACTTTGAAGTAAGGGGTTAGGTCTGTCTGGGCCACCAGTATATACCCAGCACTGAGCAACAGATGAATGGGATTTACAAAAAAGACTTAGAGGGGAAATGACTTATCTAAGCCAGTAGTGGGACTGGACTCCCTCCACCAAGAGATCAGATCAAAGGCCCCACGGCTCAGCTCACCTGTAGGTAAAGGATGTTGTCTTTGGAAATGGCTTCCATCAAGTCCTTGTGCAGGGTGGGCTCTGTCCGGACTCTAGAAGAGCCCAACTCAGCCTCGGGCCCCTCCCTGGGCCGCTGCCGGTAAAACAGCACATAGGCTGTGTCCTTAGGGAAGAAGGAGGTGACGTTGCTGACAGATTCGAAGGAAGAGAAGGACACCCGAGTGTCATTGAACAGGTACCACTGGTTCTCGGGCTCTGGCCTATCGGCAGTTCCCAGAGAAGCGGCAGGGCGGGCAGCGCCCTCACGGGCATAGCAGTAGTAGTGACCACTCTCCGAAGACACTCCAGAGTGCACCACCACACTGCAGAGGTCATAGGCCTGGCCACGGCCACCAGCCAGTGGCAGGCGGAGCAGCAGGGGGATGGAGACGTCATCCAGGATCTTGCGGCGCCGCATGGTGCGCAGGTCGAAAGAGAAGCGCAGCAGTGTGAGGATGAGGTAGCACGGCCCTTGGCTCAGCTCCACCACCTTCTCGGCATCCTGCAGGGAGGCACACGACTCGCAGTAGTAGCGGTTTTCTGCTGTCAGCTTCTCGGGGGACAGGAAGTAGTTAACCAGGTCCAGGACGGAGCGGGAGCCCTCAGAGCCACATGTCCGCTCCCCGGAGGGGATGGCAGCATCCGGGTGGGTCCCCGCTCCCAGGCTGTCTTCTTCCTTTTCCTGCTCAGCCTCCTTTTCTGTCTCCTTCTCCACCTTCTCTTCTTCCTCTTCCACCTCCTCCTCTTTCTCCCTCTCTCCTTCCCCTCTGGTGCTTTCCTCCTCCTCCCCCACTTCTTCCTTCTCCGTTCTCTCCTCCTTCCCTTCTTCCTCCCTCTCTATCCTTTCCTCCTGACTGCTCTGCCCACCAGCTTCCTTGGAGTCCAGGCCTTCGATGTACAGGCTGGTGGGGGGGGTGTCCTCTGTGATGCAGTGTTTCCTTTGCCTCCGAGGACCCACCCTGCCTGGCCCCTGTGCACTGGTTGGTGGGGGCAACTCCCGGGCTGTGATGTCTTCTGTGGGGCGCATCACAGAGCCCAGGCGGCGGCGGCGACAGCGCTCAGGAGGAGGGAAGGCGAGAGAGAGGTCCGTGAAGGCCTCCTCCCGGGAGGAGACGTTGAGGCAGCAGAGACAGCAGATCCGAGTCACTATCTTGCCTCCAAACATTTTTTCCACAGAGGTTGAACTTGGGGCCGGGGGCTCCTCGGGCGGAGAGGGCGAGCTGGACTGCTTGAGTTTCTGGCAGATCCTTGTGCCCGTTTTCTCCTCTTCGTGCAGCCTGGGGCAGAGAGCACAGAGTCACTACATGTACATGCGGGTCCCCTTCCGGGGCACTCAGCTTATCCATGCCCATTTACCTTCCCCAACAGCCACACATTGAGACGCACACAAACACACATGCACACACCAAACACCCACACATCCACGTACATGCTCACAACAGCACGCTTGCTACACTCACCCACACGCCCTACATAAAGACTTGCTGGAGCTATGTAATGTGCTCCCATGGCAGTGACAAAGATGCACGGCCCGGTGTGCAGACATACACAATGACCTCCCAGAGATCACTTCCACTCAGCATCTACCAAACCTCCCTCACACTCAGTCCCTGCCCTTCCAGCACACCCCTTCTCCACGCCCTCCACATGTTGGAGGCAGCACACTTATTCCCTGGACGCTGCAACACAGCTCAGAGGTACTGGGCTTGCCCCCAAGGACCCTCTAGACCTGGAGTCTTCGCGTAGCCCTGGCCCCCTTACCGATCCAGCAGGTACTTCAGATACTCCGAGCAGTCCTGCTGGGTGCCAGGGCTGAACCAGGGCGTCCAGGATGCGGAGAGGAAGTTCTCTGGGGAAATGGCAGGCCGCTAGGACAAGGCAGGCGAAAGGCATGGTCAGGAGCAGGAGGCCACTCACCAGCCAGCTCTGCACAGGTTAGGCCTGAGGGTCTACCTCATTCCCTCGGCCTCAAACTTCCTGGCCTCCTCCATGAGGTCCTCCCCGCTTTTCTATTGTCCCTGACCCAACCCAGCCCACATGTCCACGCCTCTGAGCAGGGCTGAGCAGGGCATTGGGCTCAGAGAAATGAACGAGGCTCTAGGAATCTTCTCTTCCTGGCACACCTCAAACATTCTCTCCCTGCCTCCACTCACTGCCATTCTCTCCCGTCAAGATGAGTCCCAGATACAGCGCTGCCTCTTCCATGTCATCTTCCCAACCCTCCCTCACTGACCTTTCCCTTCCCTCCATGAGCCAGGGAGGGATTACTCATTTCTGTGCCCCCACACAGAGCTTTGCATAATCCCTGGCCAAGGGCTTTAGGCTCCATGAGGGCAGAGATGGTGTTTGTTCTGTTCACCTCTGTACCCTCAACAGCTCTCAGGCTGCCTGGCCATGTGGGTACTCAAAAATAACAGCAGAATGAAGCAACATGCTGTGGTGTGACTGTGTCCTCCAAAAAGCATGTGTTGGAAACATAATCCCCAGTGCAGCAGTGTTAAGAGATGGGACCTTCAAGAGAGGATGAGGTCCTGAGCACTCTGCCCTCAGGAATGTATTATTTCCTTATCACAGGCCGTTTGCTTTCCCCAGCAGCCACAAATGGAGACAGGAGCAGGTTCCTGATAAAAGGGTGAGTTCATCCCGCTTTCCCTTCTCTCATGCATGCTCTCACACCCTGTGATGCCTTCTACCCACATTATAATGCAGCAAGAAGGCCGTCACCAGACACAGCCCCTCGATCTTGGGCCTCCCAGCTTCCAAAACTGAGAAATAAATTTCTTCATAAATCACCAAGCCTCGAGTATTTGGTTTTAGCAGCATAAAATGGACTATGGCAACACCATAATGCGATGGATGGACTGAATTGCCAAAGGGAAAGATTGGGCAGCACAACACGGAACAGGGCTCAAGGGGGCCCGCCTTCTCCTGCCCCAGCAGGGCACTAAATCAGTTCCATATGCCAGCCCGGCCAGGGGCTCAGCAACTGACATGGGAGATGACAGCCAGATGCAGGCAGGTCCTGGGGAAGGGAAAGGTGTCCATGTCGGGGCCTGACCAGAGCTGCCTCTCCACCCCCCTCTGACTGCCCCTACACTCACCTGGCTGTGTTCTAGGAAGCCAAAGAGCCACTGCAGCTTGGTCATCAGGGGCTGTGAGTTGTTCTCAGTCAAGCGGAGCACACAATGTCTGAAGCTTCAAAACAAAGCAGGGGCACCCAGGGTAAGCCATGGGCCCCCAAGGAGTCTCTAGTCACCCATGTCACAGGCAGCCCAGAGCCTCTAGGCCAAAGGCAGAACAGACATTTCTGCCCCAAGACGGAGCCAGAAGCCAGGGGCTGGGGAGGAGGAGCAGGTGAACAACTCAGCCTGGGGTATCTGAGGTCAGGAACACAACAATAGACATGTTTTAGACAATGAAGGGTACAAAGGTGACCCTTGTAGCCCCTTCCAGCTCTGAGACCTACGTTCAGGACTTAAAGATTCAAACGTCCTAAGGTCCTGTGGTCCCAGGATTCTAGGGTTAGGACATGCCACAGGATCCATGCCAATATCATCCCAGCCGCAGCAGCCCCTCGCACACCCTTATTAGCTGCTTCCCTGGGGAAAGGCATTCATCCACCTCCAGAGCAGCAGACTCTGCTCTGACCTGGGCCCTCCAATCGACTCCTACAGCCCCTGTCAGGGCCCTGGCCCCTGCCCCTAGAGCAATCTCAAGCTGTTCCCCTGCCTTCCAATGAGGGAGGCAGAGGTCAATGTGAGGAATACGCTAAACGAAGAGGACCCTTTAGGGATGGGTAGACTGGCTCCTAGTGGGAAGGGTCTGATCCTATAGGAGATAGCTCCCCTCCCTACACGAACATTCTCTGGAGCAAGCCAATTCCCAGGCCCCAGCTTATCTCCTGTTCTCACAAGCAGCTCTGGGTCTCAGAACAAGGTAAGTTCAGAAGCTGAGCGAGCACTTAGAAACATACACAGCATTTTAACATCACAACCACCATACAAGCACGTGACCGTTTTTCTAGTAAGTCGTTTTGTTATATTTTACAAAAGTAATATTCTGCAGCAGACTGGAATTAGAAAAGAAAAACAAAACTAGTCCTTCACTAGGCGTTTTGAGAAGAACGTGCACCAGCAGCACCTTAGAAAGACTTGGAGATCAGCTCCAATCTCCTCCCACTGAACCTGACGCTCAGAGAAAAGAAACTGACTTGAGGACATACGATAAGCCAGAATCAAAGCTTATTTTCACTGAATCAAAGCTGAAACTTTGATCTTTTAAGTAAGCCATAAGGTAGATAGGTGGCCATAGACTATAAAGATTGTGTTTGTTTCATTTTAAAAGAGAGAGATGTCTAATACCAGGATGGGTGGCAGTTCTACTCTGGAAGACAAAATCCACCCCCACAGACTCTAGAAGAAAAGTCAGTGATGTCAGCCAACCCAGAGCAGACCCCACTTCCCAGGGCTGCCCAGCCCCTTAAGCCCCTTCTTGAGTTCCCATCCAGTCCTGACCTGCCTTGGCAATGGCCTGAGGCTCTCTGTCCCCACAGACCTCAGGGAATCATGCTGGCAATGCAAAGCAAGGCCCACCCTCTCCAACCCCCACCCCGGACACCTTTCCACCTGTCATCAGGGAGCCCAGAGGAGAGAAGCAAGGGCAGACAGGGAATTCCAAAGCAGCACCTACTCAGACGCCATGAATAAGGCCTGAAGGATGCTGTTGACATAGCATGTGTTGCCCAGGTTGATGAGACCAATCTTGCCCGTGTCTGACTTGGCCATGAGCCGGGGATAGAAACCCGCCAGCTCGCTCTTCTGCGAAGTCCAGGCATCCTGCCCCAGCAGCTGCTTGATGCGGTCCTCATTGGGAACATGGAGGTCCTGAGGAGGGAATAAGCAGGCAGGCAGGATGGTGGGCACCAGGGTCAGCTCAAAAAACTACCACCTCTTCTGGGAGGCCTTCTCAGATACAGCCAACCCCAAGGCCTCCCAGGCACACCCCCCCACAGATGTTCTGGGGTGTGTGTGAACAGCCCCCTGCTTCCAAACCCCTTCAGTTGACATATGGGCTGCCTCCATGGTCTTTCAGGTCAGGACTGCCTTAAGGTGGCATAATTCCCATTTTATAGATTAAAAAAAAAATGAAGATTCAGACAGAGAAAATAATTGTCCAGGGTCGCTGTCAGTAACTGAAGAATATGCATGTGCTATAAAAGAGCTCAGGCAATGACAACCCTGGCCCACAGGCCAAATCCAGTAATGTCAGGATGTCAGTGCCAGCCCCAACTCTGGTCCATACTAGCTGTCTGGCGGTGGCGAGGCTCTCTGATTCAGTTTCCTCATCTGTCAAGTGATGATACTCCTACCTTGTGTCAGTTTGGCATCCTACGTTTTCATGGTGTGGGCACACAATGATGTGCCCATGTCCACCTTTTACTTTTAGATTTGCAGAATCAGCTTTCAAGAAGAGAGAGTCACCTCCCCAAAACTTGACCCTACAGTCAGGACAGTGGGTGAATCCCTGGGGTCTGAGGTATGGGTCTTGGTCCTTGGCATGCTTCCCACTCATTATCTGTGTCACATCAAACAGCAGCACCTAAGAATACCACCAAGCACTAGTTCTAATGATGCTAGAGGTATCTTCCAAAGAACAACATCTAAGCACCACATCCCGCTACTTAGAGTTCAGCAACATTCCTAACAGTTCTTCTAGCCCTGTTCTTGTTTCCAGATCCTGGTCACAATGCCTTAGATTTGTCCAGGGCTCCACAGAGCTTCAAAACAGCTCAGCATCCAAAGCCCTCGTCTCCCCAGTGCACATCCTGTGGCTCCCACAGAAGGTCTTGCTCACCCAGTGGGGTTTAACACTTTTGCTCATTCACCTCCCAGGATCATTTATCGGATAATTTATCAGAGCAGTCAGTCACTTCTCACAGATGATTTAAAAACACACACACATAACCAAGGAGATGCCAGCGGGAAGACAGATAAGATACAGGCTCAGTATCTTCTTCGTCCCTTCTTTTTTCTGTTCATGATACCCTATCTAATGCCCTCCTCGCCTGTCCCTCCACCCCACAACATGAATGAATAGAGGCAAAAAGGCAGACACAACCCCACATATCCGTGCACACGCAGAGAAGATGCAAAAATATCCATGCTAGGAACAAAATCAAATGCCATTATTCCCAAAGAAGGTAACTTTGTTCTCAGGAAAATAAAAACTTCAAAATAACTTAAGAACCTAATAATGTTACTAGAAACTGATGTGTGATGGCTCCCTTGGCAAGTATCACAGGTCCCAAAGAAACCGCCACAACCTGATACATCTGCCTAAGTCAGAGAACTTTCCAGAACTTATTTACAAAGGCATATGTACAAAAGGATGTACTCATAGAACCCATGCGAAATAATTTTATAAGCAGTAAAATCCTATAATTTGCTGCCTTGCCTCTCAAACTGGCTTGTACCAGGAGTGTTCGAAGCCACAGAACAAATGTGAAGCCATCTTTTCTAACATTCAAAGAAAAATAGGCCGGGCGCGGTGGCTCACGCCTGTAATCCCAGCACTTTGGGAGGCCGAGGCGGGCGGATCACGAGGTCAGGAGATCGAGACCATCCCGGCTAAAACGGTGAAACCCCGTCTCTACTAAAAATACAAAAAATTAGCCGGGCGTAGTGGCGGGCGCCTGTAGTCCCAGCTACTTGGGAGGCTGAGGCAGGAGAATGGCGTGAACCCGGGAGGCGGAGCTTGCAGTGAGCCGAGATCCCGCCACTGCACTCCAGCCTGGACGACAGAGCGAGACTCCGTCTCAAAAAAAAAAAAAAAAGAAAAGAAAAATATGGGCTGGGTACAGTGGCTCACACCTGTAATCCCAATACTTTGGGAAGTCGAGATGGCTGGATCACAAGATCAGAAGATCGAGACCATCCTGGCTAACACAGTGAAACCCCATCTCTACTAAAAATACGAAAAATTAGCCAGGCGTGGTGGCAGGCGCCTGTAGTCCCAGCTACTCAGGAGGCTGAGGCAAGAGAATGGCGTGAACCTGGGAGGCAGAGCTTGCAATGAGCCGAGATCACGCCACTGCACTCCAGCCTGGGCAACAGAGCAAGACTCTGTCTCAAAAAAAAAAAAATGTAATATTAAAACATGTAAACATGTTTATAATTACGACATACATACTTGAGTCTTTGAGATAAAGTGAGGTTGTAGACAAACTCAGAGCTCATGTCAGGCTACTTTGGGTGAGTTCCCCTCTCTGACGTCAAGTACTTGGGTGGAAACGTTCGAGAAGCCCAGATCTAGCCGAGTGGTGCAACCTAGTTTTCAAGGCACTGCTCTGCTGATTTTTCTGATCTCCCTTCCCCCTCACACATTACCACCAAACTAACCTCACATGTTCCCACTTCCATGCCTCCCCTCCGATGCATCCAGAGTGTCCTTTTTCAGTCCCCGTACAGTAAGATCAAACTCCTGTATCCCTTCTCTATGAAGCTTTCCAGGATCTTCTCAAGGCGCGGGGTTGAGAAGGCGGGGTCCTTGAGAAGGACTGTATCTGTATCATCTTATAAAGCCTAACTCCCTGCCCCTACTGGTACAGGTATGTGCAGACTCCCCTCATCCCCTGATCAGACAATCCATGGGCCCCTACTGTGCAAAGCCTGCATCTCACTCATCATGGGTTTTCCTCAGTGCCCGGGGCAGGGTCCCTCCTCTCTGCCTGCACCTTCATTACAGCATTCTCCTACAGTCCTGCTCAAACAATAACCCACTCATTTGCTCACAGACATCTACTAGGCACAAAGATCAAAAGGACAGGGTTCCTGCCCACAGAAGCTCACTGTTTCCTGTCTAGCAGGAAACAGACAGACCCAGCCACAGAATCTCCAAGCTTTCCTCCTACCTCCCTTTCGATGTAGAAACCCTTGGGCAACACACCTGACACAGGGAAGTCCTCCTCATCCACCTCCACTGTCGGGGGCTCATGACCTATCATGGCAGCCCCTTCCATTGTAAGGCAGCTTTGATTATCAAAAAGTTCTTTCTCGTGTTAAGTTTGAAAAACTGAGAAGATCCAAGTAAATAACGGAAGTTTTGTTTGTTGTATCTACCAACTGTCATTCATGCAGGATTGTTCCTTTGTGTGTTTTATAATTTTGGGACTATAAACTCATTTTCAGTAGAACTTTACCTTTATGGCCTGATTTATGTCTTTCTACCAGGTTACCCTTGGGTACTACAAGTTTATGACTATTTTTAATGTGGGGAAGGGCCACAACCCCCAAAATGATATGAATTTGAACCCCTAAATCCACATGAGAGCAGGCCACTGATTACATTTTTTTCCCCAATCCAGAGCCCAGACGAAGCCAGAAAAGTTTCCCTGATGTCTATTTAAAACCATGTGCATATTTTTTCCTAGACCATTCTTTTGCTAATGGTACAACCTTTCTTGGGTCCTGGCTTTTAGTCGGCTTCTTAGTGCTAACTCCCTGCTGGGGATAGGCCCAAAGTCTGACCTCCTGTCCCTACCAACTCAAGTCCCTTTGTGACTGAGATTGGCCATCTCAGCCACGCACTTGCCTCACTCCAGAGGAAAAAGAACATTGTTTCTCACCTACCACTCTGGAATTCAGTTATCTCTTCCTTTTTGGCCCCTGGGGACTCCCCCTTACTTTCTTGCAAGCTTAGCTATGTACTTAAAGTGATGTTTGTTATATTTTAACAAGCATTTCTAGCTGTTTTGTAGCAGGACACTTTTCAGGTTATCTCGTCTGCTGTGCTGCAGATGTAAAAGTCAGATCAAAGGTTCTGCAAGGGCCACCTACCTAGACCCCTTCACCCCACCCAACCTGCCTTCTCTATCAGGCAATGGGGAAGGCTCTGCCATCCAGACTCCAGCTACATGTCTCACTACCTCTGTGACTTTGCACAAGTCACCAAACTTCTCCAAGTCTCCTTTTCCTCATCTATGAGATTGAAATGAACCGTATCATCTTTGTAGGTTTCTTGTGAGCATCAGAAGACAAAACATACAGGAAAATAATCTCAAGTGTAGCAGTAGCCACAGATGTTAGTCACTGTCAGATCCTAGCAACCCGTCAAGCCCAGCTTGATGAGGCCTCTAAGAAACTCTTTCTTCTTAGAGGCCTCATCTGTCCTCTCTAACTGGAGAAGATCTTTCCTTCCTCTGGTTTCTCACTGCTCTCAAGCCAAACCTTGTAGACATTTTCAAAAGCTGCTCCGACCAGAGTTTCTCGTATCCAAGTCTGTCACCCTCACCAGGCTGCGATCCTCTCAATGGAGGAGACTCCGTTTGCTTCATGCCCATGCCCCCAGTTCCCAGCCTGGGCTTGGTGCAGAGCAGGACGTCAGTAAAGTCATGTGAACGACTGTAAATTATCCCTGGTCTGGAGTGCTCACAGTCTGGCAAGGGAGGCAGACAGACAGTGATAACATGTGACAGAGGGATGTACCAAGACTGTGGGAGCCCAGCGAGGCCCTAGCCCAGCCTGGTGGAGGGCATGGGAGTACTGAGAGTGATCAGGAAAGGCATCCTGAGGGAAGTAACACTAGAACAGAGACTTACAAGGTAAGCAGGAGCTGTCCAGGCAGAGCAGAGAAAGAGAACGTGTTTTAATTTCCATACTACACTGACAGAGAAGCGTTTATGGTTAGAAAGCACAGTGTGTGCAAAAGCCCAGAGCAGCCATGAGGCAGCCCAGCCTACTTGGGGAACGTGAGTGGCTCAGTGTGCTTGAGGCACATGATGGACCTGGGGAGGTGATGGGAGACAGCCAGGCACCAAATGACGGGGACTGCCACCAAGCTGTGGTATGGCCCGCTGGAAGGCCCACACTGGTACCTTTGTCAGAGTGGGGCAAGGCCCAAGTAGGGGACTGTCGCTCACCTTGATGGCCTCCATGACAGGCTCATACAGATCCGGGAAGCCCGGGAACCGGAACACCATGCAGTGGACCAGCTCCGCCAGCTGCTCCAGGCAGCTGGTCCCCGAGTTCGAGTCCTCCTTGACCAGAGAGGCCACCATGGGGGGGATGTGAGGGAGGAGCTGTGGGAGCAGAGCTGCGTCAGGCTCAGCACCAACCCGCCCACCTGAGACACGGGGCTGTGGTCCCTGCTGACAGCACGCAACACTCTCTGAGGTAGGGAGGCTTGCCCACCTGACCACTGTCCCCTGACCCAGATGGGGCTCTGAGCTCTGCAGGCAGGTGACTCCTTTTCCCAACAATATGATCTAAGACACCCTGCCTCAGTTTCTTCATCTGCAAAATAGGATGACTACTCCTCTCCTCACAGTCAAAGGGAGGCCAGAGCCCACGATCCAGCTGCTTGGCCTCAGCCAAGTGACCTGCCCCAAGAGCCCAGGGTCAGCAGGCAGGGCCCTTACCAGGGGCAGTAGGCAGGGCCCTTACCAGGGGCAGCAGGCAGGGGCCTCACCAGGGGCAGCAGGCAGGGGACCTTACCAGGTGGAAGGCTTCGTGGGAGTGCTGGAAGGTCAGGAGCATGTACTTGAGCACAGACAAGGCAGCTCCCCGGACGATGGGGTACAGCAGCTTAGAGAAAACCTACAAGAGAGTCCCTGGTCAGGAGTCCCCAGGCTTGAGCTGCTGAGGCCAAGTAGAATCACAAGCCTGAGAGGGGACTCAGAGACACCCTAGAGTTCAAACCCATGCAGAGGGATCAACACTGAGGTGCTCACAGACCCAGATGGACAGACAGATGGTGAGATGGACAGCAACATAGATATCTGAGGAATGGATGGACACACCAAAAGTCAGACACACATACTTGGATGAGTAGTCAGGGAAACTAATGGGGAGAATCTGAGGCCCAGAGAGGGGCAGTGAATTCGCCCAGGTCACACAGCGAGCTTGGTGGGTAGGCCCAATGCTCTGACCTCCCAGACCTGCACCGCCCCTGGCAAGAGCCTAGTACAAAAGGCTGTAACTCTGGGCTAGGACAGGGGCACCAACCTTCTCAATTTTGGTGAGCGAAACCTCGATCAAGATGCTGAACTTCTTAACAGCAGCCAGGCCCTTCAGCAGTGCAATGATCCACTTGTCAATATTCTTCCCCAGGGGCCAGGACACCCAGTCAATCATCCTGGTGAGGGGAGTGACAGTGACACAGGGACAAGGGACACCCAAAATGCTGGGGTGAGGGCAGCCCAGGGGCTATCCGTAATGTCCTGGGTTCCCACATTGACTCACACCTGCAAAGGGCAGCCCCGGGGTCTGTGGGCTGAACCAGACATGGCTGGGAAATGCACAAGCCCAGCACAGCCACCTGCCAGACACTGAGGCTCCCAGCCCACCAAGAAGGGAGCCAGGCCCTCTCAGCACCCCAAGTCTCGCCCCTCCACACTGGGCTGCAATGCCAGAACAAGGCTTTCAGCTGCTTCTGCCTGGAAGGGCACTGCCCCTGGGCCAGAAGCTTTGGCTCCAGCAAGTCCTTGCTGTGTGACCCAGAGCAAGCCACTTCCCCGCTCTGGGCCTCAGTTTCTTCCTCTGTAAAATGGGGATAATACCTCCCTCAGAGGGTTCTTGTATGGATTAAAGGAGATAACAGCAGCTAACACTTAGGTCGTATTCACCATTGAGCAGGATATTCCATCAACTTTACATGTATCAGCCCCTCTGGACCCCACAACACAGCCTGCCTGTGCGGGCTGAGCACACAGCTGCCATGCAGTCAGTGCTGAGGAAAACAGCCTAGACTCAGCAGACTGTGCTAGAAAAAGACAAAACCATGACAGCAAAGTCATAACAATGATAACGGCGTCTCCCACAGCACAGTTCTAGACATGTTTCGTGTATTATCTTGTTTTACCCAATTTAATCCTCACAACAACCCTAGATGATGGGTTTGGTTATACTCCATTTTACAGTTGAGGAAACTCAAACAGAGAGGTTGAGTAACTTGTCCAAGGTCGCACAGGCAAGAAGTGGTAGAGGCGGGATTTGACCTCTAGCAACTTACCTCGAGAGCCCACACTCTTACCCACTAAAGGCAAGGAATCCAGGAAGGCCCTACGAAGACGGTGGATCTGCACACGGGATGGAAAGAATGGCAGAGGGAGGCATGCCAGGTGGACGGGGTCTGCATAGGCAAAGGCCTGCAGGGAGGAGGGGAGCGGCATATTCTGGGACAACTGGACAGGCAGGTGCGTCTAGATCACAGGGAGGAGGACGTTCAGATGAGGTGGGGGATATGCAAGGACTCTGTGAGCTGAAAAGCACCCAAACTCTGCTTCCCATGTTTGCCCCACTCAGAAAGCACCTCGTGAAGCACTCTCACCCTCTTACCCAACCCCAAGGACGCCTGACACCACCCACCTCTGCTTTTACAGAGGGGGAAACTGAGGCTGAGAGCTCACTGGCATGTCCAGGGTCACACTGCTGGTACCTGGCCTGACAGCATCACTAGGGCAGGCTCTCTGTGTCCCCCACATCCAGCCCCAGGCAAGGCACAGAGCAGGGCTCAAGAAAGGATAGATGATGGAACACACATGAGGGCCTGGGCCCTCTGACTCCAAATCTAGCCCAGCGGCCCACCCAGGAGAAGGGGCTTCTGAGAGGAAGAGAGGGAGGGGCCCCAGCCCTGATCATGGCTCAGCCTCAGCGTCCCACCTGCTAATGGCAGTCAGCATCTGCGAGTCTGTCACACTGTCATCATTGCTGAGGTTCCGGACAACACCATCCATGAGCTCCAATGGGAGGTGCTGGACCACGCTGGCCAGGGCGCTAGATGGTGGCTCCTCCTCTGGAACAGGGGACAGGGCTGAGCTTAGCAGGGAGGCAGGCCCCTCCCTTCCCCCAGCACACCATGCCCTGCAGGAGCCAACGAACCGGGCTGGGCCTCTAGGAAGAGCACAGCAGAGGCCACCTCCTCTCCTATAGCAAGCAAAGTCTCTGGTTCCACCTAAACTCACTCAACAAACCTTCACTAGCACAGCCTTGGGGCTACTCCTGTGCTGGCCACAGACGAAGCACTGATCAAGAGTGGGTTTCAGGGCAAGGCCTTTAGGAGGGGAAACGCTGGCGCTAGAGAAGGTGGGAGGGCTGCGTGGACTGGAGGAAGGAGATACTCCAAGTGGAGCCACACAGAGGCCTAGATGAGAAAGACCATTTCCTTCTCGAAGTCTGTTGTCCTCAGTTCTTCACCCTGCCAGGTGCATTCCCTTCCTTTCCCCTGGAGAGCCTCATCACCAGGGAAGGCACACATCTGCTTTCACTCACTTGCACTGTAGTCTAAGTTCCACTGTTGTCAATGGAGGATCAAGATTTTACGTTTCTGAGTCTGCATAGCAGACTCCATCACCTCTCCAGACCCTCACCTCTGCCTACCCAGGGAACCTTGCCCCTGCTGCCAGGTGCCACCAATCTGTCAACTCCTGGCTCTAAAGTGATAGCTTCTATCAAACTCACCTGACCCGAAGACCATAATGACCCCCCCCCCCACCTCCCCCGCCCCAAATCCTGTGGCTTGCTCAACTTCCCGTTCCTCCCTCCGGCCAGGCTGACCCGTATCCTTTTCACACCAGTGTGCTCCTCCCTGCGTTTCCAACACCCACTGCAGGAGAGGACCCACAGCAGGTGCTCTAGACAGTTGTGTCACCTACATGAAGGCAGGCTGCAGCCCTCCACCTGAGCATTCGCCGCCTGGCACACTCGTGCCACACGGGCGCCCGCATGCACAAATCCACACGTACAGCCACCTACCCAAGCGCCCACCCAGGACCTCCGCATGCCCGCGCTCCTGCCCCGGCCGCACACGCACCTGCGCAGGAGATGACTGCGAACAGCTCTTTGAGGCAGGGCAGGATGGCGGCGGGCTGTGCGCGCCACAGCTGCGCCAGGAGCCCGCTCACCTGCTGGGCCTGCTCTAGGAACTCCACGGCGCCCTCCTCGCCTTCGGCTGGGCAGCGGAAGCGGCCGAGGCAACGCACCAGCTGCTGGCAGAAGAGCAGGCGGTGGGGTCCGTCGGGCACACAGCGCGGGTGGCGAGCCAGCAGCCGTGCCACCTGCGCGCAGGCCGCGGGGCCCGGGCGCTCGCACACGGTGCGCAGCACCTCGCGCCGCAGCAGCGCGAACACCTCGTCGGCCGCAGGCCCCTCGGGCAGCAGCTGCAGACCCAGCTGCACGCAGGCGAGCGCGCGGGGGCCCGGGGGGCCGGCGCCACCCTGCAGCAGGCGCAGCACGCGACGCGCGCTGAAGAACTCGGCGAAGACGTCGGGGTGGTGGCGGCCGGCCACGTGCAGCAGCTGGCAGCCCACGCGGCGCGGCAGCTCCTCCGCGCCGCCCACGTAGAGGCGCGCGCCCAGCGCCAGCAGCGCCAGGCACTGCTCACGCTCCAGCGGCTGCCGCGCCGCCTCCAGCACGCGCCGAACCAGCCCCTGCTTCACGCTGACCGGGTATGACGACGTCACCACCGCCTCCAAGATCTTGTCCATGGCGCCCGCGCTGCGGAGGACAGGGAATGAGGTCACAGCCCGACAACCGCGGGGCTCAAGAGTTCCCGGTGCAGTCCCCGAGTGCTGAGACTTAGGGCAAGCAACTCAAACTTTCTGGGCCTCAGTTTTCTCATCTGTGAAATGGGGCAAGGGCGTCATTTCACTGAGAGCTATCCTGATGAAATAAAGCACAACACTTGGCACATAATAAATGCCAGGGGCCTGCGTGGTGACTCACACCTGTAATCCCAGCACTTTGGGAGGCCCAGGCAGCAGGATCCCTTGAGCCCAGGAGTTCAAGACCAGCCTGAGCAACAGCGAGGCCCGTCTCTACAAAAAACACAAACATTACCCAGGAGTGGTCACACACACCTGTAATGCCAGCTACTCTGGAGGCTGAAGTGGGAGGCTCGCTTGGGCCTGGGAGTTCAAGGCTGCAGCGAGTGGAGATCATCCCACTGCACTCCAGCCTGAGCAAAAGAGACCCTGTCTCAAAATAAATTAACCCCAGGGACTTGTAGCTATGGTTGCTAAGCGCCTTTAATCGCACAAAGGCTACGTGAGCCTCCTCCCCATCCTTCCCCTTTGCTTCTCTCTCCCCAGACCTCCCTGGTGACCCTGTCCACTCTCAGGGCAGGTAAGAGCAGGATCTAGAAGCTGCTGTCCAGAGTCTCAGCCAAGTCATTTCCATGGGGGAGATGAGATGGGGCACACACAAAAAATGACACCTCTGTGGAGAAAGGGCAAGAGGCCCCAAGGGAGAACCGACAGAGGTCCCAGAATGCCTCGCACTCTTTCTTTCTGCCTCAACTCCCTGCTCCTTCCCCTACCCCTTGGCTAGACTCCACTTCGTGTGTGTGCTGTGCCTTCTGCCTGACACGTCCTTATCTCCTGAGGCCCCCACGACCACCATGCTCTCACACAACCAAGCAAGCGTCTTTTCCTTCAAAGCCTATCTAAAGCACCCGTCCTCAGTGAGAATAGCCCTGGTCCTCCAGGCCGGAATCCATCCCCCACCCTTAATTCCTACAATCCGCTGGGGCCTCTTGCATTACAGCTGGAATCAGTTAGTGCTGGTGGGGTATGGGTCCCAGTCCCCTCCACCGAAGCACAGCATCTCATCTCCGCGCTCCAGCCCTGCACACCTAGGGCTCTGCCTGCCTCAGCCCACACCGGCCTGTCACCCTTGGCTCACCGTGTGCCCTCTGCCCCTGGGCCTTTGTGTATGCTCTTCCCTCCCCCTGCAGACCTCAGCTGAAAGTCACTTCATCAAGGAAGCCTCACCTGAGCTCCCTGCCTGGGTCAATCTCCCTTATTAAAAATTAGAACATCTTGTCCTTCTCCTTGGTAGCACTTGTCATGATTTCTTGATTGGGGTCAGCCTCCCCTCCAATGCTGTATATGGTTCTTGAGGGCAGCTTCAGGTTTTGTTCACCACAGTATCCCCAGCACCTAGCACAGTGCCCAGCAGACAGGCATTTGCTGGATGAGCAAATGCAGGGTGCAGTGTGAGTCATCTCTACCTTACTCCTCTGAGCCATAATAGCCTTCCTTCTGCCCTTCTCCTCCACCTGGCCTGTTTCCTGAAGACTTTGTCCCACACCAACCCACTTTGAGCCCTCTCATGCAGGTTCACATGGGCACAGCTTGCTCTCTTAACATCTAACACGTAATGCCTCTCCTGGAGCGCAGAACCATTTCTTTGCTTCGATGCCCAATCTAGGCAGGACCTGATATAAGACTCAGCAGACAACAGGTGTTTAAACTTATGGGCTCAGTAAAAACTACTCTTATGCCTGAGAACTGGAGCTAGAGTGTGGACAAGCCTTAAATTTCTGGGATAATAAGCTGGAAAGTTTTATTCAGAATCACAGATATTCTGGAACCCCAACTATGTACTAGACCCAGTGAGCTCCCTGCTCTGTTCTAGTTCTCAGCTGTGACCTAACCTCCATTGCTGCACGTGTTACGATACAAAGGGCCCATTTGTTTAAATATCTGTCTCTCTCACCAGGCTGAGCTCCACCAGGAAAGGACCAGGGTTTATTAGTCTGTGGCTAGCATCTCTCATGCCAAGAGTGTGTGCCTCTTAAGAGTTCACTGTTGGTTAGAGGTTGTAACCATGGCAGACATCAGTGGTTCCCAAATCCTGGCCTGCTCAGAAGCCTCAGAATGCCTCAGAAGCACCTGGGCACCTGCTACAAGCTCAGATGCGGCCGGGCGCGGTGGCTCACGCCTGTAGTCCCAACACTTTGGGAGGCCAAGGCAGGCAGATCACTTGAGCCCAGGAGTTCAACACCAGCCAAGGGTGGTGGCGAGCCCAGGAGGTCAAGGGTGAAGTAAGGCAAGATCGTGCCACTGCACTCCAGCCTAAGTGATAGAGTGAGACCCTGTCTCAAAAAAAGAAAAGAAAAAGTTCAGGGTCCACCCGAAGCTTCCTGAATGAGGAAATGAGGGAAATGATGTGTTCGATTCTGGGTTTTGTTGTTGTTGTTGTTGTTTTTGACTCTTTGAATGTGGCTCATCTGGGATACATTCTGGTTCCCATAAAGGTTACTTAGGCTCTCTGAGCTGGGCACAAGGAAGTTCTCAGAAAATGTCAACTCCTGTTGCTTCAGAAGCAAAGTCCTTGCCTTGAAGGAGCTTCCAGTCAGATGGGGGAGGCAGAAATGTTTGTAAGGGTGCCCCTGCAAGGTATAATCTCAAAAGGCCTATAAAGTGTCTTTAAAAACTGGTCTCCCAGCTGGGCACAGTGGCTCATGTCTGTAATCTTAGCACTCTGGGAGGCCGAGGTGGGGAGATGGCTTGAGCTCAGGAGGTTGAGACCAGCCTGGGCAACATGGCAAAACCCCATCTCTACAAAAAAAAAAAAAAAAAATTACATCAATTAGCCAGGCGTAGTGTCTCACACCTGCAGTCCCAGCTAGTTGGGGCTGAGACAGGAGGCTCACTTGAGCTTGGGAGGCGAAGGTTGCAGTGAGCTGAGATCACGCCACTGCACTCCAGCCTGGGTGACTAAGTGAGTTCCTGTTTCAAAAAAGAAAAAAGAAAAAAAATTTTTTTAACTCTCCCTTCAGCCCTGGTCCCCTTTCTAGGCAGTGCCCGTGACAAGGCAGTTGCTGTGGCCAACCTCCCCCACACAAACAGTCCATCCTCCCAGACCCCTGGGATGGCTAGTGGATTTCATATGCTTTCAACCCAGGATGCCAAGAAATCCTGGTACTCAGGCAGCCAAGAAGAAACCCTAATCCATGAGGCACTGGCATCATGTGTGAAGCAAGAGGGCATGGGGGCAGGCAGAAATGGAGTTCTGGAGACAGGGAAGACTCTGGTAGTAGAAAGAGTACTAGAAAGAGTAGAAAGAGTATCAGACTAGGAATGAGGAGTCCTACATTCTAGCCCTGACTCATTGTGTGACCCTCAGTAAATCATACCCATGAGCCTCTTTTCTGTAAAATGGGGACAAATGCTATTAGACTGAACCGCATGAAACCGAATGATCAAATGTTGGCAATTTCATGTTGTTCTACCTAACACCACATAAGCCTGGCAGCTGACAGTTCAAATAGAGCTGCTCCATGAGAGCTCTGATCTCCAAGGCCAGCCGGCAGCCTCTGCTCAGTCCGTAGCCTGGCCACAGCAAGCAAGCCCTGCCCACCTGCCCCAACTCCCACGCAGGCAGTCTGAGGACAGCTGTCACCATGGTCACCAGCAAACCCACTCAATATCTTGCATGCACTCAGACAAAAGGGTTTTAGAGGCTTGCACCTCACCTGGCCCCATCAGGCCAGGGAAGGGAGGACAAGGCCAGCTATCCCACTGGCAGGAATGAAGAAAGTGAGGCTCAGAGAGAGGAACATGGCCTTGGCAAAGCAGGATTAGAACCTGCACTCTGCCTCCCTCAGGAGGGCTGGATTAGCCTGCTAAGCCCCGGGTGAGGAGATGGCCTGTCCATGCTGGCTCTGACTCAAGAGACAGCTGCCCCGCACCAACCGCAGCAGCAAACAGCAGCCATGTCCTCCCCGAGGAGAGCCTGTGTTAAAAGCTGAAGATACAGGTTTTCTGCTTCAAAGTCATGGTGACCTTGGGTGAGCCCCTGCCTGGCTTCTTAGCCTTCTCATCTGGAAAATGGGGACTATTCCAAGCCTACCATTCACAGGGTTGAGACAAGGTATAAAAAAGATGAGGTCCTCATTAACACGGTGAAACCCCATCTCTACTAAAAATACAAAAAATTAGCCGGGCGTGGTGGCGGGCACCTGTAGTCCCAGCTACTCAGGAGGCTGAGGCAGGAGAATGGCGTGAACCCAGGAGGCGGAGCTTGCAGTGAGCCGAGATCATGCCACTGCACTCCAGCCTGGGGGACAGAGCAAGACTCCGTCTCAAAAAAAAAAAAAAAAAAAAGATGAGGGCCGGGCTGTCATGAGTCTATTTTTGGGCCACCTGGCACTGATGGGAGACACAGATACTGTCAGGGAAAGGAGACAAGGAGACACGCACTGCTGATCCTGCTGATTCTCCAAGGCATTTCCTCCATTAGCCCTCCCTGCCACTTCGGTGTTCCCAGCCCCACCCAGGATCAGACCCCTTGACTTCTTGCCTGGACTAGTGCAGTAGCCTCCTAACCCATCTCCCAATTCCCTCCCTCAATCCATCCTCCAACAGAGGCATGTGTCCTAGAGGAGAACAGAGTCCAGGCTTCGAGTCTAGCCCAGCCACCATGGAGGTAGGTGTTCTTTTACCTCTGTGATCCTCGGAATGCCCAAATAGAAGGTGACTACGTGCCCACCCCTTAGCCTTTCCCAGCCAGCGCTGCTGCTCCTCCCAAGCCCTTGCCTCATACCCCTCGCCCTACTGGCATGACAGCCTGAGGGGCGTCCCAGCAACACCAGCACACTCCAAGGCACGCAGTGAGCACTCAGGAAAATCCCAATCCCTCTGCCAAAAGGCCCAGATCCTTTCACCTGTTCCTCTCGGATGACCCTCAACATTTCTGCCGAGTGTTGACTGATCTCTGCTCCTGCACAGTTGAGCCTGACTTATCTCCATCACCCCAAAGCACCCTGTGTGTGTGTGTGTATGTGTGTGTACACAACTCCTATGCTCAGCCCCACTGCCACGCCCTGGGCCCCCGCTCAAGCTTCATCATCCCTCCTTGGTCTCTCCAGATGCAGCATCGTCAGATGGAGCTTATTACACGGTAAGCACCATTCCGTCCATGCCCCTGCTCAGAACTCTCAACACTCTCCAGCCCCTTGGACCCAGAATAAGGTCCAAACTCCTGAGCCGGACATGCAAGCCCTTTCTGTGACACTCAGCTGATGTGGGGCAGGGGTGGAGATGAACTCAAGCAACATTGTTCAGTGGAGACTCTGCAGACATTGGAGCAGGGGGCTTTTTCCTGACTGCTACTTTGCACAATGTCCCCTCTACTGAAAAAGGGCTTTTCCCTCTTCTCTCCTGGAAAATTCTGACTCACCCTTCAATGCCCAGCTCACATGCCCTCTCCTCTGGGAAGCCTTTCCTTTTCCCTCCACAATTCAAGTGTCTAAAGTTCTGGCCTCCAAGGCCCTCTTAGCTATTCTCATCCCTCTGCAGCATAACTGGAATCCATGTCTCTGTCTCCCACCAGGCTGGGACCTCCCTTGGCAGAGGTCCAATCCCCGTCTCTGAGCCCAGTGCCCAGTACAGAACCAAGGACTGAGGTGTCCGTGAAGGTGCGTCAAGCAACTCATGAGAGACATGTGACAGCAAGATGAGAGAAAACCAAAGATGTAACCACAAAAGTACCTTCCAGAAACTGGCCTAACCTTTGGTCCAGTCACCACCCCCTCCTTTGCCCAGGCCTGGTCTTGCATATCAAAAACCCTGAAAATCTTAAACATCAGTCAAGAAAGCCCCTACAGAGGTCACTGGACTGGACTGAGGCTTTAGCCATTCTAGAAATTGTTCAAACAACCAAAGCAAAAGAAAAAGCACAAAACAAAAACAAAACAAAACAAAACAAAAATCTGTTCCTGGTTAGCCTTCAGGTCAAAAGCTCACAGAATCTCCTAGGACCTGAGAAGAAGGCTTCATGGTGTTACTCAACCTCTCCCTGCTCCAGGTCAGAGCAGCCCCTCCCAGCCTCTGCTCAGCACCTAAGAGCTGAGGAGCACATTTCCTCCCCTCTCTGACCCTCGAAGCCAGCCTCCCTCCTTTGACTCCCCTGGGAGCCAGAGCTTCCTTGGGGGTACCAGGCTGCCCCTCCCGACACCAGGTGGTGCCCTCCATCTCTGGCCCCTCAGGTGTCTGAATGGCAGCATCTCTCTAGGTATTTTTTAACTGAACTTCTACCCAAGGCAACCCTGGGAAGAAGTGCTTCACCCTACTCCGGGAGGCCCATGTCTGGGCCACCAAACTGTCTCCTGGAAAGAAAAAGAAAAAAGGGTTTCACTGGTAAAAAGCAGCTGCTCTTCCTCAAAGGATAAGGAGGAGAGAGAAGGGAAGAAAGCAGGAGCAGCTATTCCTCCTCAGGAACCCACCACACACACCTATCCCTGCGGGGCCACCCCTCACAAACCTGTGAGGGCCGCACTCCACCCCAAGCTTTCTGGAAGGAAGGGCACCAAGCTGACACATCAGGGTCTCCGGTTTGCAAGGGCCAGGGCCGTAAGAGGGGGTTGGGGAGGGTATCCCAGGGCCCAGCACACTGAGAATAGGAAAAGCCCATTCCAAGCAATGGTGGCCTCGGGCCCCCCAGTTTGTGCCACCTCCCTCCCTCCAGTGCACCCGCGCCCAGCCCACGCTTGAGCTGGAGGGCCCCACGAAAAGCCAGCAAGCGAATGTACTAGGTACTGGGTGCGAATGCCCTCTTACCTGAAAGGGGAGGGAGCAGGATCACTTCGACATACAATTGATGAAGGGAGGGGATTAATGCCCAGAGAGGAATAGCTACTCGCCCAAGGTCACACAGTGAGGCCCAGGAGGCCCAGGATGCACCCAGATCTCCCGACTCCCAGCCCTGGGCTCGCAAGTCCAGGGTTCTCGAAAGGCCAGGGTGCAGACACCGCCCCCCAAAGACAGTCACACGCCCCCAACCCCCTTACCTCCCGGACCCCGGTGGGCCAGAGCCGGCTGCTGGGCGGGGCGCTCAGGCCGGGCAGGACGAGGCTGGGCCCGGCTAGGTCAGGGCTGGTCCTCTGCTCCCCCCAGGGTGGGGACGCCCTCAGCCAGGTCCCAGACGGAAGAGATGCTGCTTCCACTGCAAAATCCAGTCTTCCCACCCCGCCTGGCACAAGCCTCTATGTATCCAGGAAGCCCGACTCTGCGGCGCGGCCCCGGGGCTGCGGGATGAAGCATGGGGAGGGGCGAGGTGCGTGAAATGGGGCGGAGCCGGAGCGGGGGCCACCCCGCGAGCTGCCACTCTGACCGCGTCCCCTTTAAGGCCAGCCGGCCGGACACCGGCGGGGACGAGGCGGGGCGCAGAGCAACTCGCTGCAATGCCTCCTGGGAGATGGAGTTCGCTCTCGACGCGCCGAGCTGCGAGGAGCCCAGAGAGAACTACCAGTCCCGGAAGGCAGCGCACAGACCCCGGACCGCCACGCCCCTGGGCTGGGCTCCTACCCTCCGCCCCCCTCGCAAAGCTGCGCTGGCCGCTCGCGGAGGGAGAGGCTGCAGAGCGAGGGCAGGAGGTGGGTGCGGCACGGCCGGGGTCGCGGGGCTCGGGGACTACCGGCGAGGGTACGTGGGCCCACTGAGCACCTGTCTTACCATGAGACTAATCTATCCCAGCCTCGCCATTCCCATCTGTGAAATGGGGATGGCATCGCCTGTGGTGCGGGGGAGGGGGCGCGTTTCGGAGCGAGGTGAGCCGAAGTGGGCAGAGCTCTTAGAGGGGCGGGGCTGTTGGGAGAGCAAGGGCGGATGGTGATAGTCGGAAAAGCCCGGATAATGAGGGTCGGGACTGTGGGAGGAGTCCTTGGTGGGTGGGGCAAGGAGAGGCGGGATCTCTAGGTGGGGGTGGGGCACTTGTCAGGTCGGAGTGGGGGCTGTAGGGCTGGGGAGTGGGTGCGGAACAAGCCGATGAGGCCAGCCTGGGTGAGATTGGGGAAGGAAGGGCGGAGACACAGATGACAGGGAACTTGCCCCGCTCTGGAGAGCCCTGGGCCGGCCGCGCTGTGGCGGCGTGGGCAAAAGCCTGTGATGCATAGAACACCTCCCTTTACTGACTGGAAATAAAGAGTCCATCCCCGAGTTCAGTGCGGCACACCAGTGATCTCATTGACCTCCCACGCCCTGAAAAGTAGAGGCGTCACTATAGCGGTTGACAGGTGAGGAATGTGAGGCTCAGAAAAGCGAAGGGACTTGCCTAAAACCACTCAGGACTCCTTACTTCAAAGACCTTGCTTTTCTCCCTGCACTCGGGGAGGCAGAGGTTTAGCTTGGCGTGGGAGGCAGGAAAGAAAAGTTTTGATGCCCCGACCTTCGCAAATTGTCTGGCAGGACCAGTCCCCCCAACCCTTCCGAATGACAGCCTGTAAGGCAGCCCTCCTATAGTACTGTGAGGATGAAATGAGATGGATTTGAAAGCACGGTGTTTATAAATTACTGTTTGGAGGAGACATAGGAAGAGAGCGGTTTGAAATGGGGTGCTGGTGCCGGAGGAAAAGCACAAGGTGAAGCGTGAGAGTGAGCCGAGAAGGTGAAGGAAAGTTCTGGAAGGGGCTGGGGGATGGTAGTGGTTGTTGGAGGTCTACGCCAGATGAAAGAATACCTTGCCGTGCCAGATTCCGTGGTCTCCTTCTTCCAGCCCACCTTTCTCTCCTCCTGCCTTTTGCGCAGCTCATTCTGGGGTCCCTGTGTCTAGGAAGCACCTTTTCTCTCCTCCCTATGGGTTGTGATGGTAATAGAGCAGCCTTCGGATTTCTTAGAGATATGGACTGGGCAAGACAGAATTATAGACGCAGCTCTTTGATGTGGGGTGGTCAGGAAGAGGAGGTGAAGAAAGGGTAGTCGTCCTAGGGGCTTCAAGGCAAAGAGTCCTTTCTCCGGTGGGGTAAGGTGGGGAAGTCTCCCACTTACTGGAAAACACAGTACTCACTCTGAGCATTGTCTTTTTTGAAATTTACCCAGCCACGTGCTGTCCATTCCCTTACGCAGTGGAAACTCTCCTTGCATTTACTCCCAAGTAATCACCTCGGCCTTGTCACATCCCTTTAGATTCCAGATTGAAAATTGAACAGAGCATTTCAAAATTAAAAAGTTTTGAAAATCCAGGTGGGGAAAATGGATCTGACTAAACAGGAGAGAAATTTCTTCCTCTTCCCCTATTCTACGTGCTTCTGTGGATATAGAAAGGGGCACCCCCAGCCCCAGCAAGGGAGCCAGGCATCCATCTACTTAAGTAAAGTTGGCTGTGGTAAGGGGTTAGACTAAAATTCTCCGCAGATGCAGAGGAGAAGGAATGAATTCCAGCTGAGAGACCTGGCCGATGCATGGGATTTGTCTTCAAGGTCCAGGCAGAGGGGATGGCAGATGCCAAATTGCAGAAGTCGAAGAGGGCCCAGTATGGTTGGTCTGTAAAGTAGGTATATAATAGTATCTACTTAATCTGTGAGATTGAAAGAGATTAACATGTATAGAGTGCCTAGCACGGTAGTAACTGCTCAATAAACGTTAGCCATTATTATTGCCGTTGTAGTGTTTGTTGTTGTTATGATCATCATCATCTGCCCAGGAACGTGCCCAGGGCTGCACAGCTAGTAAGTGGCAGGGGATGATTCAAATGCAAACCCAGGTAATGCCGAATACCATGCATGGTCTGCCCCTACCCCACACAGCCTCTCCAGTTCTTTTCTTTTTTTTTTTTTTTTTTTTTTTTTTTTTTTTTTTTGAGACAGGGTCTTACTCTGTTGCCCAAGCTGGAGTGCAGTGGCGTGATCTCGGCTTGCTGCAGCCTGACCTCCCAGGCTCAAGCGATCCTCCTACCTCAGCCTGTGCAGCTGGGACTGCAAGCACGTGTTACCATGCCCAGCTAATTTTTTTTTTTCTCTATAGAAACGAGGTCTCATTATGTTGTCCAGGTGGTCTCAAACTCCTGAACTCAAGCGATCCTCCCACCTGGGCCTTCCAAGTGCTGGGATTACAGGCATGAGCCACTGAGCCTGGCCTGTCTCCAGTTCTTTCTGCCCATCCTTGACATTTCTGAGGCCCAGGAGTGGCCTCTCTTTGTCAACATTCACAGTGAGTCATGACAGGAGTTTCTTTCCTGCCGAGTTACAGAGATTCTGGGTTCATGATGAGGCAGGAAAAACAAGGCCTGAACAGCCATCTTCTTCCAGGCAGAATCACAGCACAGAAGATAGGCAGACCTGGCCGGGCGCGGTGGCTCACGCCTGTAATCCCAGCACTTTGGGAGGCTGAGGTGGGTGGATCATTTGAGGTCAGGAGCTTGAGACCAGCCTGGCCAACGTGGTGAAACCCCGTCTCTACTAAAAATACAAAAATTAGCCGGGCATGGTGGCACGCACCTGAAATCCCAGCTACTCAGGAGGCTGAGGCAGGAGAATCACTTGAACCTGGGAGGCAGAGGTCGCAGTGAGCCAGGATCACGCCACTGCACTCCAAACTGGGTGACAGAGCGAGACTCTATCTCAAAAAAAAAAAATAGGCCTAGTGGTGTGGTTTCTGTGGGTGGTGGCTCTATCCAGACTGCCCACCCAGGCTTAGATTCTAACTCCTCCACCACTTAGCCCTGGTTGGCATCCTCACCCTTCAAAATTCAGAAACACTTGGGAAGGAAAATTATGAGCTTTTCACACTTCTAAGTAGTAGTAGTAAATCTGTAACTTACTAAATCTGGCGACTTATTGGGGTCTGGCACAATGACTGTAACTTTACATCTATTGGCCCTATGAAGAAGTGTTCTTCCCCCCTCTTTTAAAATACAAATATTTTTAAAATTTTCAAGCTTACATAAAAGCTTAAAGTACAACCCTTAACCTAGATACGCCAAATCACAATTTGCCAATTGTGCTTTTACACAAACACACACTTTTTTGGCCCAATTATTTAAAAGTAAGTTACAGATATGTTGATTGACGTTTGACCCCTAAATTCTTCAACATGTATCCCCTAATAAGGGCGTTCTACTACATAGCCATAATACATTATATGTAATAAGCAAGAAGTCAGTATTACCCAATGTAATAGTTATTCAAAATTTTCTGCCAGGTGCAATGGGTCATGTCTATAACCCCAGCACTTTGGGAAGCAAAGGCAGACAGATTGCTTGAGCCCAGGAGTTCAAGGCCAGCCTGGGCAACATAGTGAAACCCCATCTCTACAAAAACTACAAAATTTAGCATGGTGTGGTAGCGTGCACCTGTAGTCCCAGCTACTTGGGAAAATCACCTGAGCCTGGGGATGTCAAGGCTGCAGTGAACCATGATCGCGCCACTGCACTCCAGCCTGGGCGACAGAGTGAGACCCTGTCTCAAGAAAAAAAAAATTCTAATTGCCCAAAAATACCTTATATAGTTTCTGGTTTTTAAAATCAGATCCAGTCAAGATGTACATATTGCATCCTATTATATCTCTTTTATCAACTCATTTAATCTAAATAGAGCCCCTTGGCATGGTAGCTCATGTCTGTAATCCCAACATTTTGGGAGGCTGAGGTGGGCAGATCACTTGAGGTCAGGAGTTCGAGACCAGCCTGGCCAACATGGTGATACCCCATCTCAAGTAAAAATACAAAAATTAGCCGGACATGGTGGTGTGTGCCTATACTCCCAGCTACTCAGGAGGCTGAGGCAAGAGAATTGCTTGAACTCAGGAGGTGGAGGTTGCAGTGAGCCGAGATTGTGCCACTGCACTCCAGCCTGGGCAACAGAGTGTGACTCTATCTCAAATAAATAAATAAATAAATAAATAGAGCTTCTCCACCTATTTAAATATGTTTGATTGGTTTATCAATGATTAGATTGGGGTTAGATTTAAGTTTTTGGCAATGTGTGTACTTACTGCATGTCAGGAGGATATGATGTCAGGGTCTTACTATCCATGAATGCTAAATTTGATTATTAAGGTCATGGCAACCTGATCTCTCTATCGTAAAGGTAAATTTTTCTCTCTTACAATTAATAAGTAATCTGTGAAGTGATTCTCTGAGTCTGTTATAATTATGTGTTCCTGATAACCTTTCACACCACATCCTTGGATGATCCTTGCTTGAATTACAACACTGAGGGTTGCAAATTGGTAATTTTCTAATTCTGCCATTCCTTCTGTGTTTATTAGTGTTCTTTTTTATAGAATTAATTTTTCCTGGCCGGGTGCGGTGGCTCACGCCTGTAATCCCAGCACTTTGGGAGGCCGAGGCGGGCGGATCACGAGGTCAGGAGATCGAGACCATCCTGGCTAACAAGGTGAAACCCTGTCTCCACTAAAAATACAAAAAATTAGCCGAGCGAGGTGGCGGGCGCCTGTAGTCTCAGCTACTCGGGAGGCTGAGGCAGGAGAATGGCGTGAACCCTGGGAGGCGGAGGTTGCAGTGAGCCGAAATCACACCACTGCACTCCAGCCTGGGCGACAGTGAGACTCCGTCTCAAAAAAAAAAAAAAAGAATTAATTTTTCCTGTCTCTATCTTTCTCACTCCCTTCTTCTCACCCTCTTTTTTCTTTTGGGAATAACATTATGGACTCTTGTTTTTTGTTTGTTTGTTTTTGAGATGGAGTCTCACTCTGTTGCCCTGGCTGGTGTGCAGTGGCACGATCTTGGCTCACTGCAACCTCCACTTCCCAGATTCAAGCGATTCTCCTGCCTCAGCCTCCCAAGTAGCTGGAATAACAGGCGCACGCCACCCCGCCCAGCTATTTTTTGTATTTTTAGTAGAGATGGGGTTTTGCCATGTTAGCCAGGCTGGTCTTGAACTCCAGACCTCAGGTGATCCGCCCGCCTCGGCCTCCCAAAGTGCTGAGATTACAGGCATGAACTACCGCACCCAGCCTGGACTCTTGTTTTGTTGTTGTTGTTTTTTAATTCACTGGGCTATATGAACTCACCTTGAACTTTTCCTGTGAAAGTCCAGGAATCATCAGTTTCTCCAGGAAGCCCTGGTTTCTTTTAGAAGAGATGATGACATTCAGAAACAAAGATCCAGGGCTAGGTGTGTTTATTGCTACTGGGTGTCATTTCTAGGCTCTGTGAGTGAGCAGAGCTAGGAAATGATGGATAGGTGATTGATAGATAGATGATAGATGGACAATTTTCATTACTCAGTACATTTATTGTTACAACAGCTAGTCCCCACTGACAGGATTGCATGGTAAGTCATTTCATTATGGAAGTAATGCTCATTATGGAAGTGGACAGTAATGTAGGAAAAAAGGAAATTGCACAGAAAAGAGCTCTTGCCTACTCCAGGTCGCCATGAGTATACAGACTGTTGGCTAGGACCTCTGTGGCTGGGTTCAGCTTCCTGCCGAAGACGTCTAAAGGACTGGTTCTCTGAAGGGTGTCCAAACCAGAACTTCCCAGAGGCCATGACTCTGAGGTCAAGAATCCACATGAAGCCCTGGGCAAGGGATTCACGCTCTTTGGGTCTGCTTTAGGTTGTCTTTGAAACAAAGACAATGTAATCGGTCCTGCCTGGGTCCCAGAGTTGTAAGGATCAATATATTTATCAATATGTTTATTTTTAAACATTGCTAGTTGTGTCTCTTCACATTTATTACCAAATTCCTTCTCTTCTCATTGTTTTAAAACCACAGAGGGAAATGTCATTGCTTTATAATCTAGTTTAATACATTGCGCTAAGATGTCTTATTCAAATACTCTTTCAGGTTATCAGTCATCAGTGCTTCCAGATTAAAATTTTAATTATTTAAATCTTTTTTGAAAAATACTATTGGGATTTGGATTAGGATAGCATAACAACTATAATTAATTTTGAGGGGGGGGGGGTGCTTTGGGATAAGGCCTGGCTCTGTCACCCAAACCAGAGTGCAGTGGCACAGTCTTGGCTCACTGCAACCTCCACCTACTGGGACAAAACCAATTATTAAAATAGAAGAAGTTCCTATAGCTATTATCACTTGGGAAATTACACAGTTTTTAGCCCTGGCCAACAGCTGGGGACAAATCTAAAATGTATATTGCTTATTATATCACAGTATCACACAACCCCTCCCCTGAGTGCAAGGCGGTGACTATGCAGACGTGAGACATGCAGTTGCTCTCAGCTCACAAACTAGGCAGTGGTTTCCAAAAAAAATTGTTTTGTCAGCCACAGTATGAAGATACCATGATCCAGTTCATAGACACACAACTGAAACAAAAGTTTCACAACAATATATAATTGGTTACAACCCACTTAACTGTATTGATGTCATGACTTGCCAATAGGTCACAACCTTCATTTTTTTTCCTGTTTATGGAGGTAAAACTTAAGTATGGTAAAATTTACACTTTTTTTTTAATTGAGACAGGGGTCTTACTATGTTTTCCAGGCTGGTCTTGAACTCCTGGGCTCAAGTGACCCTCCTGCCTCGGCCTCTCAAAGTACTGGGATTATAGGCATGAACCACCACAGCTGGCCACAATTCACCCTTTTAGATGTGTATGGTTACATGAATTTTGACAGTCTTTATAAACACATTTGACCACCACCACATCATATTACTTTTGTGCCAACCTAATAGAATATTCCCATCACTCCAAAATATGCCTTGTGTTTCTTTGTAACCAGTCTTTTCCCTCCAACCCAGCCCCAAGAATTCACTTAATCTGATTTCTGTCTTTATAGTTTTGCCTTTGCCAGAACGTTATACAGATAGAGTCATGTACCATGTAACCTTCTGAGGCTGGCTTCTTTCACTTGACGTAATGCTTTTGAAATTCATGTATGTGGTAATGTCTTTTAGTAGTTCCTATATATTGCTGAGTCATATTCTATTGTATGGATGTACTGCAATTTATCTGTTTACAATTAGTTGTTTCTGAGTTTGGGCAATTATGAATAAGCTGCCATAAACATTCACATATGAGTCTTTGCATGGACATATGTCTCCATTTCTCCGGCATAAATACCTAGGAGTAGGGTCATTGGGTCACGTGATAATTGTATGCTGTATTAGTCCATTCTCACACTGCTAATAACAACATACCCCAGACTGGCTAATTTACAAAGGAAAGAGGTTTAATTGACTCACGGTTCCACAGGACTAGGGAGGCCTCAGGAAACTTAAAATAATGGTGGAAGGGGAAGCAAACATGTCTTTCTTCACATGGCAGCAGCAAGGAGAAGTGCCAAGCGAAGGGGGAAACCCCTTATAAAACCATCAGATCTCTTAAGAACTCACTATCACAAGAACAGCATGAGGAAAACCGCCCCAATGATTCAATCATCTCCACCTAGTCCTGCCCTTGACACATGGGGATTATTACAATTCAAGGTGAGATTTGGGTGGGGACACAGAGCCAAACCATACCATATGTCAAACTATTTTCAACAGCGGTTACCATTTGTCAGCAGTGTATGAGGTTTCCATTGTTCTATGTACTCACCTTCAATTGGCATTGTCAGTTTTTATATGAGCCACTAATAGGTATATAGTAGCATATAATTGTGGTTTCAATTTTCATACTCTCATGACTGATGATATTGACCATCTTTTCATGTGATTGTCAGTCATCTGCATATCTTCTTTGCTGGAGTATTTGTTAGATCTTTTGTCTAGTTGTTTTGTTTTTGTTTTTGTTTAAGTAGAGATAGGGTTTCACCATGTCGGCCAGGCTGTTCTTGAACTCCTGGCCTCAAGTGATCTGCCCGCCTCAGCCTCCCAAAGTGCTGGGATTACAGGCATGTGCCACTGCACCCAGCTTTATGTGTTTTTTAATTGGGTTATTTTCTTACTGAGTTTTGAGAGTTCTTTATATATTCTGGTTAACAATCCTTTATCAGATAGGTGTTTTGCAAATATTTTCTCCATCTGTGTCTTATTCTTTCATTTTCTTAACAGTGTCTTTTGAAGAGCAGAAGTTTTTTACGTGGATGAAGTCTAGTTTATTGATGTTTTTAATGGTTTGTCCCTTTTAGGTCCTATCCAAGAAATCTTTGCCTAATCCACAGTTGCAAAGATTTTCTCCTAGAAGTTGTGTAGTTTTAGATTTTATATTTAGGTCTATGATATGTTCTGAGTTTATTTTTCATAAACAGCATAAGAGATGGACCAAGGTTCTTTTTTTCCCCATATGGATGTCCACTGATCTGCATTTTGAGATAGCCAGGGAAGAGGGCCATGTGCAAAGGAGATCGCTGCAGGTGGAATGCTGGGTGCTGCCAGAGGGGGTTGTGCAAGGCACCAGGAAGCCCTGAGAGGAGAGCTGTTAACCTAGTGGAGATCTGGGGACAGTAGTACAGAGGTGATGACTCATAGGCTGGGCCTGAAAGGTAGACAGCAGAGAGGGTAGAGAAGGTAGACAGGGGTGGTCTAGGGACAGCAAAGGCAGGGCAGGTGTCAGCATGAAGGAGACTGACTCAGTGGCGTCTGGCGTGCGTGGAGGGCAGGGTTAGACATGAGAGGGAAAGAGGAAGGTGGTTGGGCAGGGACGGTACTTCAGGAAGGTCAGTCTGCAGACCAGAAAGGAAGGTGGACAGAAGGCAGGGAGCCGAGTGAGGATGTAGGGGTGCAGGGGGCAGGGATGAGGCCTGAGCTCTGGGAGTAGCTATAGGGATGGGTTCAAGGAGATAGTCAAGACAAACTGTAGGGCTGAAGAGTCGGGGCTGCTTCCCTCAGGCAGTTGGGTGGCTCAGAAGAGTTCACAGCAGAGTTAGGGGCAGAGGAAGGCACAGGTGAGGCTTCTGGTACCTGTGTTACTGGTGGAGGGTCTTGACTAGGAATTTTCCAGGTCCTTGGCGTTTTGAACAAAGTAGCAGAGGGGCAGACGTGGTAATCCCCACACTTTGGGAGGCCTGGATGGGCAGATCACTTGAGGTCAGTCCAAGACCGGCCTGGCCAACGTGGTGAAACCCGTCTCTACTAAAAAAAAAAAAAGTAAAAATAAAAAGAGTAGCAGGGGAATGAAATGCAGGAATGAAGCAGTGAAAGCAGGAATTAAAGTGAGAAAGCACTCCTCAGGGTGGGAGTGGGCCGGAGCAAGGAACTCAAAGGCCCAGTTACAAAGTTCTCTGGGCTTTAGGTACCCCATTTGAGGTTCTTATCAGCTACTCCTTATCTGGACGAAGGATTTAGTCTGTGGCTAATTAAAGGCTGAGGTGAATGGGCACCCTATGCAGATAAAGGGATGGTCCCAATCCAAGGCCCCCCTCCCTTTCCACCTGAGACATGGTGGAGTGGGAGGGTTGCAAAGAGGAGCGTTTGATCCTTTGTCACCCAGCTGGGGCGATGGCGTTTTTCCTCTTGGTTCAGCTTTAGGAATTTGGTGTTAATTGGTCTTAGGGTCCCTGCCCCCAGACCCAGGATTTTCCTTCTGATCCAGCTTTGGGAAGTCAACAGAATTGGCCTCAGATTTTTTGCCCCAGACCTTGGTGTTTTCTCTTTTATGAAGTTAGCACAAATTGGCCTTAAGTTCCTTGTCTCCAAACCTTGTTCTCCTGCCTCACTTGCAGAATATCCAAGTGGAGGTGGCCAGGAGGCATCTGGGAACACATAGGGGACTGAGGCTCAGTGGTGTTAGTTCATTACTACCTGACTGCAAACCTCCGCCGACTCATGAAACTCCCCTCGTGTCATGTCATTTTGCCTTTTGTAGCAGGGCCGTGGATTTGTGATGATGGACACTGTGGCCCTGTGGCTAGAAAATAGGGGCTTAGACCAGGCACGGTGGCTCACGCCTGTAATCCCAGCACTTTGGGAGGCCGAGGCGGGCAGATCACAAAGTCAAGAGATCGAGACCATCCTGGCCAACATGGTGAAATCCCATCTCTACTAAAAATACAAAAATAAATTAGCCGGGCCTGGTGGCGTGCACCTGTAATTGCAGCTACCCGGGAGGCTGAGGCAGGAGTGTCGCTTGAATCTGGGAGGCAGAGGTTGCAGTGAGCTGAGATTGCGTCACTGCACTCTAGCCTGGCGACAGAGCGAGACTCCATCTCAAAAAAAAAAAAAGAAAAGAAGGGCTTAGAGGACTGAGCTCTGTGACTGGATAGGTAAGGGGAGATCACCACAGAGAGCACCCTAGACTCGGAGCAGGAGACCTGCCTGCTAGCCAGCCTCTGCCCTGACTGCCTGTGCAACTGTGCTGCTCTCCCCAGACAAATGACCGGGAGCCATGACGTCATCGGGGGCGCAGGAAAGCAGGTGCTCTGCTGCTTTTGCAAGCAGAGAAATAAGAGTTTGGGCACCTACCCAGGGGTCCCAGGGAATGCCCTGTGGCTCCTGACCTCCCCCGCCTGTAATGCTCTGAGCACTTCAGCAGTAATGCATGGAAGAGATAAGGGTCTGTGACCCATGGAACTGTCCAAGTCCTCTCTGACACCCGCTTCTTTTCCTGCCGTGAAGGTAAGCCACTTTATAGATCCTAGGCCTGAAACCCAATGTTGGGAGGGAGTGTTTGTTTTCAAGAAGAAAGAGAGACTGAAACTAGAACATGCACATTTCTATCCAGAAGAAAACAGTTGGAGTAGACTAGAGTCCTACAAAGAGGGCAACAGGGAAGAAGATTCTGGACTGAGTAAAGGGGACCCACTCCTGGGTCCACCTCCTGCCTGGGCCCTCTGGAGAGAGAATTGGCCAGATTCAGCCCTGAGTCACAGCACCCTCCCCAGTTGCTGCCTCACAGCCATCTCCACACCAGCAGCCATGCCCCCAGCGGCAGCTCGCCCACACCTCTGTGGGACCTCCCCACCGTCTCGCAGCCCATCTGCTCCAGGCTTCTACTGACGATTTCGTATTTCACATGGACTCATTTCTCCTCAGACACTCCAGATGGGGAATGCCTTTCTGCAATATCAAAGTGCCCCATTAGACTGGGGAGGAATCATGAGGGGACATACCCCTGCCCCTGCCACAGAGTCGAGCATGGCAGCTGAATATCTCTCACACTGGCATGGCCCCCATCCTCTGGAGAAAGGAGGCCTCAGTGCAGTCAGCCTCTTCAGGAGGCAGAAATGTTGAGAAGTTCTCGCCACCCCTGCTGGGTGACTTTGGGGAGGTGTCTCCTCAGACCTCTGTTTCTCCATCTGGACGGTAAGCATGCTTGAAAGGTTGGGTTTTTGTTTGTTTTTTGAGACCGGATCTCCCTCTGTCTGCCAGGCTGGAGTTCTGTGGCGTAATCACGGCTCACTGCAGCCTCAACCTCCCAGACTCAAGCGATCCTCCCACCTCAGCCTCCCAAGTAGTTGGGACTACAGGTGCTCGCCACCACACCCTGCTTTGTTGTTGTTGTTGTTGTTGTTGTTGTTGTTGTTGTAGAGACAGGATTTCGTCATGTTGGCCAGGCTGGCCTTGAACTCCTGAGCTCAAACGATCTGCCCACCTCGGCCTCCCAAAGTGCTGGAATTACAGGCATGAGCCACTGTGTCTGCCAGCCAGATAGTTTTTGATGTGCCAAGGTTCATTCCAGACCATCTCCCACATCTTCTACCTGTCTTGTCACTGTGCCTTTACTCTCTCATCTCCTCTACCAGCACAGGCTCTTCTGGGGGTAATACTGGGGCCAGTTCCTCTTGGCATCCCTACCTGCCATGTCAGGGAAGGATTGCTGAATCTGGTCCACAGGTTGGCTCTGGGGAAAGTATAGTGTTGGAAGCTGGAGCTGAGATCTCCTGTTTTCTAGAACATGTGGTGAAGGAGACTTGCCAGCCATAGATGCTGACAGCTGAGAGATTAGGGGGGCTTTGTTAAGGAGTGGATAGGGTGCCTTCAGGAGAGTGCTCTGACAGAGTCCTGCATTTGCACTGACCTTGCAGCCAGTTTCAGAGAAGCTTGGGGTGTTATGACAGCAAAGGACAGGCCACCAGGAGCCAAGAGCATCTTCATGGCAAGGCAAGTCAGCATGGGAGCAGTGAAAGTCTAGAAAGGATTGTCATTCACATGCACACGTATGTTTATTGCGGCACTATTCACAGTAGCAAAGACTTGGAACCAACCCAAATGTCCAACAATGATAGACTGGATTAAGAAAATGTGGCACATATACACCATGGAATACTATGCAGCCATAAAAAATGATGAGTTCATGTCCTTTGTAGGGACATGGATGAAATTGGAAATAATCATTCTCAGTAAAGACTACTGCAAGGACAAAAAACCAAACACCGCATGTTCTCACTCATAGGTGGGAATTGAACAATGAGAACACATGGACACAGGAAGGGGAACATCACACTCTGGGGACTGTTGTGGGGTAGGGGGAGGGGAGAGGGATAGCATTAGGAGATATACCTAATGCTAAATGACGAGTTAATGGGTGCAGCACACCAGCATGGCGCATGTATACATATGTAACTAACCTGCACATTGTGCACATGTACCCTAAAACTTTAATAATAATAAAATTTAAAAAAATTTAAAAAAAACAGGATTGTCATTTGCAGTCCGGACAGCTGAGTGACCCACTGTGGGCCTTGAAGATAGATGGAAATGACACTAATCATGGCCATTCATTGTCAAATCTTTGAGAGAGAATAATAATTAAATTCAGCAGTGTCACTGGTACAGAAGGAGGAGCACTGAGCCTGGAGTCATAAATCTCAAACCATTTGTTGAGTACTTAGAACCGATCTTTGGCTAGTAAGCATTTACACATTTTTCTTTCATATAAAAGGACCTGAGTTTGAATCCTGGCAAGGCACTTCACCTTTCTGAGCTTGAGGAATGAATCCTGGCACAGTTTTCCTCATCTGCACAACAGGAATGGATGATTATATTGTCTGTGTCAAAAGATGATACAACCTTTTTTTTTTTTTTTTTTTTGAGACAGAGTTTCACTCTTGTTGTCCAGGCTGGAGTGCAGTTGTTCAGTCCCGGCTCACTGCAACCTCCACCTCCTGAGTTCAAATGATTCTCCTGCCCCAGCCTCCTGAACAGCTGGGATTACAGGCACCCACCACCATGCCCAGCTAATTTTTGTATTTTTAGTAGAGATGGGGTTTCACCATGTTGGCCAGTCTGATCTTGAACTCCTGATCTCAGGTGATCTGCCCGCCTCGGCCTCCCTAAGTGCTGGGATTACAGGTGTGAGCCACCGCACCTGGCTGATACAACTATTATGTAAGCAAATATATGTATAAACACGTAGCATAGCTTTCAGTCCAGGCACGTTTTCCTTTCTTTCTTTAGACCAGTGGTTCTCTATTCTAACTGAACATTTAGAATCACTAAGGGAACTCTTTCAAAATACCAGGGCTGGGGCAGTATTCCAGACCAATTAAAATAGAATGTCGGCAGCAGAGGGGGGCGCGGGGGACCCAGGCTTTAGGGGTCCTTCCCTTTCTTTCCCTGTTTCCTTTTTCCTTTCCTTTTCCCTTTCTCCTTTCCCTCTCCCTAGTGAAGCTAATGTACTTTGCACAGTGTTAGCAATTATCACCCATTCATCAGGTATTAATTCATTTCGATCCCAAGGGCATAGGCTTGATGTACAATAAGGAGTTAAGGACTGTGAGTTCTCTGATAAGGTTTGGTTATAGTCATTTCTCACTTCTCACCCTCTCCAGGACTACTTCCAGCAACCCAGTCTCCTGCCATGTCCGACCCCATCACGCTGAACGTCGGGGGGAAGCTCTATACAACCTCACTGGCGACCCTGACCAGCTTCCCTGACTCCATGCTAGGCGCCATGTTCAGCGGGAAGATGCCCACCAAGAGGGACAGCCAGGGCAACTGCTTCATTGACCGTGACGGCAAAGTGTTCCGCTATATCCTCAACTTCCTGCGGACCTCCCACCTTGACCTGCCTGAGGACTTCCAGGAGATGGGGCTGCTCCGCAGGGAGGCCGACTTCTACCAGGTGCAGCCCCTGATTGAGGCCCTGCAGGAGAAGGAAGTGGAGCTCTCCAAGGCCGAGAAGAATGCCATGCTCAACATCACACTGAACCAGCGTGTGCAGACGGTCCACTTCACTGTGCGCGAGGCACCCCAGATCTACAGCCTCTCCTCTTCCAGCATGGAGGTCTTCAACGCCAACATCTTCAGCACCTCCTGCCTCTTCCTCAAGCTCCTTGGCTCTAAGCTCTTCTACTGCTCCAATGGCAATCTCTCCTCCATCACCAGCCACTTGCAGGACCCCAACCACCTGACTCTGGACTGGGTGGCCAATGTGGAGGGCCTGCCAGAGGAGGAGTACACCAAGCAGAACCTCAAGAGGCTCTGGGTGGTGCCCGCCAACAAGCAGATCAACAGCTTCCAGGTCTTCGTGGAAGAGGTACTGAAAATCGCTCTGAGCGATGGCTTCTGCATCGATTCTTCTCACCCACATGCTCTGGATTTTATGAACAATAAGATTATTCGATTAATACGGTACAGGTAAAAGGACCCCAACAACACTGGAGATGGGGAGTCCCAGGAAGCTCATGTCAGCCAGGTCTTGGAGGGCATCTCGCCAGTGGTGCGAGGCAGGGGACTATACTAATCTGTATTAATTGTGTAGCAGGACTTGATTCCCCCCATGATGAAGTCCACCTTTTGGAATCCAGTGTCCTCTGAACAGAACCACCTTTTTTCTTGCCATTTTGAGCTGCAGACAGGCGGTTTATTATGACAAGTGAAGAGTCAGCTGATGTGTACTAAAGGAGGCCATAGGAGGATTTTCCAGCCAGGACAAAAGAGCAGCAGTTTTCTCCTGGGCTCCATCTCTCTGTACCGCTAGCCAGTGCCGCATTTATCCATCTGTAAGAAGGCCCTGGTGGAGAGGATGGGATGAGAACAAGAGGCTACCTCCAGTTAACCAGGACATAAAGTCCCCAGCGGTTCCTGTCACACCTGCTCCTCCCTCCCCAGGGTGCATCCATGATCGTGGATGTTTGCCCAGGGGTGACCATGTTTGGCTGGCTTGGAATGCTGTGCATTCTCAGAGCTCTGTTAGTGTCCCCTCTTGGGGGTCAGAGATGAGGTGTGGCAGGGTCTAGAGGAATGAGTGTCCAGGCAGAGTTCAGAAGGTAGGAATGTCCCTCTTGATAGGGCTGAATCAAGGGATTCCTGGCTTTAGAAAGGGTCTGCTATCTTTGCAAAAATGTGCAAGTATCTGTAGCCAGTGTAATGAAATCACTTCCAAATCCAGCCTGTTACCTGACTTTTGTCATTGTTTTCCCAAAAATTTGAGGTATCATTGAAACAGGTCATTTTAAACAAATCTATTACGGATTCTCAGGGTTGGAAATAATTCGATGATTGCTTAGTCCTCCCCCACCCCTAGAACACCCCAGCACATCTGAAGATGAGCGCCTCTCCCTGGGTACCTGCAAGTGATCACCTTGGCCTGCTTGCATACCTTGGCTGATAGGAAGCGCGCCATCCCCAAGGCAGCTCCTGCTGTGGTTGGACAGTGCTGACTGTTAGACAGTTCTTCCCTATATTGAGCCAAAATCTGTCCTGCCACTTGCTGGATCTTGGTTGCAGACCTTCCCATTCACCCAGTTATATATCTTTGCTTTCAAAATAGTCACCTTGAGAGACCAGACATTTTTCTGAAAACATCATTACTCAGAATTCAGATTCCCCTCTGGGATCTGTCTTCAGAATCAAAGTTAGCTCTTTTCTATCCCCTGTAAGTCAGTCCCCTTTTGTTGTAGCTTCACCTCGTTTGTGACCCCCACTTCACCCACCTTCCCCACCATCTGTGGCTCCATATACCTTTCGACCATTTTCTGCTGGAAGAGGAAGATTCACGGCCCCTGAGGAGATCCAGAGGAAAGAGACGGTCTCCAAGGGTGCTGTGCAGCAAGGAGCCCAGGAGTGGTATGAACCGTAACAGTGCCCTTAGAGTAAATGTGCGGCCCCTAAGACCCTGCCCTCAGGAAGGCGGCCTTCCCCTGCAGTCCTGTGTCCCACCCCTGGGTCTCTGTAGGGTGCCATCCAGGGCAAGCAACCCAAGCACTGCTTCCCACCGGGTGATGAGCCATGCAGGCCTCCAAACTGCACGTCATGATTCATCCCTAAAGTGAGTTTGGCCTTGAGAGTCCCCAGGGTCCTCCCCCACTGGGCAGGGGTCCTCAAAGCCAAGGAAGCCTGGTGACACAGGCACCCATGGGAGGTGGGCCCAGAAAGGGGCTTCCCATAGATAGGCCCTGTGAGTAGGGAGCTTGTACACTGGGCCATGGGCAGCGCCAGTTCCCTTGAGCAGTAAAGGCCCTTTTCCCCCTACGGTGGGACCCAGGAGTCTCTCTGACAGCTTTTCTGCCAGGCACAGTGGCTCATGCCTGTAATCCCAACACTCTGGGAGGCCGAGGCGGGAAGATCACTTGAGGTCAGGAGTTCAAGACCAGCCTGGCCAACATGGTGAAACGTCGTCTCTGCTAAAAATACAAAAATTAGCTGGGTGTGGTGACAGGCGCCTATAACCCCAGCTATTTGGGAGGCTGAGGCAGTAGAATCGCTTGAACCCAGATAGCAGAGGTTGCAGTGAGCTGAGAGTGTGCCATTGCAGAGAGACTCCATCCCAAAAAAAGACAGCTGTCCCAGGCCAAGGGTACTTGGGAGAGCCCCTCATGGAGAACCTAGTTTAGACCAAGTAGCAGAAGCTGTGGTCATAACAAAACAATTTGAGGAAGAAATCTTACAAATCACCACTGCCCTTTCTCCTTTTCCATAAAACTGTCCATCTTTTCGGTGCTCCCTAATCCAAGCAGCTTGACTTTAGAGAAGTTGCAGAAGCAGTGAAGCCACTAACATGCTGTGTGACTTTATGCAAGTCACTCACCTCACTGAGCCACCTCCATTTCTTCATCTGTGAAATAGGCATAACAGTAATACATAACCCTACCTACCTCACAGGGCTGTTGTGAGGATCAAATGAAATAATGTAACGTGAGAATACAGTATAAATGATAAAGGATTGTTATTCTTTTGTGTCTGCTTGTAACGGGGAAAAACACTGGTCTTGAGTCACAGTGACTTGGGTTTGAATCCAGAGCTCCAAGCCTCTGTAACCTTGGACAAGTCATTGAACTTCTCTGATTTGTTTGCTCATCAGGTAACAACCCCTTCCTCCCGGGGTTATGCAACTTAAACGAGTTGGTGTCTGTGAAAATCCTGAGCTGGGCCTGGCACCCAAGAGCTCAGTGCTCTTGCAGGAGGTAGTCATGGTGGACTCTGGTGGGGGACTAGGAGTCCCAGGAGAGTGGAGTTTAACAAGCCCTTACAGAGCATTTGCTGCGTGGGCCCTGAGGATGTGAACAGCCACGAGTAAGCTAAGTTCAGCCTGGAGAAAGTTTAGAGCTTCACACAACGTGCTTTGGGAACTCAGGGAAAGGGCTCAGTTCTCAGAAGGAGCCTTGTGGATGGCCAAGGTGGGCCTCTGAGGGTAGGTCAGGCTTGACAGAATAAGCAAGAGAGTGCCGTGGGCACAGGGAACAGCAAGAGCAGAGCTGGCAACCAGGCAGGAAGGGCAAGCAAGGGAGGGTATGCGTTCACACCACAGCTGCACAAGGGGAAGGGGGGCACGCAGTGCATCTCGTTGCCTGCGTCCAGGTTAGGTGAACTCAGCCTTCTGCTTGGCAAAAGCATGAGAAAGACGGAGAACAAACGTTCAGCAGTGATGGCAGCACCATCGACAGACGGGTGAGTCTGAGTGCGAACTGTGAGCAGGGATGTGCTGCTTGTGAGCCCTTCATTGCCCTGGGTGAGACCTTGTGGTGATCTCACCTGGACCCAGTTTAGCCTTTTATCCCGCCAAGGGCTCCATCCCAGCTGAAGGAGCAACGCCGGGAACACAACACTCGTCAGCTCTCAGTTCCTGCCCTAGGTGTGGTCCCCTGCATGCAGAGGGACAGAATGGGTGCTTGAGGGAACCCTAAGCACCCACCTTGGTGTGACTCCTTCATGAGGCCCACCACCAAACAGGGACCCTGCATGCTTGAAGGCCAGCAGCAGGCACCACTCTGACCTCATGCCCTCAGCACCTCCAAAAGCCCTCCACCCTCTTAAGAAGGGCCTAGCCTCATGACCCTGGTCTGCCTTTGGGCCAGATCTCCCTGTGCAGGGGTGGCCAAGGTCCCCACTTGCCCACACCTCAGAATTTGCAGCCTAGGACGCAGCCACTCTTTTGTAAACTGCACCCTAAATCACACAGCATTTGTGTAACCACCCATTCACCCCAAACTTCCAGCTTCCTTTTACAAATTACTCTTAAAACAGTCTGACTTTGGGAGGCCGAGGTGCGCGGATCACGAGGTCAAGAGATCAAGACCATCCTAGCAAACATGGTGAAACCCCGTCTCTACTAAAAATACAAAAATTAGGCATGGTGGCACATGCCTGTAGTCCCAGCAACTTGGGAGGCTGAGATAGGAGAATAGCTTGAACCTGGGAGGCGGAGGTTGCCGTGAGCCCAGATTGCACCACTGCACTTCAGCCTGGCAACAGAGTGAGACTCCGTCTCAAAAAAACAAACAACAACAACAACAAAATAGTCATCAGGCTAGGTGTAGTCGCTCAGACCTGTAATCCCAGCATTTTGGGAGGCCAGGGTAGGCGGATCACTTTAGGTCAGGAGTTCGAGACCAGCCTGATGAACATAGTGAAACCCTGTCTCTACTAAAAATACAAAAATAAGCCAGGCATAGGGGTGCGTGCCTGTAATCCCAGCTACTCGGGAGGCTGAGGTACAAGAATTGCTTGAACCTAGGAAGCAGAGATTGCAGTGAGTCAAGATCACACCACTTCACTCCAGCCTGGGCGACAGAGCAAGAATGTCTAAAGAAAATAATCTTTAAAAAAAATCCGTCTGTCATCAGTGGGGGCTTAGCCAAGGTCAGTCCTGGGCCAATTTCTTGGCCCAAGAAATTTCAGCCTATCCCTTTCCTGAATTGCAGTCTCTCCAAACTGACTGCCTACGTCTGCCTGTGTCCCAGGGGGCTCTGGGCTGATGGGGGTGGCTGGCTGGGAAACGTGGCCTGTGATCAGCTCCAGGAGCAAAACAACCCTGATAACAGGCCCATCAAAGGGAGGGACGAGAGTCTGGCAGCTCTGTCTGCCCAGACAGCCTGGTGACCTCAGTCTCCTTCAGAACCTTCGGGACAGTGTGGCACCAACCGAGCTGTGGAAACAGTCCAGTGACACACTCGCCCCAGTCTGGGGCACAGGGACCAACGGGGGCTCACCAAGCAACCCATGGCACCCAGGACCCCACCCGACACAAGGGACAGCAAAACAAGCTTTGAGGCGGGGCTGTCTGGCTCTGAGGCGCATGAAGAAGTGCACGCTCAGCCTGCTCTATCTGACCCCTCCCCACTTGTTTTCCTAGTCCCGTTTCCTGCCAACTTCCCTGCCACTCCCACCGCCCCACCACCAAAACACAGGGCATTTCACAGCCTTTGTCAACATTTCCCGGTTAGCTGGCAGCCCCAGAGTGTTCTAGCCTATTTGCTTCCTTACGCCAAGTCCCTCTCCAAAGCCTGGGTTCCCCTTTACCAAAGAGTTGGGCAAAGGCCTTGTTGAGCCACATTTGAAATCCCTAGGGATCCTATCAGCTAAAGAGCAAAGGTTAATGTGTTATGACATGGATACCCTTCCCCAGCCCTAATTAGTTCACTTTATACATCCTATGTTGGATTTGCTTACTCTACACCTTTTCGCTTGACACCTTGTATTAAGTTGCCAAGTGCCTTCACATCCACAGTTTCCTTTCACAGAACCACAGGATACGTCTTGCCATCCCACACTTGTCTGGGCCTCCCTTTACCACTCTGTCTTCACAGCTCATCCTTCAATACTGTGTAAGCCCCGCCTCCTTAGCTCCACGCAATAAAGTCAGTCCCAGCCCCTGCTGTGCCACCCTATACCTGGTGAGCACTTTCGTCATCACACCGCACTTGTTCACAGCTAGTGCTGTACTGGTAAACAAAGCCCTGATCTGTAGTGTGGGCCAATTTCCCACTAAATACCGTCACCATCGTCAGTTTCAAAGAAATACTGCCAGCCAGGTGCAGTGGCTCACGCCTGTAATCCCAGCACTTTGGGAGGCCAAGGCAGGCGGATCACCTGAGGTCAAAAGTTCAAGACCAGCCTGACCAACATGGAGAAACCCTGTCTCTACTAAAAATACAAAAAAAAAAAAAAAAAAAAGCCGGGTGTGGTGCCACATGCCTGTAATCCCAGCTACTCGGGAGGCTGAGGCAGGAGAATCACTTGAACCTGGGAGGTGGAGGTTGCAGTGAGCCGAGATCATGCCATTGCACCCCAACCTGGGCAACAAGAGCAAAACTCCGTCTCAAAAAATAAATAAATAAAATAAAATAACTACTGTCACCATGGTCAGTTTCAAGCCACTAATGGGATGTCACCATCAAGCTGGAAGACAGGCACACAAGAGGCTCTGGAGAGCCAGGGTGAGGAACTCCAGCCCCCCACCATCTTTCTGGCTGATCCACATGCTGGTAAGGGCAGGGGCTCTGTCGTGCCATACTAGGGACTGGCCCCTAGCATCTTCTCCTGCCCCTTCATCTTGTGACACTAACCTGTGAACATAATGCTTACAGATGGAGCAGTCCTGTGATTTCCGTATTTTCCAGTGTGAACTGCTGGACTGTATAAGCACTGCTGGGCATAAAATGACCAGCAAAGTGGAGTCACTCAGATGGCATGTCACACCACTGACATGCCCATGAATGTAGATGGAAAGCTTTTGTGAGGGGGAGGCTCACTCCCCTGAGACATAGTGCTTACCACCTTCTTAGAAGACAAGCCAGGTTAGACAAACCGAGCCACCCTGCCCCCAAACCCCAGCCCCACCATTCCTGAGCAGAGAGAGGCTCTCCATGACAGCCCCATGTCCTGACCTAAGCCAAGCTAAGACAGTATAGAGAAGACAAGAGACTGGGTCACCAAGACCCCCTGGGCCTCACATGTCCAGGCATATTCCCTCTGCTGCCTTCTTGTATCCGTTAACAAGCTGACCCACGTCACATAGCAAAGGGGGACCTCTCTCCTAAGTTAGCTGACCAGGCTGAGTTTGTAACCATAAAAATAAGAAACTAACCATTTATGTCCTTGAGTGCTGTCTCCCAAGGTTGCTAAAAGCAGGCCTCTGGCATTCCTGATAAGAACCAGACCACATGCAGTTGGCTGAAGACAAGATGGACTCCAGCACTGACCTTTCACCAAGTTTTCCTTATAATAATCACATCGTAATACTAAAAATCACACCCAGGGCTGGAGATTTAACGCACTAATGAGACATATGATGCATGAGAAACACATAGTCAAACTGCGCAGGTGCTAAAAGTTCCCCATCCCTACATGCCTACATGTCACTCCTTTTTCTCGCCTCAGCTTCCTTAAAATGACAAGAGCCAAGTCCTTCCAGGAGCTAGCACCAGGATCCCTTTCCCATACAATGCTCCCGCGCAGTTGCTCCAGACGCAAGCCTATGAAACCTTGCCTGAGTAAAAGTTCTGTTTGGCCTGGTGTTAATTTCTTTCTTTTCTTTTTTTGTGAGGGGGGTGGGGGACGGAGTCTTACTCTGTCGCCCAGCTGGAGTGCACTGGCATGATCTCAATTCACTGCAACCTCCACCTCCCGGGTTCAGGCGATTCTCCTGCCTCAGCCTCCAGAGTAGCTGGGACTACAGTCACGTGCCACCATGCCCAGCTAATGTTTGCATTTTTAGTAGAGACGGGGTTTCACCATGTTGGCCAGGATGGTCTCGATCTCTTGACCTCATGATCTGCCCGCCTCGGCCTCCCAAAGTGCTGATATTACAGGCGTGAGCCACCGCACCCAGCCAGGGTTCATTTCTATTTACATGAGAGCCAAAAACTACAGGTCCAAGCTGGGATAACAAAGCCACTCCCGCTGCTTAGAGTACCCCACTGATAATAGGAGTTAAGAAGAAATCACTTAGGCAGATAGTAAGGATATGGGAGTCCTCGGTAAGGCTTTTCTTTTTAATGAAAAGCAGCCCAAAATCATTTTCTACCAAACAGCAACCTATAAAGTCAAGCTGCAGATACAGACAAACAAGCTGGGAGCTTGCATGGCTGAATGTCAGCAGGAACTAGGGACTAGGGAGGGACTAGACATGTTCAAGATGGGGGCTCCATCATCCCTTCTTTGCCAGCCACGTGTACAGTAAGGAGCAGACAAGATGGCACCAGCCAAGGAGAGTTCATTTGCATCATAGGATTAGGGTGGGGCAACAAGCCTTCCTTGCGCTATGTAAATATCACACCTGATCAAAACAATCTGTGATCCCTACATAAATCAGACACCACCTCCTCAAGCTGGACTATAAAGTCTGGTGCATCCACCACCAGCCAGTCTTTTCCACTCAGAGACCCCTCTCTCTCTATAGAAAAAGCTGTTTCTCTTTCTCTTCTGCCTATTAAAACTCCGCTCCTAAACTCCTCGTGTGTGCCCATGTCCTAAATTTTCCTGGCGCAAGGAGACGCACCCCAGGGTATATACCCTATACAATGTAGCTACTTCACCACAGTGGTCACCCTTCCCACCTGCCCTCTCCCTAGCCCTCCCCCCAGGGGTCTTCCAGTGCCCACAGGTTGGCATCTCCTTGGGTCTGAGAAACAAGAGCTCATCACATGTTCTGTTTACAGACTGAATGCTTGTGTCCCTATAATACCCCTAAGTTGAAACCTAACCCCAGTGTGATATTTGGAGGGATAGGCTTTGAGAGGTAGTTAGGTCGTGAGAGTGGAACCCTCATGAATGGGATTTGTTCCTACAAAAGGGACCGCAGGGCTGGACACGGTGGTGAACATCTGTAATCCCAGCACTTTGGGAGGCCGAGGCAGGTGGATCACCTGAGGTCAGGAGTTCAAGACCAGCCTAACATGGTGAAACCCCATCTCTACTAAATACAAAAAAAAAAAAGAAAAGAAAATTAGCTGAGCATGGTGGTGCATGCCTGTAATCCCAGCTACTCGGAAGGCTGAGGCAGGAGAATCGCTTGAATCCGGGAGGTGGAGGTTGCAGTGAGCCAAGATCGTGCCATTGCACTCCAGCCTGGGCAACAGAGTAAGAATCCGTCTCAAAAAGAAAAAAAAAAAAAAACGGGCATGGTGGCTCACGCCTGTAATCCCAGCACTTTGGGAAGCCAGGTTGGGCGGGTCACCTGAGGTCGGGAGTTCGAGACCAGCCTGACCAACATGGAGAAACCACCATCTCTACTAAAAATACAAAATTAGCTACACGTGGTGGCGCATGCCTGTAATGCCAGCTACTCAGGAGGATGAGGCGGAAGAATCGCTCAAACCCGGGAGGCAGAGGTTGGGGTGAGCTAAGATCACACCATTGCACTCTAGCCTGGGCAATAAGAGTGAAACTCCGTCTCAAAAAAAAGGGACCCCAAAGGGTTCCCTTGCCCTTTCTACCCCATGAGGACACAGGGAAGACAGACAGCTATGTATGAGGCAGGAAACCAGGCTTCACCAGACACCAAATCTGCCTGTCCCTGATCTTGGACTTGGACTTCCCAGCCTCCAGAACTGTGGGAAATACATTTCTGCTACCCAGTTTATGGCATTTTGTTATAGCAGCCTGAATGGACTATGACATTTATAAATACTGTTAAGCATCTGCCATGTGCCAGGCCCAGGGCGAGGTTCTGGGAAATCAAATACAAGCCCCCAAACATTCCTCCCCTGGGAACTCTGGTGGGGGTGAGGAGCAGATAAACAAATTCAAATATGGTAGCCAGTGCTAAGTGGGAAGTCTGCTCCAGGCAGAGTGGACCGCAGAGATAGGATGGCCAGCTTTAGCAACAATGCCTCAATGGACACAGCACTTTACAGTTTACAAAGCACTTTACTTCCTTTTCTTCATTTCATCCTCATAACAGGGCTCTGAGAAAAGATGCACAGGAGGTATTTTTTTTCATAGATGGGAAACTAGGGTTCAGGGAGGTGATCACATTAGGTGTAAGTATAGTGCCTGGCACATAGTAGGCCTTGGCTAATATTAAATTGAATTAAATATCATTTAATTCAAGTTAAATGACCTGGTTGAGGCAAGAATCCAGCCTAAATCCTCCCTTGGGATTATTTCCACTCAACTTTGAGGTCAAGGACAGAACCAGGCTTCCCAGTGCCAAGACTCTGACCCAGGCTTTCCACTGTCGCACCAGGCAACCCTGAGCAAATCACTTCACTGTCAGCCTGAGAGCTTCCTCGGCAAAATGTGCAAGGTATTGTTGGGCTCTACCAGCTAGAAGTCTCTTCTAGCCAGAGCTGAAAGGAAGCATGATCCTCCTATCCAGGGAGATATGCAAACAGAGACCAAAAAATCCCTTGATGGGGCTGCCATGGAGGCTTCAGACTAAGGACTGGCCCCCAGCATCTTCTCCTGCCCCTTCATCCTGTGACACGAACCTGTGAACATAATGCTCACTGACAGAGCAGTCCCTTGATTTCTGTATTTTCCAGTATGAACTGCTGGACTGTATTAAGAGCTGCTGGGCATAAAATGAACAGGCAAAGTGGAATCACTCAGATGGCATGTCACACCACTGACATGCCCATGAGTGTAGATGGAAAGCTTTTGTGAGGGGGAGGCTCACTCCCCTGAAACATGGTGCTTACCACCTCCTTAGAAGACAAGCCAGGTTAGACAAGCTGAGCTACCCTGCACCCCTACCCCCGGCCCCACCATTCCTGAGCAGAGAGAGGCTCTCCCTTACTTGGTTGCTAAGTGAGGGGGATCTTGTAGAAGCCTGTCAGAATGTGACACTCACAGGCTATTTTTTGGCATAGAATCTGAGAATGCTGTGCTAGAAGGAAACTTCTGACTGACCATCCAAGGTGAAGAGGAAAGAGAACTGGCTTTAGGTAAGGCAGAACAGGTCCAAACCCTGGCCCTGCCTTGGTAAGCAGCACCATCTTTCTCAGTCTCCATGACTGCATCTCTGAAATGGCAATAAAAATGCCTGTGTTACCCATCACATAAGGTGATGATGAGGATTAAAGGAGACAGTGCATGGAGAATGCCTGGCTGCCTCCTCTCTGCTCTCTTCACTCCTTGCTCTCCACACTGGACGGAGCTCTCCGGGAGCGGAGACCACATCTCACCCTGTATACCCCCAGCCCTCAGCACACCACCCAGAAAGGGCCCCCAGTTCACATTTGTTGGATGAGTGACTGAACTCAACTGCTTTACCCACGAGGAAACAGGTCCAGAGAGGCAGAGGGACCTGGCCAAGTCCACAGCCAGGGAGGGAAAAGCCAAAACCGAACCCCGGGACCCCTGACTCCCAGCCCTGTCTCTCACACACACACCATCTTGTGCATGCAACATTTGGCAAAGCCCTCTTTGCACTTTTGTTTACTTATTGAGACAGGGTCTCATTCTGTCACCCAGGCTGGAGTGCAGTGGCATCATGATCATGGCTCACTGAAGCCTTGACCTCCTGGGCTCAAGTGATCCTCCCACCTCAGCCTCCAGAGTAGCTGGGGCTACTGGTGTGTGCCACCACACCTGGCTAATTTTCTTCTTCTTCTTTTTGTTTTTGTTTTTTTTTTTTTTTTTGTAGAGATCAGGTTTCACCATATTGCCCAGGCTGGTCTCGAACTCCTGGGCTCCAGTGATCCACACACCTCGGAGGGATTACAGGCATGAGCCACCATGCCTGGCCCCTCTTTGCACTTTGGAGCCTTTCATCTTTCAATTTCTTGGTTGATGAGTAGCAGCTTTAGAGCAAGAACCCAGGTCTGTCAGATGCCCACGCAAAGGGCTCATTTTACAAGGCCCACCAAAAAGCTCAAGTGGGACCTGTGCAGCTTTTGAGATCTGTTTCCCAGCCGTGGATTTAGCCAGTTTTCCAAGTGAGGAGACTTGACTGGGATGGTGCTTCACCATTCCACTTCCTGTGTGGACGCTGATACTGGACAGCAGCCAGCGTCTGCGGCCCCAGACACATGGCCTGCCCCCCCTCCACCTCAGTGGATCCTCACTGCCAAAAGCTAAAAAACAGGACCTACTGTCTTTCATCAATTCTAAGACACAACACATATTTTTTTCAAATTTCAGCATCTCTGAGATCAGAGTGAGACTTAATTGATGGTGTCTTACAATTACAATTTCTAGTGTTTATTCTTATACGGTATTAATAGAACATAAAACAAACTTGTGTCTTGAAATTGTCTAGGATGAAACACAGTCCAGTATTGGCCAGCTGGGCAGTGTCACTGCAGGTCTGTGCACTGTTCCACCTGGGCTATTTAGACCCTGGAAGTTCACTTCCTTCTGAGCTCACTGTCCCTTATTTCACCAATAGCGAACATAGAACCACAAAGCCAGCCACCCGCAAGCCGAGGAGAGAGGCCCTCACTAGACACCAATCGGGCCAACACCTTGATCTCACACTCCTAGCCTCCAAAACTATGTGAAATGACTTCTGCTGTTTGAGCCACCCAGGCTGTGGCACTTTGTTACAGCAGCCCTAGTGAACTAATCCAGTGAGGAAGCTGAGGCACAGACAGGTAGAACAGTGAGGAAGGGGCTAAGAGGGATTTTGCACCCAGGCTGTTGGCTCCATAGCCCATGCTCCAAACCATGACCCCCACCACAGAGGAGGCCTCATGGCTCCAGCCCAAAGCAGTGCCACTGCTCAAGGGCACTCCTGCTTCCCAGCGCACGGGTAGGCCTGGCCACCCTAGATGGGTTCCTAGCTGCTCCTCTACCTCAAATTTTTCCAGCTCAGTATGGAGTACAAAACCAGGATGGGCCTGGGACAGAGGGGAAGATGGACCACAATGGTAGGGCAGAGAAAGTACACACACACATGTGCACACACACAGCCCTTGTATCCAGGGTTCTTGTCTCCTAGAGCACTGTTCTTTCTGCCTCTTCACATTACCTTTCTGCCTCTTACACTACCAAGGCAACCCCATAGTCTGATGCTCAGCCCTGGTATGAATCTTGTCATTAAAAATCCGGTACCGGGTTACAACTACCACTGGCCAGGCACCATCGGGATCGTTGTGTGTATCATCTCATTTAATCTTGACAACAATCTGAGAGGTCACAATCATAACAGTCATTGACAAGTGAAGACACTGAGGCCTAAACAGATTAAATGGTCCAAGGAGTGAAGCCAGAATGTGGCAGAGCTAAGATTCAAGACCAAGTCTGTCTCAGGCAGAGGCCCAGAGCTACCAAGCTGCACAGCTCCAGGGACTCCATTCAAACAAAGTAATAGCATATGATATGATTTGTGCTCCCAGGAGCTGTGCAGCCCCCAGCTCTGCAAAGCTTCTCTTCTCCCAACCTCCTAGTGCTCCTGATCTAGGGATGTAGAAGCCAGTTCCTGAGTCTCCATGGGGCAGGCACTGTTAGGCCCTGAGGGCACAGACCTGAGCCTATCCTCTTAGCTGGCATCACCTACTAGGGAAGATGGGCAAGTAAACAATTTCAACATAAATCAGATTGTGTTAGAGGGGCAAAGGTAAAAGGGGTGAGAGAGCTGAGAGAACCAGGGACCACACTGAGGGGAAACGGGATGGTCAGAGATGCCTTGCCAAGGAGAACACCCTTATGATGGACAAGTAAAAGTTTCCTAGGCAGACAAGGTGAGGAAGGCCATTCCAGCCATAAAGGACATCATGAATAAGTAATCATCACTGGCCAGGTGTGGTGGCTCACGCCTGTAATCCCAGCATTTTGGGAGGTAGAGGCAGGAGGATCCCTTGAGCTTAGGAGTTTGAGATCAGCCTGGGTGACATAGGGAGACCTCATCTCCACAAAAAATTTAAAAATTATCCAGGCATGGTGGTGCACGCCTGTGGTCCCAGCTACACGGGTGAGGTGGGAGGATCATTTGGGCCCAGGAGGCTGAGGTGGGAATGAGCCATGATTGTGCCACTGCACTCCAGCCTGGGTGGTAGAGCAAGACCCTGTCAAAAAGAAAGAAAAAGAAAAAAAAGGGCCAGGCACAGTGGCTCAAGCCTGTAATCCCAGCATTTTGGGAGGTAGAGGCAGGAGGATCCCTTGAGCTTAGGAGTTTGAGATCAGCCTGGGTGACATAGGGAGACCTCATCTCTACAAAAAATTTAAAAATTATCCAGGCATGGTGGTGCACAGCTGTGGTCCCAGCTACACGGGTGAGGTGGGAGGATCATTTGGGCCTGGGAGGCTGAGGTGGGAATGAGCCATGATTGTGCCACTGCACTCCAGCCTGGGTGATAGAGCAAGACCCTGTCAAAAAGAAAGAAAAAGAAAAAAAAAGGGCCAGGCACAGTGGCTCAAGCCTGTAATCCCAGCACTTTGAAAGGCTGAGGCGGATGGATCACCTGAGGTCAGGAGTTCAAGACCAGCCTGGCCAACATGGTAAAACCCCATCTCTACTAAAAAAATGAAAATTAGCCAGGTGTGGTGGTGCACGCCTGTAATCCCAGCTACTCGGGAGGCTGAGGCAGGAGAATCGCTTGAACCCAGGAGGCGGAGGTTGCAGTGAGCTGAGATTGTGCCACTGCACTCTAGCCTGGGGAGCAGAGTGGGACTCCATCTCAAAAAAAAAGGAAAAAAAAAAAGAAAATTCAGACTAACCAGAAAACACTTCCTCTCCAAAGTCCCCACCATTTTAAGCAAAAGGGAGGAGGATCCCTAGTGAATTCTGTCCAGCTTCACTCAGTGCCCTGCTGGCTAGCAGCCCCAGCTTGAGTGTGGAGTGTTTTGTTCTGCTGTTTTGAGGACCGGGTCAGTAAAACACATCTCAGGATTGTTTGTCTGTTTTTCCCTGTTGCCTCATGACTTCAGACAAGACGAGCCAAAATTCACTCTCCCACCAGCATTCTCAAAGAAGTCCTCTTTGGGATGAAATAAATGTAAGACAGAATTAAGAAAGGCTCAAAGATGCATGAAGGCTTTTCCAAACATTCCACACACAGTTGGGATGGCGTGAGAGAGAGCAGGGCTGGGTGTCAGGAGCCCTGGAGTCTGGCCTCAGCTCTTTCTCTCACTGGCTGTGTGATATGGACAGGTCCCTCTGCCTCTCTGGATTTGTTTCCTTGTGTGTGAAGCAGTGGAGTTACTCATTCAACTCGTTCATGTTTGTTGAAAACACAAATGAAAGACCCACAGACAAGCACTGTGCTGAGGGCTGGGGATACTGAGGCGTGAGTCAGGGTCCTGTTTCAGACGACCTCCCCATCCAGGACTGGGAGCAACTTGTAAGGGGAACAAAGTGGAGACAGGGACAACCTCCTTCCCCTGGTTGGAGAAGCAGGTGGGGCCAGGGATGCAGTATCTGGGCTGGGCTTCAAAGGGCAAGTAGAGTTTGCTAGAGCCAGAAGTTGGGGAAGGGCATTGCAGCAGAGCAGAGGCTCAGCGACTTGAAAGAGCAAAGCCACTCTGCAGCAGAGGCAACAGAGAGGAGTGGCTGGGAATGGTTCAGGGTCCAGGCAGACCACCTGGCTTCAAGTCCTTGCTCTATCAGGAATTTGTTTCACCTTTCTGGGTCTAATTTTCTCACCAGACCAATGGAGATAATAATAATACTTAACTGATAGGGTTCTGTAAGGATTCGGTGAATTAATGCATGTAAAGTGCTAGAACAATGACTGGTACACACTCAGTGAATGATGATCAATATTACCATTATTCTTTTGTTTTGTTTTGTTTTGTTTTTGTTTTGTGAGAGAGAGTCTCACTCTGTTGCCCAGGCTGGAGTGCAGTGGTACGATCTTGGCTCACTGCAACCTCCGCCTCCCGGGTTCAAGCTCTTCTCCTGCCCCAGCCTCCCAAGTAGCTGGGACTACAGGCGTGCACCACCATGCGTGGCTACTTTTTGTATTTTTAGTAGAGACGGGGTTTCACCATGTTGGCCAGGCTTGTCTTGGACTCCTGGCCTCAAGTGATCCACCCACCTCAGCCTCCCAAAGTGCTGAGATTACAGGCATGAGCCACCACCCCCAGCCCAATGTTACCATTATTCTATGTAGTCTATGCTAGAGACTAGCTGGAGTCTAGGCTAAGAGAATGGCTAAAAAAATATACTGAACCCAGATTATGAAGAGTTTTGTATGTTATATTGATTCATTCCAATTACTGTCTATCTGGTCCTGGGGATAATGGTGCTAAATTGGAGCCATATCCTGCCTCTAAGTAACGACCCCAGAGTAGGGATGCCAGGCGTTGCTGAGGGAGGGAAGCAGCTAAGGTGGAACAGAGTAGAGGAAATCCGTGCAGGCATGTGCCCTTCATCATCACGCAGAATTTTAACAGTAAAGGGGCCTGCCCTGATGGAGCCTGCATTCAAATGTGGATGGAGGCTGGGCACAGTGGCTCATGCCTGTAATCTCAGAACTTTGGGAGGCTGAGACAGGAGGATATGGGGATGAATTTGGAACACAGATGCAAATGTCATTGTAGATACCATTTAAGCAAGGACTATTTGACATGTTCTGCAGTGGAATTATCCCCTACATATACCCACCCTCCTCTGCAGTGGTCTACTGCTGAGACCCCAGCATGCCTCCTGGTCAGGCCAGGAGAGACACGAGAAGAGAACCTTTGCACAGGAACTTCATCCCTTTAATCATTCTAATTACCAAATCTTCCAAATTCTTCAAGGTCTAGTGCAAATGGCCTCTCCTTAGTCCCCACTCCTGATATCCTATTGTTTATTCATAACAATATAGGCCAGGCATGGTGGCTCACACCTGTAATCTTAGCACTTTGAGAGGCCAAGGTCAGTGGATCACTTGAGCTCAGGAGTTTGAGACCAGCCTGGCCAGCATGGCGAAACCACATCTCTACTAAAAATACAAAAAATTTGCTGGGCGTGCTAGTGTATGCCTGTAGTCCCAGCTACTTGGGAGGCTGAGACCGAAGAATCACTTGAACCCAGGAGGATTCAAGCCTAGATAGTGCCACTGCACTCCAACCTGGGTGACAGAGGGAGACTCTGTCTCAAAAAAAAAATGAATATTAATAATAATTTATTACGACCTTACAAAAAGCCAGTTGCCATGCTAAATTATTTACAAACATAATTATTCAGTTGAATCTTCATAATGACCTTCTGAGATAGGTGTTATTGTCTTCATTCTATAGATGAGAAAACTGAGGCTGAGAGATGTGAAGCAATGTGTCCAAGGTCAGAAAGCTGGTGACTGAGTCAGGATTTGAGCCCAAGTGTAGCCACTAACCACTGCCCTGCACTATCCCACCGAAGTGAGCACTTGCTCCTTGGAACTCCCTTGATTCTTTGCCTGGACTCTCTCAGGGCAGGATAATTTCCCAGATCTACTCTGGCTCCGAGAGCCTAGGGTTCTGGGATTGTCAGAGGGCGTGGTGATGGGACCAAGGGCCTTCTTGATGGCCCTCTAAGAAGCAGCACCAGGGCTTCTGGTGCTGGGTTTTTTTCTAAAAGCACATCCTCCCCCACTCAGCCCTTTGTGCAGGATGCATCGTTAGAATTCCTGGACTCAGCTTCTGAATATTGATTGTTTGCAGGAGCAAGTCAGCAATTTGTGGTTTCCCGGCAATGGCTCTGTGTTCTATTATAGAACTTGGCTTGTTTGCATTTCCATCATCAGGCTAGGCACAGGCCCGGGTCTGGCCTACCCTTTGGCCTGGTGACCTGAAGCTATCCTGATTGAGTCCTGTGGTCAGGTCATCTGCCCAGCTCCTCAGAGATGGGACCACAGGACAGGGCACAAGGCCTAGGTCTGCTATCAGAAAGATCAAACTCAAACAAAATATAGCTCTTGCCAAGGAACAAATCATGCCTCTTTTTTTCAAATGCCCATTTTGGTATTTTAAAGGAAAACAAGTAGGTTTAAATCCAAGGTGGCAGTGTTGATAAGGGCATGGGGAAACAGCACTCTCGTATACTATTGGTTGGGTATAAACTAATGCAATCTCTTTGAAAGATAAAGTGGCACTATACATTGACATTTTAAATGTGCAAACCCTTTAATGCAGTATTTCCAGTTCTCGAAATTTATCTTACATCTCTTCTTACACATTATGCAAACATGTATGTATGTACAAAGATGTTTACCCTTGTATTATTTATAATAGCAAAAAAGTTGGTAACCTAAATTACCATCAGTTGAGAACTTATTAAATAAGTAAATTAGTATTTAACAACACAATGGAATACTTTGCAGCCAATTTTTTTTAAGACACAGAGTCTCGCTCTGTCGCCCAGGCTGGAGTGCAGTGGTGTGATCTCAGCTCACTACAACCTCCGCCTCCTGGGTTCAAGCAATTCTCCTGCCTCAGCCTCCCGAGTAGGTGGGACTACAGGCACACGCTGCCACACCCGGCTAATTTTTTTTTTTTTTTGTATTGATGGGGTTTCACTGTGTTGCCCAGACTGGTCTCAAACTCCTGAGCTCAGGCAATCCGCCTGCCTTGGCCTCCCAAAGTGCCAGGATTACAGACGTGAGCCACCACGCCCAGCCCTTTGCAGCCATTTTTTAAAAGAAGTAGATTTGTACATGCTGAAATGGAACATTCTCCAAGACATACCATTAAATTTAAAAAGCAAGGTGCAAGGGGACAAAAGGCTGAGTGTGATTAGGCATTGAGCGTGCATGCATATAGAACAAAATTCTGGAAAAATAGTCAGAAACTATCAGCAACGATTACTTCTGAGGGAAAGGCCTAGAGTGAGACAACCTCTTCATTGATTGCCAGTTTGAACTGTTTCCCCGCCACCCATGTGCTTATATTACAAAATATCCATGTTGGAAAAATATATTCTTATTCAAACCAAACCCTGCTCGTCAAAGCATTGCAACGGCCTCCCCACTGATTCTTGTAGACTGAGCGCTAAGACCTGTTAAGCCCTGTTGCTCTGCTTCATGCAAAGTTCTGCTACCTAATGTGCATTTTCATATAGGAGGTAAGGAGGTAAGGATCAGTATCTCAATTTTATAGCTGATGAAACGAACTTGAAAAAATTAAGTGAAGGTTAGTTTAGTTTAGTTTTTTGATTGTCTGTTTTTGAGACAGGGTCTCACTCTGTTACTCAGGCTGGAGTGCAGTGACGCGATCTTGGCTCACTGCAACCTCGACTGCCAGGGCTCAAGCTTCCTGGGTAGCTGGGATTACAGGCTCCCGCCACCTCACCTGGCTAGTTTTTTAAATTTTTTGTAGTGACAGGGTTTTGCCATGTTGCTCAGGCTGGTCTCCAACTCCTGGACTCAAGCAATCCCCCTGTCTTGGCCTCCCAAAATGCTGGGATTACAGGCGTGAGCCACCAAGTCTGACCATGAAGTTTAGTTTTATGTGTCAATATGGCTAGGATATAGTACCTACTTTATTAATCAAACACGAATCTAGGTGTTGCTGTGATGGTATTTTGTAGATGTGGTTAACATGTACAGTCAGTTGACTTTTGAATAAAAGAGACTGTCTTCAATAATCTGGGTGTGCCTCATCCAATCAGTGTAAAGGCCTAAAGACCAAACTGAAGTCTTCCTTGGGGAAGAAACTTACTGTGGATTGCTGCTTCCACTCCTGCCTGAGTTTCCAGCCTGCTGGTTTGCCCTGCAGATTTTTAACTTGCCAAGCCAGCCCTGACGAGCAAAACAGCCAATTCCTTGCAATAAATAAGTAATCAATCAACTGCCTTTGTAACCCACACCGTGCCTACAATAGTGTCGTGAATATATTTATTTTCTGAGCCAATGTTTATGAGGCATCTGCTCTGCGGCAGATTCTATGTTGGGTATTGGGGAAAACTCTATTTAAAAACATTACTGCCCACATTTGTCTCCATCTCCAATGGAAAGGCCAAATATTTTCAGAAGCCACTTAAGTAGGCAAGGCAGTAGTAAGTCACAGCTGTGAGTCCAGCATGTGAACACAGTCTGATGCTAGAGTGCATAAATTTACTACTACGCAATGCCATATTCCTATGGTTAGAATAGGCTAGGGAATATCACAAACCTGGGCTCAAATCCCAACTCTACCAATTTCTAGAATGTGACCTTAGGTAAGTTGTCATGTCTCTCTGAAACTGTAATTTTCCCTATCTATAAAGTGGGCATAATATTTATATCTACCTCTTAAGATTGTTGTGAAAATTAAGAGTTCATCCATGGAAAGAATTTAGCACAATACTCTGAGTAAGTGCTGGGTAAATGTTTCTATTATTACGTTTCCCAGAAAAGCTGAGTCCCCCAGGTATGATTTGGAAGGAGAGGAAGAGCCTGTTTCTGGCTTCTAACTGGAGCCTATGCTTCCCAGCCTGTCAGAATGGCCACCAGCAGGCTGTAACCTTTTGATTTGGAAGGAGAAAGAGAAGAGTGAGAGGGGAGATATATGTAGCTAAGCAACGGATGGGGGAAAAAAAGCCAGCTAGTAAGAAATTCTAGGTGGTAGTGTTGGCCAATTAATAATAATAATAGGCCAGGCATGGTGGCTCACACCTGTAATCCCAGCACTTTGGGAGGCCAAAGTGTGCGGATTGTTTGAGCCCAGGACTCAAGACCAGCCTGGGTAACATGGTGAAACCCTGTCTCTACAAATATACAAAAATTAGCTGGGTGTGGTGGCATGCACCTGTAGTCCCAGCTACTTGGGAGGCTGAGGTGGGAGGATCACTTAAGCGTGGGAGGTTGAGGCTGCAGCAAGCCATGATCTCACCATTGCACTCCAGCCTGGGCAACAGAGTGAGACCCCATCTCAAAAAATAACAATAAAATAATAATAGCTAACAGTTACATTCTGCTTACTATGTGCCAGGCAATTCTAGGTGTTTTCCATATAATAACTCAATTACCAAAACAATACTGTGAGATATATAATTTTTCTCATTTTATAGATTAAAGAAATTGAATCACAGATAGATTAAACCACTTGCCCAACATCCAACAGCTAGTGACTGGTAGAGCCAAGATTCAAAACCCCAATGATCTGGCTCCTAAATCTTTGTTCTTAATGACTATGTAGTACCATGGAGGACAATTTGGGGAATTCAAAAAACTCAGGATTCAAGGAAATCATCCAAAGCGGGAGTCAGGATTTCTGTAGAAAAATGTCCTATCACAGTACTATTTCTTGAACACCTACTGTGTGTCAACAGCTGTTTTGGTGTTTACACATACCATTTAATCCTCACAAAACCCGTAAGTGATAAGAACTGTCACCCCCATTATTTATTTATTTATTTATTTATTGACAGGGAGTCTCGCTCCGTCACCCAGGCTGGAGTGAAGTGGCACAATCTCGGCTGACTGCAACCTCCATCTCCTGGGTTCAAGTGATTCTCCCGCCTCAGCCTCTCGAGTAGCTGGGACTACAAGTGCCCGCCACCACGCCTGGCTAATGTTTGTATTTTTAGTGCAGACGGGTTTTGCATTGTGGGCCAGGATGAGTCTTGAACTCCTCACCTCAGATGATCCACCCACCTCAGCCTCCCAAAGTGCTGGAATTACAGGTGTGAGGCACCGCATGCAGCCCCCCATTTTTAGATGATGAATTTGAATGATGAAAGCCAAGTGATAAAATGACTTCTAGCCCAAATGCATTTCACATTGGTTCTATGCATTCACGGACCCACCCTGTGGTTAATTCCCCAGTTTCTGGAAGTAGAGATCAGCAGATATATATTTAGCAGATATTAGAATTCTTGTGTTGTTTTTCTGACCTGAGGAGTAAGAATCTTTTTTTTTTTTGAGACAGAGTCTTGTTCTGTCACCCAGGCTGGAGTACAATGGCTTGATCCCGGCTCACTGCAACCTCCACCTCCTGGGTTCAAGCGATTCCCCTGCCTCAGCCTCCTGAGTAGCTGGAATTACAGGCATGCCACCACCACACACGGCTAATTTTTGTAGTCTCTAATGTTAGTAGAGATGGGGTTTCACCACATTGGCCAGGCTGATCTCGAACTCCTGACCTCAAGTGATCCGCCCGCCTCGGCCTCCCAAAGTGCTGGAATTACAGGCGTGAGCCACCACATCCAGCCGAGTAAGAGTCTGTAGTAGAAAGGGCCAAGTGGAAGCCCCTGAAGTTACCCAGACACTTCACTGCCCCCATCAGTAGAAGCAATATTGCATCCCAGAAAGAACTGCAGAGATTAACACCATCAGAACAGACTTAGAGGACACAAGCCTGTTTATGCCCATTATATCTCTATTCAGATCACCTCTATGGCTTCTGCAATAAAACAGACCCTGGCAGATGATGGTGGAATGTTCTGGTAAGGCTCAGTTAAGTGTCAGCTCAGGAACAAATCCAGTGGTAATGATGAACAGGCTATTTGTAGTAATCATGATCATATCAAGGGTAAGGCAATCATAAGGACTTCAGGGACAGTCATAGTCCCACCACCAAGCAAGAAATCCAGGCCAGCCAAAGTGCTAGATGAGAATAAGAGAAATCTAGATTGAGTGGTAGAAGAAGCAGATAATGAATATCAATTACAGCTTTGGGATCAACTGTAGCAGCAAGTGTTATAACTTGTTTCACTAATTTGCTTGGATTATCAAGTGTTTGCAGAGAACGCAGCCAACTGCCATACTGAAGACGACCGTATGACAAATTAAATTTACACAAGGGCATTTTAAGTGGGCTTGAATGGTGCAAGGGTTGGACTCTGTCAAACACCTCTCATGTCCCACTTCATATCTTGTCAGTCTCACCTCTTATTCCAGCCATTGTGCAGCAGTGACCATCTTCATGAAGATGTAACCTGAAAATGCCTGGCCTCAGGCCCGTCTCATGTCTTTCATTTTCTGCCTTCCAGTCTCTTTGAGCTGCCATGCCTGATGTCTGTGGGAGTCCACTTAGCACTCATTTACAGGAAACATAAATGTTCCCTAGGGCCAGTCTTGACCAATGGGAGAGGGAAACTGATGGATAACCTTTTCTCCCTCTCTTCCCCTGAGCAAGACAGTCCTTAAATGCATCCTATATGGTCTCTCAGAAGGTCTCCCATGCTTGAGTAATCAGTTGTCCTCAGTAGTAGTTAATATCTTATCCTTATATTTGCACTCCCTATTTCATTTTCTGCAAGCATAGCTCCTGCTTCCTGAGATCAGCACAGCAAATTAAACTACTCACACATAAGCCTTTGTCTCAGGCCCTGCTTTGGGGAGAATATAGGCTAAGACAAATGCTTTAAGGCCATAAACAGAATTGAGAGGGTATTTCAGACTTCTGCCTTCAGGGACTGGGGGTTGGAGTCAAAAGTTTTTCTCTATTGTGCTCCAAGGTTAAATAAACAATGCTGTTGGTCATAAAATGTCATCCACATTTTCTTCCTGTGAAATAGGGTCACTTGATGATAATCAGCAGTCCCTTTGCTCTTAGAACATTTTGCTTTCATCCTTCTCCTGGTTGATATTAATGGTCTTTATAAAATTGATATTGATATGATCTGATGCTGATAAAGAGGAATTTGGGCTGGGCACAGTAGCTCATGACTGTAATCTCAGCACTTTGGGAGGCCGAGGCGGGCAGATTGCTTGAGCCCAGGAGTTTGAGACCAGCCTGGGCAACATGGCGAAACCTCAGTTCTACAAAAAATACAAAAATTAGCCAGGTGTGGTGGTGCACCTATAGTCCTAGCTACTCCGGAGGCTGAGGTGGGAGGATGATTTAAGCCTGTGAGGTCAAGGCTGCAGTGAGCTGTGCCCACTGCACTTTGGCCTGGGCAACAGAGTGAGACTCTGTCTGCCCCTACCCTCCCACTCCACCAAAAAATAAAAACAAAAAGAGAGAGTGGGATTCAAATACCAAGGTGCACCTCAATGAAGTCTAGATTCCTCTGGGCTTCTGATCAGTGCACCACAAAATTCTGAACACTCATGAAGACAAGATAGGAGGCTAGGTGCAGTGGCTCACGCCTGTAATCCCAGCACTTTGGGATACCAAAGGGGGAGGATCACTTGAGGTCAGGAGTTCCAGACCAGCCTGACCAATAGAGAAACCTTGTCTCTACTAAAAATACAAAAATTAGCCAGGCGTTGGGGCGGAAGCCTATAATCCCAGCTACTGGGAAGAATGAGGCAGGAGAATCGCTTGGGCCCAGAAGGAGGAGATTGCAGTGAGCCGAGATCATGCCACTGCACTCCAGCCTGGGAGACAGAGCGAGACTCCATCTCAAAAAAAAAAAAAAAGACAAGATAGGAGACTCCACAGCAAACACTTCCAAGTCATGGGCAAAGGTCTGGTGGCTAAATAGGGGAAGACATTTTTTTCTTTTCCTTATTTAGTCTCTCCTCAGAACACAAATTGGGAGCTTGAAGAAAGAAATAGTGTAATGGTTATAGATGCAGATGCTGCCATCTGATGGGCTGGGTTGAATCCTGGCTGCATCACTTACCAGCAGTGAGTACCCGAGTGAGTTCCTTAACTCTCCAGTGCTCTATTTCCTCACAATGTTTACATAAATGAGATGACTTATGTATCACACTTCACCCAGTGTTTGGTATCTAGTAAGTGTATGCTATTAATAATAATTGAATCATTGCTACTATTCATATCCTAGTTCACATGGAGCTTGGCAACAATGAAATCTAAGGTTCTGTGTGTTATACCTGTTTTTTTTTTTTCCATATTTTAAGTTACCTCATAACCCTTAAAAGCAAAGATTACTGAAATGTGTGTCCTGGCCCCGCCCCAATAACAAAATATAGGAAAGGAGCTGTGGGACACCCTTTGGCACTCAAATTAAGATCTTAGTTTTCCAGCCTAGCCAACATGGTGAAACCCTGTCTCTAAAAAAATACAAAAATTAGCTGGGCATGGTGGCACGCGCCTGTAATCCCAGCTACTTGGGAGGCTGAGACGGGAGGATCACTTGAACCTGGAAAGTGGAGGTTGCAGTGAGCCAAGATTGCGCCACTGCACTCCAGCCTGGTTGACAGAGCGAGACTGTCTCTGGGGGAGCAGGGAGGCGGGAAGAAAGATCTTAGTTGTTGTGCCAGGTGCGGTGGCTCACGCCTATAATCCAAGAACTTTTGGAGGCCGAGGTGGGCAGATCACTTGAGATCAGGAGTTTAAGACCAGCCTGGCCAAAATGGTGAAACCCCATCTCTACTAAAAATACAAAAAATTAGCCAGGCATGGTGGTACGCACCTGTAATCCAGCTACTTGGGAGGCTGAGGCAGGAGAATCACTTGAACCCAGGAGGCGGAGGTTGCAGCGAGCGGAGATCGTGCCACTGAACTCCAGCCTGGGATACAGAGCGAGACCCTGTCTCAAAAAAAAAAAAAAGATCTTAGATGTTGGCTAGGCATAGTGGCTCACACTTGTAATCCCAGCACTTTGGGAGGCCAAGGAGGGAAGATTGCTTGAGGTTGGCAGTTCAAGACCAGCCTGGGCAACATGGCAAGACCCATCTCTACAAAAAAAATTTTTTTAATTAGCCAGGTGTGGTGGCACGTAACTGTGGTCCCAGCTACTCAGGAGACTGAGATGGGAGGATCACCTGAGAACAGGAGTTTGAGGCTGCAGTGAGCTATGATCACACCACTGCACTTACATACATACATACATACTTACATTAGTTATTGACACAGAGGCTTAGTGATATCAATGAGCTAAGAACGAATGAAAACTGATCAGTTACTCCTTGGAAATCCTGGCCTCTGAGGACTCATGGTAGATAGCTCCAGTGAAGGCCTCAAACAGTGAAAAAGCAACTATGACCAAAGCCTTGCTACGAATACTACACGGGGAGCCAAGATCACGCCACTGCACTCCAGCCTGGGCAACAGAGTGAGACCCTGTCTTAAAAAAAACACAAATACTACATGGGGTTTCTACTTCCTTCAGAAAGCCTATACAAAGTTTCGGAAAATTTCAGACACAATAAACCTGGTTAAGGAAGAGGGTGTGTGTGTATGCATGCAAGTGAATGCAGGTACACGCATTCACACACACAAACACATAGACACACACTCCTGCGTGAGGGCTGGGCATGGGAAAAGATTGATGGGATTTCATTCGTAAATTGGGAGGAGAATGAAAGAGCTTATTCAATGTGCAGTTGTAACAGGCATTAAAGGAAGGCAAGGAATGCAATGGTGTGGCTGAACAAGAATCATGAGCTAGAACAATTCCAGGTGGGCCCTCTGCTTTGAAAGCACTTTTTAACCAGGCAGGTGGATTTTAATAATAAGCTACCCAGCAGGCCAGCCAGGTCCCAGCATGAAGCATCAGGTGGCAAGCAGGTGACGATTAGAATGAGGTGTGGTTGGCAGAACAAAAAGGAATAACAAGAAGCCTCCTTCTCATTTTTCACCTGAGGTACAGAGAGGAAAAGTGACCTGCCCATGATTACACGCAACTGAGAGGCAAAACTGGGACTAGAATTAGGACTAGAACTTCTGTCAGCTTCTTCTTTTGCAGGGCAAAGATCCCTGGGAACCATCAGGTCAATTAATGTCAACTGATTCATTCTTTTTTTTTTTTTTTTGACACGAAATTTCGCTCTTGTTGCCCAGGCTGGAGTGCAATGGCGCGATCTCAGCTCACTACAACCTCTGCTTCCCGGGTTCAAGTGATTCTCCTGCCTCAGCCTGCCAAGTAGCTGAGATTACAGGCACCCACCACCATGCCTGGCTAATTTTTTGTATTTTTAGTAGAGTTGGGGTTTTACCATGTTGGCCAGACTAGTCTCAAACTCCTGACCTCAGGTGATCCGCCCGCCTCGGCCTCCCAAAGTGCTGGGATTATAGGCGTGAGCCACCACGCCTAGCTGATTCATTATTTTATTCAGTATTTTTTAATCAATCATTCTCATTTATCACAAATTCATTTATTCAACAAATGTTACTGAAGGCCTACTATATTCCAAGCTCTGTGCAGGGATCTGGGACAACCAACTCAGACCAGACCTGATTCAGACCCATGGGGTGAGGCACACTCTGTTATAGACTGAATGTTTGAGCCCCCTACCCCAGTTGATATGTTGAAATCTTAACCTTCAATGTGATGGTATAGGGAGGTGGGGGCCTGTCTAAAGTAATTAGGTTATGAGGGTTGAGCCCTCATGAGTAGAATTAGTGCCCTTATAAAAGACAGCCCACTGGCTGGGAGCGGTGGCTCACACCTGTAATCTCAGCACTTTGGGAGGCTGAAGCAGGTGGATTGCTTGAGGTCAGGGGTTCAAGACCAGCCTGACCAACACAGTGAAACTCCATCTCTACTAAAAATACAAAAATGACCCAGGCATGGTGGCTGGCACCTGTAATCCCAGCTACTTGGGAGGTTAAAGCAGGAGAATCACTTGAACCCTGGTGGCAGAGGTTGCAGTGAGCAGAGATCATGCCACTGCATTCTAGCCTGGGTGACACAGTGAGTCTCTGTCTCAAAAATAAATAAATAAGTAAATAAAAATGAAAGAGAGCCCAGAAAGCGCTCTCACTCTCTTTCCACCATGTGAGGATACAAGAAGTTGGCAGTCTGCAACCTGGAAGACAGCCCTCACCAGACCCGCTTCCTGGACCTGGATCTCAGACTTCCAGCCTCCAGAACTGTGAGGAATAAATGTCTGTTTGTCTGTTGTTTATAAGACACTCAGTCTGTGGTACTTCGGTATAGCAGCCTGAACTAAGACATGCTTATAAACATACAAGATGACTGGAAAATTATTATCCTGTTGGTCCAAGAACTCCTCTTGGGAAAGGAATTGTCTTCTTTGGAATAACACCTTCATAAGGTCTTGGGTAGAAGGAGAGGCCAAGAACAGAAAGCGCCCTGGAACTACTCTACACAAGAAAGGCTTTCGAAGAGGTTTGTTGTTTCAGAGAGTGAGGGAAGATCAGAAAAATGGGGAGACTGAAACTGCACCAGGAAAGGGCAACAGGGGGACACCACATGGCCAAAGAGTCAAAGAGGACCAGGGAGGGCCAGCCTGATGCCTTGAGATTTAAAGGATTTGCTGTGTGTGCTGTGCTCGTCAGTAAAGTCTCTGTACTCATAAATACTGTGTATCAGCAGGTTTTGCCTGGAAAGCAGTGAAGGAGCTGAATCTCCAATCTGGGTTATAAGGTAAGAACACAGGCCACAACTGAGAATTAGGAAGTCCAGGAGAAAAGAGGTGATGTGAAAATGTATGCCTCTGAGACTCTGCAGAAATACAAGGGAAAGCCTTGGCTTCCACAGGCTGTCAAATTGAGACTAAATGGTTGGGCAAAGTCAGTTTTATTTAGATTTGAAGAATCTTGGAGGGCTTAGCTGTCATCGGGGTTACAATTGTAAATTCTGAAAAGAAACCTGCATGAAGTGCTTTGGGAAAATTTCATAGATCATCTGAACTGGGTCATGCAGGATTTGTCATAGGATAGGAGGAGCCTGACATACAATAAAGGAAAAGGGCATTTGGGGCCTGGGGCTGTGGCTCATGCCAGTAATCCCAGCACTTTGGGAGGCCAAGGAAGGTGGATCATGTGATAAGGAACTGAGGGCTTCTGTTGGCCTTGGAAGTGGATACTACAGCTCCAGTGGAGCCTTCAGTTGACTACAGCCCCTGGTGTCATCTTGGCTGCAACCTGAACCAGAACCACCTAGCTAAGCCACTCATGAATTCCTGACCACAGAAACTCTGAAATAATAAATGTTTCTAGGCTGCTAAGTTTTGGGTAACTTGTTATGCAGCAATAAATAGCTAGGATGGCATATAAATGCAATACTATTCACTTCTAATTTTAAACTTGGAACTGGACTGTTTCTTTCTTTCTTTTTTTGAGACAGGGTCTCACTCTCTTGCCAAGGCTGGAATGCAGTGGCGCACAATCACAGCTCACTGCAGCCTCAATCTCCCAAGCTTAAACAATCCTCCCACCTCAGCCTCCCCAGTAGCTGGAACTACAGGTATGCATCATCATGCCTGGCTAATTTTTTTATTTTATTTTTATTTTTAGTAGAGACAAGTTTTTGCTATGTTGGCCAGACTGGTGTGGAACTCCTGAGCTCAAGCGATCCTCCCACCTCGGCCTCCGAAAATGCTGGGATTACAGGGATGAGCCACCACACCTGGCCTGTTTCTTTCTGAGTTTCATTACCCTCCAAGTGACATTATAAACAATCATCCCGAAGTCTAAAAACATATAACTTATTCAATTAATCATAATCTTGAAGACCCTATAAAACTGACATCGGCACCTTTCTGCAATTTCTCCCCATGTCTCAAATATACTCATTGCAGAAAAGGGCCAAGGTCAGTTTCATAGGGGTCTTCAAGCTGAAAACTCTGAGCAGATCGTTGAAGTGTTTCATAAACCATGTGACCTGGCCTCTTTTCTTTCTATGAAATCAGTCCACTCTACTCCAGTTCCTGGCCATTGCCGGTGACTGGAAAGCTTTCCTGACCACTACACGTTTCTTTGAAAGGGAGTGTCCAGATTTTGATGATCTCACAAACTGCAGCCGCTCTATGGGTTCTGATTGCCTAGAGACTTGTTTTCATTCTTCTTTTTTTTTTTTGAGACAGAGTTTTGCTCTTTCACCTAGGCTGGAGTCCAGTGGCAAGATCTTGGCTCACTGAAACCTCTGCCTTCCGGTTTCAAGCAATTCTCCCGCCTCAGCCTCCCAAGTAGCTGGGATTACAGGTGCCTGCCACGTCTGGCTAATTTTTGTATTTTTAGTAGAGACGGGGTTTTTGCCATGTTGGCCAAGCTGGTCTCGAACTCCTAACCTTGTGATCCACCTGCCTTGGCCTCCCGAAGTGCTGGGATTACAGGTGTGAGCCATTGTATGTGGCCAATTCTTTTATTTTTTAAAGGTGAACCGAAGAGGCATGGTGGCACATGCCATGCCTGTAGTCCCAGCTACTGAGGATAAGCAGAGACTCAGGTAGGAGAGACTGGGTTGGAATCCTATTTTAGACATTCATGCCATTCAACAAATATAGAGCGTATCTGTTGTGTCAGCTGCTATGTGGGTTGCTGCTGCTACAATGATGAATAAAACAGAAAAGGTCCCTGTCCTCATGGAGTGAATAACTAGTGAGATAATTGGATAATCACACACATAGTATAAAATTGCATCCAGCTGACAGGTGCCCAGGGTAGGATAAGGGGAGGTTGGGGAAGGCTGTCTTGGGGAAGCAGTGCTTGCTATAAAAGCCAAAGGATGAAGAGCTAACTAGCCTAAGGGGAGAAGGAAGAACATTCCAGACAGAGGGAAGGGCGTGTATAAAGGGCAGTGACAGGAGGGAACATGGCATGTACCAAAGGCTGAAAGCAGGTCATTATGCCTAGAGTGGCAAAGGTGGGTGAAGAGGAATGCATGAATGTGAGAGACATCTAGGAGGTTAAATAGACAGGACCTGGCAAGAGCAGTGAGAAATGCTTTTGCTGGAAGAACAGGTAAACTGACCAACTGTGGCTTAAACACCTAAGGGTGGTGTGGGCGTGTGTGAACCTGACCCAATAGTACCTTAGTTTTTTTTTGGACAAACATAGAAATTGACCCTTCTGGTCTTAAAGCTGGAAAGTTATATTTATCTGAGTTCCTTCCTCAGGAAATGACCTTCAGGTCTCTCAAAAAAAGTATCAAAGAACTGAAACTCACCGGATCACAGCATCCAGAAAATGAGATGCCAAGCCCCTCATTCATCATGATTGCTTCCTTATTCCTCCCTAGTTCCTTTTTTTTTTTTTTTTAACACATTATTACATTTCTTTCCTGCTATATAAACCTAGTTTTAGTCAGTCAGGGACCCAAGTTTGAGATTGATCTCCCATCTGTTTCTCTGCAGCACCTGATTAAAGCCTTATTCTTTGGCAATAATCATCTCAGTGATTGGCTTTTTGTGAAGCAAGGAACAGGAACTAGATCGGAACCCCTGGTGTTTCAGTAACACGTGTGTGTGTGTGTGTGTGTGTGTGTGTGTGTGTGTGTGTGTTTCCTCACATAATAAGTCTGGAGGTAGAGGGATTTGTTTATTAGCTCAATGATGTCAGGGCCAGCATGAGGCAGTTTTTCCTAACAGCTGAGTCTAGCTTTATGCCTCATGTTCAAGCCTAAAGCAGAAAGAATGAGAAAAGGGGTACAATTCATGACAACTGTCTCTACCATTTTTTGTTAGAACTCAGAAAATTCACTAGAAATGAAGTTAGGGGAAAAAACCTCAGAAAAATAAGATTCCCGTTTATTGTTGGACAACATTGTTTCACACATACATCGAACAGGCTGAAAAAATAAGATTTGTTGTTTTTGCATTTATTTATTTTTGAGACAGAGTCTTACTCTGTCACCAGGCTGGAGTGCAATGGCATGACTGCTGCTCACTGCAACCTCCGCCTCCTGAGTTCAAGCAATTCTCATGCCTCAGCCTCCCGCGTAGCTGGGATTACAGGTACCCACCACCACGCCTGGCTAATTTTTGTATTTTCAGTAGAGACAGGTTTTCACCATGTTGGCTAAGCTGGTCTCGAACCCCTGACCTCAAGTGATCCACCTGCCTAGGCTTACCAAAGTGCTGGGATCAAGGCATGAGCCACCATGCCTGGCCTATTTTTGCTTTTTTTCAGATAGTCTCACTCTGTCGCCCAGGCTGGAGTGCAATGGTGCGATCTCGGCTCACTGCAACCTCTGCCTCCGGGGTTCCAGATTCTCCTGCCTCAGCCTCCTGAGTAGCTGGGACTACAGGCACCCACCACCACACCTGGCTAATTTTTGTATATTTAGTAGAGATAGGATTTCACCATGTTGGCCAGGCTGGTCTCGAACTCCTGACCTCAGGTGATCCACCCGCCTTAGCCTCTCAAAGTGCTGGGCTTACAGCCGTGAATCACCTCGCCAGATCTATTTTTCATTTTTTACAAGTTTGTTTTTTCTTTTCTTCCTCCTTTGAGATTCTAATGAACATGGTCACACTACAAGTAAAGTCAGAAGTTGGGCAAAGAACATTCTGAAAGCTGCTTTGGTCATCCAAGATTATTAAAAATGCCTGCACTCTAAAAATATGTACAAAGATATAAAGTAGAAACAAAAAATATAGACCAATTTTTCTTTAAAAAATGCTTTTGGCTAGGTGCAGTGGCTCAGGCCTGTAATCCCAGCACTTTGGGAGGCCAAGGCAGGTGGATCACGAGGTCAGGAGTTCAAGACCAGCCTGGCCAACACGGTGAAACCCTGTCTCTCCTAAAAATACAAAAATTAGACAGGTGTGGTGGCATGTGCCTGTAATCCCAGCTACTTGGGAGGCTGAGGCAGAGAATTTCTTAAACCCGGGAAGCAGAGGCTTCAGTGAGCCGAAATTACGCCACTGCACTCCAGGCAATAGAGTGAGACTCCATCTCCAAAAAAAAAAAAAAATGCTTTTAAGAAAAAATGCAAGGCCTTGGAAGTTTTGGTTCTTCTTTCCTCTCCTGTTGCAGATTCACGTTACGGTTTTGGATGGGTGGCAGAAAGTGCATGTCACCTTCGGTGGCACGGTCTGCAGTGGGTGGGCCTCTCTACTGGAAGGTGACCACCTTTAGATACTGAGACAGCAAGTACGAGTGGCCTTCTTTTACCTTCTTTTAACTTATCCTTTTTTGCTGTCTGGTCATCTTCATTGGTCTTCTGCTTCTCGGTGTCAAGATCATCATCATCATCATCTTCAGCTGCCCATTTGACTGTAGCTATTACAGGAAAGTAATCGATTGTAAGGATGGAAGTTGGTTGGAATGATGTGAGGAAGGGGCCAAGGAATGCAGGCAACTTCTAAAAGCTGAAAAAGACAAGAAAAACAATCTCCCTGCAGAGCCTCTGGAAGCAACCAATCCAAATGACACCTTGACTTTACTCCAGTGACTGATTTTAGATTTCTGGTTTACAGAACTGTAAGAGAATAAATTTGTGTTGTTTTAAGCTACTAAGTTTATGGTAATTTCTTACAGCAGAAATAGAAAATTAATGCAAAGTGCCTTTAAAACATCTAAGTAGCTGGGCATGGTGGCGCACAACTGTAATCCCAATACTTTGGGAGGCTGAGGCAGGAAGATCACTTGAGCCCAGGAGTTTGAAACCAGCATGGACAATATAGGGAGATCCCATCTCTACACACACACACACACACGTTGCCACATCCCTGTGGTCCCAGTTACTCAGGAGGCTGAGGTGGGGAGGACTGCTTGAGCCCAGGAGATCGAGGCTGCAGTGAGCTGTGTTTGCACTATTGCCCTCCAGCCTGGGCCACAGAATGAGACCCTGTCTCTCAAAAACAAAACAAAAACATCTACGTGAGGTCAGGTAGCCAACTGGAGACCAGGGTCTGAAAGTGAGAGAAGAGTGCTGAGCTAGAAATCTGTGAATCATATTCACATGGGTGGCAGCTGAAGCTGTGGGAGGGCATAAACTCATATTAGGGAGGTGACACTGTCACCTACTTGCTGTGCATCTTTCAGCAAGATAATTAACTGATCTGACACATTATTGAGCATTTATTCTGTCCTGGAATCATATCAAGCAATTTACATGCATTCTCATTTAATCCTCACAACCAGTTTATGAGGCTGAAACTTTTTTTTTTTTAGACCAAAAGCATCTTGGATAAACAGGCCTGAGGCTTGCCCAGGCTGAAGTGCAATGGCGCGATCTCAGCTCACTGCAACCTCCGCCTCCCACGTTCACGCGATTCTCTAGCTTCAGCCTCCCGAGTAGGTGGAATTACAAGCGCCCGCCACCATGCACGGCTAATTTTTTTTTAATTTTTAGTAGAGACAGGGTTTCACCATATTGGCCAGGCTGATCTCAAACTCCTGAACTCAGGTGATTCGCCCACCTCGGCCTCCCAGTGTTGGGATTACAGGCGTGAGCCACCGCGTCCGGCCAGAAACCATTTTTATCTCCTATTTTCAAAAATAAATAAATAAATAAAAATTTTAAAAAAAGAAACTGAGGTTTAGAGTTTAGTTTGTCCAAGATCATACAGTAAAATAATGAGACAAGCCTAATTAAATTGCATGTGCCTCAGTCATTACGCAATCTGCGAGTTTGTTGGGCCTACTGAATCAGAATCCGAATTATTTTAACATGAACCGTAGGCTATTTGTACACTAAGCGTTAGGACTAGCCTCTACCCTGCTTCCAGAATGGGTTCCGCTCAAGCAGGAGGTGAGCCAAGAGCCTCGCTCAGAGTTCTAAAAACACAATGTTTCTCACCTCTGTATCTTTGCACATGCCATTCTCTAGCTGGATTTAATACTCCGGTGCAAGCGTCCAGGTTGGGAGCCCCCGCAGTTCTCTGAGGTACTTTTATCTACTGTAACTCTAGGGCAACAATCCTGGCTTCTCCACTAGTGCGTGAACGTCTCTAGCGTTAAGTTTTTTTCTCACCTAAGTATCCCCAATACTACACAGTGATGACCCAGCGCAAACGACCACTCTTTCAACGCAAGCATGAACTAGCTGATAAAACTTAAAAGTGGCTACAAACGCCTGCGCAGGAGCCCTTCCGGCCCGGGGTGAGACGCGGGTCTAAAGAAAAGGTGGGCGGGAGGTTTAAATAGCTGACTGCAGTCCCCGGACTGGCTGCGCCGCTCGCCGCATGCGCGCAGCTAGCGGGCACGGCTTCAGAGGGCTTTCTCCGCATGCGCGGGATCCCGGATGTGGATCAAGTTGGTGGGAAGCGTGCGGTGCCGCAGCAATGGCGGCGCTCACAATTGCCACGGGTACTGGCAATTGGTTTTCGGCTTTGGCGCTCGGGGTGACTCTTCTCAAATGCCTTCTCATCCCCACATAGTAAGGGACTCGCACGGCCAGGGGCTGGGCGGGGAGGCCCCGCGGTCGGTCAGGGCGGGAGAGAAAGGTGTGGATATCCCTGGGTATGAAGAGAAAACTTTAGGTCGTGTTTGTCGCTATCCTGCCTTTGCTAAGCTTTCTGTTTCGCCAGTTGTTACTTGACTTAGCCCCAGCTGGCTAGGTTCAGACCTGGCGCTGTCTGATTTGGAACAAATCACTTTAACGTTTCTGAACCTCAGGGTCCTCATCCTTAATAGGCAGTTAAGAACCTCTGCCTCCAACAGCCATTCAGCCAGTATTATCAGATGCCTGAGGTGCCAGGTACCGTTCTAACTCCCGGGAGATGCGGTGGTGAGCAAGACATTGCTGGTCCTTGCCCTCGAAGTTGGTGGGTGGAGCTAGACAAACAGGAACTTTTCAGATTGTGATAAAGGAAATAGAGGGTTACTAAGTGGCTGTGCGCTATTCCTTTAGAAGGTGATGTTTGAGTTGAAATTCAAAAAATGAAAAAGAATAAGTGATGTGGAAAGCAGTTCAGGCATAGGAAAGAGTAAGTTCAAAGGCCCTGTGGCAGGAAAGAAGTCAGAGCATTCTAGGAACAGAAAGTGCCCCTTGTGGCTGCAGAGCATTGAGGGAGAGGAGTGGCACAGCATGGGGTGCACTGGGGACAGATAACACAGGGTTTCGAAGACCACAGTTAGACTGCTGTGTAAAAAATGGATGTAGGGCCAAGACTGAAAGCGTGGAAACCAAGAAGCAACCATGAAATGGTGGTGTGTATACAGTAGGTACTCAGTATTTATTAATATTGGCTTCCGCCTTCCCTTCATCCTTCCTCTTTTTTCTTTTTCTCCCTCATCCCTTTTCTCCTTTCCCTCCCACTTCCTAGTTTAGGGTTTGTTTTATTGGTATCCTTTGATTCAGGCTCTTGGTGATCTCTTGTTGAATATGGGAGAGTCATATGTATAGAATGTAAGTCCATACTGATGCGTATATGTAATCATGTAAGTGGAATGTATATGTAGATTCAGTAAAATGATTAACTGTAGGTCTGTGCATAAGATTATTTCTTGCTTTAGTTGCCTCAGGCTAGAAATGTATCCTCAGAGTTGTTTTTTTTGTTTGTTATTTTTTTTTTTTTTGAGACAGTCTCGTCCCACTCTGTCACCCAGGCTGGAGTACAGTGGCACGATCTCAGCTTACTGCAACCTCTGCCTCCCGGGTTCAAACGATTCTCCTGCCTCAGCCTCCGGAGTAGCTGGGATTACAGGCTTGCACCACCGCGCCAGGCTAATTTTTGTATTTTTAGTAGAGATGGGGTTTCACCATGATGGCGGAGGGCTGATCTCAAATCTCCTGACCTCAAGTGATCCACCTGCCTCGGCCTCCCATAATGTTGGGATTACAGGCATGAGCCACCGTGCCTGGCCAGAGTTGTTATTTTGAATACTGCTCTTGGTCCAGGTTAAGAATGTATATAGCGCTCACTTTGGCAGCACATGTACAGGAATACCTCATTTTTTGTACTTTGCTTTATTGCACTTCACAGATACTGCATTTTCATTTTTTTTACAAATTGAAGGCTGCGGTAACTCTCCATTGAGCAACTCTATCAATGCCATTTTTCTAACATCATGTGCTCATTTTGTGTCTGTGTTACATTTTGGTAAATCTTGAAATATTTCACACTTTTTCATTGCTATTATATTTGTTATGATCTGTAATCAGTGATCTTTGATACTACTATTCTGATTGCTTTGGGGCAACACTATGGTGAACTTAATAAATGCTGTGTGTTCTGACTGCTCTATCAACCAGCTGTTCCATCATCTCTCTCCCTCTCCTCAGGCCTTGCTGTTGACTGAGATACAATAATAAAGTTAGGCCAATTAATAGCCCTACAGTGGCATCTAAGTGTTCAAGTGAGAGGAAGAGTCACATATCTCTGACTTTAAATCAAAAGCTAGAAATGATTGAGCTTGATGAGGAAGGCATCCTGAAAGCCAAGACGGGCTGAAAGCTAGGCCCATTGTGCCAAACAGCCAAGTTGTGAGTGCAGAGGAAAAGTTCTTGAAGGAAACTAAAAGTGCTACTCCAGTGAATACACAAGTGATAAGAAAGTGAAACAACCTTGATGATATGGAGAATGTTTTAGTGGTCTGGATAGATCAAACCAGCCATAACATTCCCTTAAGCCAAAACCTTATCCAGAGCAAGGCCCTAAGTCTTCAATTCTTTGAAGCCTAAGAGAGGTGAGGAAGTTGCAGAAGAAAATTTGGAAGCTAGCAGAGGTTCTTTTAAGAAAAGAAGCCATCGGCCGGACGCGGTGGCTCATGCCTGTGATCCCAGCACTTCGGTAGGCCAAGACGGGCGGATCACCTGAGGACCAACATGGAGAAATCTCGTCTCTACTAAAAATACAAAATTAGCTGGGCGTGGTGGAGCATGCCTGTGATCCCAGGTACTTGGGAGGCTGAGGCAGGAGAATCACTTGAACCCGGGAGGTGGAGGTTGCAGTGAGCTGAGATCGCGCTATTGCACTCCAGCCTGGGCAACAAGAGTGAAACTCTGTCTCAAAAAAAAAAAAAGGAAGAAAAGAAGCCATCTCCATAATAAAGTACAAGGTGAAGCAGCAAGTGCTGATGTAGAAGCTGCAGTAAGTTTTCTAGAAGATCTAGCTAAGCTCACTGATGAAGGTGGCTACACTAAACAATAGGTTTTCAAGGTAGAAGAAACAGACTTACATTGGAAGATGCCATCTATGACATCTAGTTGAGCCATTTCTCACTTACTATTCTAAAAATCCAATGGCCCTTAAGACTTATGCTAAATCTACTCTGCCTGTGATCTATAAATGGAACAACAAAGCCCTGGATGACAGCACATCTATTTACAGCATGGTTTACTGAATAAGCCCACTGTTGAGACCTACTGCTCAGAAACATTTTTTTTTTCTAGAGGCAGGGTCTCGCTCTATCTCCCAGGGTGAAGTACAGCGGCACCATCATGGCTCACTGCAGCCTTAATCTCCTGCGCTTGAGCAGCCTTCCTCCCTCAGCCTCCCGAATAGCTGGGACAAAGACAGATGCCACCATGCCCAGCTAATTTTTTTTCCTTTCTCTCTCTATTATCTGTCTGTCTATCTATCTATATGTGTGTGTTTTGTTTTGGTTTGTTTTTTTTTTTTCTTTTTGGTAGAGACGAGGTGTCACTGTGTTGCCCAGGCTGATCTCGAACTCCTGGGCTCAAGTGAGCCCTTCCAAAGTGCTGGGATTACAGGCCTGAGCCACCTCACTGGTCAATATTTTTCCTTTTTCTTTTCTTTTTTGAGACAGTGTTTCACTTTGTCAGGCTGGAGTGCACTGGTATGATCTCAGCTCACTGCTGCCTCTACTTCCTGGGCTCAAACAATCCTCCCATCTCAGCTCCCCAAGTAGCTTGAACTACAGGTGCACACCACTACACCCAGCTAACTTTTTGTATTTTTTGCAGAGATGGGGTTTCACCATGTTGCCCAGGCTCGTCTCAAATTCCTGACCTCAAGCGATCCACCTGTCTTGGCCTCCCAAAGTGCTAGGATTACAGACATGAGCCACTGCACCCACCCATTATTTTTCTTTTTTTTTTTTCTTATTTATTTATGTTTGAGACGGAGTTTCACTCTGTCTCCCATGCTGGAGTGTAGTGGCACAATCTCAGCTCACTGCAACCTCAGCTTCCCGGGTTCGAGTGATTCTCCTGCTTCAGCCACCCAAGTAGCTGGGATTACAGGTGCACACCATCATGCCCTGCTAATTTTTATATTTTTAGTAGAGATGGGGTTTTGCCACATTGGCCAGGCTGGTCTTGAACTCCTGGCCTCAAGTGATCTGCTCTCTTTGGCCTCCCAAAGTGTTGGGATTACAGGCGTGAGCACCATGCCCGGCTTTTTTTTTAAATGTATTTTTGGAGAGATGGGGTCACTGTGTTGCTCAGGCCGGCCTGGAATTCCTAGGCTCAAGCAATCCTCCTACCTTTGCCTCCCAAAGTTCTGGGATTACAGACATGAGCCCCTGTGCCCAACCTTAATGTTGTTTTCATGCCTGCTGATGTAACATCTATTCTGCAGCCAGTTGAGTAGTTGATTTTTTTTTTTTTTTGAAACAGGGTCTCACTCTGCCTCTCAGGCTGTAGTGCAGTAGCATGATCTCATCTCACTGCAACCTCCACCTTTCAGGCTCAAGCAATCCTCCTACCTCAACCTGCCAAGTAGCTGGGACTTAAGGTGTGTGCTACCATACCCTGCTAATTTTTTGTATTTTTAGTAGAGATGGGTTTTTGCTGTGTTGCCCAGGCTGTTTTTGAACTCCTGTGCTCAAGCAATCTGCCTGCCTTGGCCTCCCAAAGTGCTAGGATTATAGGCGTGAGCCACCATGCCCAATCAGTTTTGACTTTTAAGTCTTGTTATTTAAGAAATACATTTCATAAGGCTATATCTGCCATAGATAGTGATTCTTCTGATGGATCTGGGCAAAGTAAATTGAAACCATTCTAGATGCTATTAAGAACATTCATGATTCATGGGAGGAGGTCAAGATATCAACATTAACAAGAGTTTGGAAGAATTAGATTCCAACTCCAATGGATAACTTTGAGGGGTTCAAGACTTCATTGGAAAAAGTAACTGCAGATGTCATGGGAATAGCAAGAGAACTAGAAGTGGAGCCTGAGCATGTGATTGAATTGCTGCATGATATCTCATGATACAACTTGAGTGGATGAGGAGTTACTTCTCATGGATGAGCAGAGAAAGTGGTTTCTTTTGAGATGCACTCTGCTAATGAAGATGCTGTGAATATTGTTGAAATGACAACAAAGGATTTAGAATATTATATAAACTTAGTTAATAATCAGTGGCAGGGTTTGAGAAGAAGGATTGACTCTAGTTTTGAAAGTTTTACTGTGGGTAAAATCCTATCAAACAGCATTGCATACTAGAGGAATCTTTTGTGAAAGGAAGAGCCCATCAATGTGGCAAGCTTCATTGTTGTTTTATTTTAAGCAATTGCCACAGTCTTGCCAGGCGCAGTGGCTCATGCCTGTAATCCCAGCGTTTTGGGAGGCTGAGGCGGGCGGGTCACCTGAGGTCAGGAGTTCAAGACCCGCCTGGCCAACATGGGGAAACCCCGTCTCTACTAAATATACAAAAATTAGCCAAGTGTGGTGGTGGGCACCTGTGATCCCAGCCACTTAGGAGGCTGAGGCAGGAGAATCACTTGAACCCAGGAGGCGAAGGTTGTAGTGAGCCAAGATCACACCATTGCACTCCAGCCTGGGTGACAAGAGTGAGACTCCATCTCAAAAAAAAAAAAAAACCAGTTTGCCACAAGTCACCCCAATCTTCAGCACCCATAAACCTGATCAATCAACAGCCATCAACATTGAAGCAAAATCCTCCACCAGCAAAAAGATTAGGACTTGCCGAAGGTGCAGATGATCATTAGCTTTGTTTTAGCGATAAAGTATTTTAAAATGAAGGTGTACGCTGTCTTTTTAGACATAGTAGTATTGCACGTTTTATAGTATAGTGTAAACATAACTTTTTTTTTTTTTTGAGACGGAGTCTCGCTCTGTCGCCCAGGCTGGAGGGCAGTGGCGCTATCTCGGCTCACTGCAAGCTCACCTTCCGGGTTCACACCATTCTTCTGCCTCAGCCTACCGAGTAGCTGACCCTACAGGCGCCCCTCACCAAGCCCGGCTAATTTTTTTTGTATTTTTAGTAGAGATGGGGTTTCACCATGTTAGCCAGGGTGGTCTCGATCTCCTGACCTCGTGATCCGCCCGCCTCGGCCTCCAAAGTGCTGGGATTACAGGCGTGAGCCACCGCGGCCGGCCAGTGTAAACATAACTTTTACATGCTCTGGGAAATCAAAAAATTCATGTGACTCACTTTATTGCGATATTCACTTCATTATGGTGGTCTAAACCCACAATATCTCTAAGGTATGCCTGCACTAAAATCGAATGATACAGGAAGCTTAGCATGGTCCACGCACAAGGATAGCATGCAAATTTATGAAACACTTCATATATTTAAAAACGAATGTTTTTAATTGTAGTTAATGCTCTGTTTCTCAAACCAGAAACCCCTGGGATATGAGAGGGAAGTTACAGGATAAATGCAGATATATTCAACAAAACATTTACTAATTGCTTTATTATGTACCAGGTACTGTTGCTAGGCTAGAAGGGAGGAAAAAATAGATATGATCCCTAGCCCTGTGAAGTGTGTAGTTCAGTAAGTATAACAGTACAAGAAACAAATCAATGCAAATATATAGTTACATAACTACAATTTGGATTAAGTATTAGGAAGAAGAGGCTGGGTGTGGTGGCTCACGCCTGTAATCCCAGCACTTTGGGAGGCCGAGGCGGGCGGATCACGAGGTCAGGAGATCGAGACCATCCTGGTTAACACGATGAAACCCCGTCTCTACTGAAAATACAAAAATTAGCCGGGTGTGGTGGTGGGCGCGTGTAGTCCCAGCTACTGGGGAGGCTGAGGCAGGAGAATGGCATGAACCCGGAAGGCGGAGCTTGCAGTGAGCCGAGATAGCGCCACTGCACTCCAACCTGGTCGACAGAGTGAGACTCCATCTAAAAAAAAAAAAAAAAAAAAAATGGAAGAAGAAGAACAGGATCCTATCAGGCGACCAAGAAGGAAGATGTACTTTCAGTTAGGTGTCAGAGAATGTCTCTGAGGAACTGACATCATTGGAGGCCTAAAGTGTGAATGAGAGGGCCATCCATGCAGAGTATGTGGTGTGTGCAAGTGTGTAGAACTTATCTGAAAGAGCACACTGTATAAATATAGGCCCTGTGGTGTGAAAGTATTGACCTATTTGGGCAGCTATGATAAGGCCAGTGTAGCTGGCATGGAATAAGCAACAGAGACAGAAACATGCACAGTGAAATTGGAAAGATAGGCACCAAATCATGCCGGAGCTTATAAAGCCAGGATGAAAAATTTAGATTTTGATTTTATAAGCTCAGTGGAAATGATCTGCATTTATAAAATATTTTTTGGCTCCCATATAAATGATTGGAGGAGGCAGAAGGAGAGTCAGGAAGGCTAGGTGCCCTTTGAGAAAGTCTACATGAGAGAAGATGCTGACTTGAATTGGAGTGGTGGCATTAGAGATAGAAATGGACAAATTAAAGATTTATTTTGCCTTGAGGTCAGGAAGGATTTGCAGAGAAAATAACAACTAACTTTGGAAGTATTTGGTGGTTTAAGAGCCGTAGCTAGGGAGTCAGACTGCCCTGGTTAGAATCTGGCTCTGCTGCATACTGGCTACATGACAGGGCAAGCTGCTTCTCTACGCCACTGGTGAAATGGTAAGAGTTAAAGAACCTACCTCACACAGAGTGTTGCAGGCAGAGGGAAAAGGTGAATGTAGAGTAAGACAAAGACAGGTGGGAGGATGGTGAGAAATGGGCTGAAAAGGTGAGTAAGCGAGATCCAAAAATATCTTTTAGACTATGTTGAGTACTTTAGATTTTATCCAGAGGGCAGAGGCCAGTTAAAAGGGAAATATAACATTCGTGATTTAGAAATACTACTTTGGCTGCAATGTGAAAGCTAGATTAATGAAGGGCCTGAGTGAAGATGGGGAGTTCAATTTAAGAAGCTATCATAGGACAAGTAAGAGATGGTAGGTTTTTGTTTGTTTTAATTTTTAGAGACAGGGCTGGGTGCAGTGGCTCACACCTGTAATCCCAGCACTTTGGAAGGCCAAGGCAGGCAGATTGCTTGAGCTTGGGAGTTTGGGACCAGCCTGGGCAACATAATGAAACCCCGTCTCTACAAAAAATACAAAGAATTAGCTGGAGATGGTGGTCAAAAATTTTAGAGACAGAGTCTAACTCTGTTGCTCAGGCTAGATTACAGTGGCACAGTCATAGCTCACTGCAGCCTCAAATTCCTGGGCTCAAGCCGTCCTCTGGCCTCAGCCTCCTGAGTAGCTGGGACTACAGGTGCACACCACCACACCAGCTAATTTTTAAGTTTTTTGTAGAGATGGGAGTCTCATTATGTTGCCCAGGCTGGTCTTGAACTTCCAACCTCAAGCTATCCTCCCACCATGGCCTCCCAAAGTACTGGGATTATAGGCATGAACCATTGTGCTCGGCTGATTGTAGATTTTGTTAATGCAATTTAAAAAAGTAGTTACTATTTATCATTATGTCTCTAGTCTTAGTTTTGCTTTTTTTTTCAAGTGTCATTTCAGCAATTAAGATTACTTTTACTGATGGGTGCAGTGGCTCACGCCTGTAATCCCAGCACTCCAACAAAAGTGAAGTCTCCAACAGTTTTGAATAGGAAACAACAAAATAAAGCACCCAAAAAAGAGACTGGAAAAAGTCTATATAGTACAACTATATAGGAAAAGAAAGTGTCCCCAAACTCACTCAGATTTTGTAAATGCTGTCTCCAAAGAGAGTAAAAAAGACATGTCTATAAAACAAGAACAGATGCTATGAAACAGGAATTATCAGAGAAACAGTGGTTAATAGAAAATGTTATTGCCAAAATTAAGGACAAATTGAGTAAATCTTTCAAAAATATAAGAGAAAAGATAAAAATTATAAGTTCAATCTAGGGTGTCTAGCATCCATCTAAAAAAATTTCAGAAAAAAAACACAGGGGAGGAGATTAACAAATAATAAATTTCCCAGAGCTGAAGGCACTACATACTCAGCATAATTAATGAAAAAAGACCCTCATGAAGACATTAATCACTAGACATTTCAGACTGCTATGGATAAAAAGGAGAAACAGGAAACTTCCAGAGATGAAGGGAAAACCATAAAGTAAAGAGACTTACCAACATCAACATTTTATACTAAAAACCAATGGAATAAGCTTCCAAAGTTCAGTGGAAGTAAATTTCAACCTAGAATTCCATACAAAATCCAGTATAAAATACCAGAAGTGCAAATCATAAATGTACAGCTCACTGAATTTTTGCAAAGTGAATACATCTGTAAAAAGCATATAGATCAATAAGCAGAATATTATCCCTCGGGCATCTTTCCAGCCACTCCCCACAACCCCACCCCACTAAAGGTATTGATATTCTCACCTTTTTTTTTTTTTTTTTTTGAGACCGGGTCTTGCTCTGTCTCCCATGCTGGAGTGCAGTGGTGCAAACTTGGCTCACTGTAGCCTCAGCCTCTTGGGCTCAGGCAGTCCTCCCACCTCAACCTCTTGAGTAGCTGGGACTACAGGGGCGTGCCGCCATGCCTGGCTAATTTTTAAATTTTTTGAGAGATGGGGTCTCATTGTTACCCAGGCTGGTCTTGAACTCCTGAGCTCAAGTGATCCACCCGCCTTGGCCTCCCGAAGTGTTGGGATTACAGGCGTGAGCCATCATGCCTGGCCTCTGATGTTCTTTTAACCGCATAGGTTAAATTTTGCCTGTTTTTGAATTTTTGTTTGGGTTTTTTTTGTTTGTTTTTGAATTTTATACAAATGTAATCATACAATCTATTCTCTTGGGTCTGGCTTTCACTCAACATTAAGTTTGTGCGTTGTTGTGTAATTACTGTTTTTTCATTCTTATCACTAGATAGCATGGTTCTCAAACTTTTTAGTCAGAATCACTTCTTAAAAATAATTGAGGGTCACAAAGAGCTATATGTTTATGTGGGCTGTATAATAGATAATTACCATTTTAGAAATTAAAACAAATTGTTCAAGCACAAGAATATACAAGCACAAATTTCACTGGCCTTCAGAGTGATGACATCACATTATGTAGCCTCTAGAACATCACTGTATACTTGTGAGAGAATGAGTGAAAGTAGAACAAATTACATCTGAATATTATTATGAAAATAGTACATATTTCAAACTCCTTGAAAGGGTCTCCCTGTGAGTCCCTGAATCACACTTTGAGAACTGCTGCTCTACAGTATTCCATTGTGTGAAAACACCACAATTTATTTAGCTATTCTGCTGTTTGTGGACATTTATCTCCACTTTTTACCTGTTGCAAATAGTTTTACTTTGCACATTTTTTTTTTTTTTTTGAGACGGAGTCTTGCTCTGTCGCCCAGGCTGGAGTGCAGTGGCGCGATCTCAGCTCACTGCAAGCTCCGCCTCCTGGGTTCATGCCATTCTCCTGCCTCAACCTCCTGAGTAGCTGGGACTACAGGCGCCCACCACCACACCCAGCTAATTTTTTATATTTTTACTAGAGATGGGGTTTCACCATGTTAGCCAGGATGGTCTTGATCTCCTGACCTCGTGATCCGCCTGCCTCAGCCTCCCAAAGTGCTGGAATTACAGGTGTGAGCCACCGCGCCCGGCCCCACTTTGCACATTCTTACAGTACGTGTCTTTTAGTGAGCATACTATGCATTTCTGTTGGGTATACGTACTTAGACTTGGGATGGATGGGTCATCAATTCAGTTCTGAGTGGAGATTTTGAAATATCTGTAGGAAATTCAAGTGAGATTGTTAACAGGAAGTTGGAGGTGTCTGTCTCCACAACTTAGTAAAGAAGCCAATGTTGCATATTGAAATTTGGGAGTAGGCCAGGCATGGTGGCTCATGCCTGTAATCCCAGCACTTTGGGAGGCCGAGGCAGGCTGATCACGAGGTCAGGAGATCAAGACCATCCTGGCCAACACAGTAAAACCCCATCTCTACTAAAATACAAAAAAAAAAATTAGCCAGGCGTGGTGCCGCGCACCTGTAGTCCCAGCTACTTGGGTGGCTGGGGCAGGGGAGTCGTTTGAACCTGGGAGACGGAGTTTGCAGTGAGCCAAGATCGCACTACTGCACTCCAGCCTGGCAACAGAGCGAGACTCCGTCTCCAAAAAAAAAAAAAAAAGTAATTTGGGAGTCATCATTATACAATTGACAGTGGAACCAGAAAGTTTGCATAAGATTGTCCAGAGCAGAATAAGTTGCGTAAAAAGGGGACCAAGAACTGAACCTAGGGGAATATCAACATGTCCCTGATGAATATAGGAAGGGAAAGCCATGACTGAGAAAGAAGGGTTGGCTGGAGGTAGGAGAAAGTTGTCATTGTGGAAAGGTTGTGTAAAATGTTGGAAAGGGTAAATTGGGCTTTGCTGTGGAACTCATTGTTCACTTTGGTGAGTGGATATTCAGCAAGAATGTATTGAGCTTGTCCATGCGTCAGGTACTGTTCTAAATGTGGAGGGGAGGTACAGCAGTGGACAAACAGGAAAAGATTTTTTCTAAAGATAGGTGATCCTTAGATATGTATAGTGATGGGAAGAGGGAGAATTTGGAGACATGGGAAAGGCAAAGCAAGGATCTTTTCCCACCTTCTCTGTCAGATGAACTCCTCATCCTTATGTCTTGGTATATGAGGCCTTTTTCAGGTAATGAATTTTGTTAGAATTGTTTGTGAGCAAGAGGAAGTCACTTCTGAGCAAAGGCCTGAGGGCCGCCTGTAAGAAAAAGTTTGGGCTAGGCCGGGCGTGGTGGCTCACGCCTGTAATCCCAGCACTTTGGGAGACTGAGGCAGGTGGATCACCTGAGGTCAGGAGTTTGAGACCAGCCTGGCCAACATGGCGAAACCCCACCTCTACTAAAAATTAGCCAGGATTGGTGGTACATGCCTGTAGTCTCAGCTGCTCGGGAGGCTGAGACAGGAGACTCGCGTGAACCCGGGGGGCGGCAGTTGCAGTGAGCTGAGATGGGTCCACTACACTCCAGCCTGGGTGACAGAAGGAGACTCCGCCTCAAAAAAAAAAAAAAAGAAAAGAAAAAGAGAAAGTCTGGGCTTCTTGTCAGCCCTTTAGGTAGTTCTGAGACCCTTTTCACTGACTTGTAGATTGCTCAACAACTTTCTAGAAGATCTGACCTCCAGATAAATGAGGTTTTACAGGATTATGTAATGTCTATTTGTGTCTCTATAGGACAGTGAGCTGTGACAGCTTAGGGAATGTCAGTCCATTTAAAAGCATAACTATGGGAATTAGAAATTGATAAATATTGCAAAATCTCATTTTATTTATCTAATTGTTTTGAGTAGCCATTCCACAGATTTTGAAGTACACCGAAACTGGCTTGCTATCACTCACAGTTTGCCAATATCACAGTGGTATTATGAGGTAAGTTTTAATTTTCACCTTTTTTTTTTTAAGATTCATCTATAAACTAGGTAAATATTACTGATATTAAAAATGTTTTCTGGCTGGGTGCGGTGGCTCACGCTTGTAATCCCAGCACTTTGGGAGGCCAAGGCGGGCAGATCATGAGGTCAGGGGTTGGAGACCAGCCTGGCCAACACAGTGAAACCCTGTCTCTACTAAAAATACAAAAATTAGCTGGGTGTGGTGGTGGGCACCTGTAATCCCAGCTACTCAGGAGCTGAGGCAGGAAAATCACTTGAACCTGGGAGGCGGAGGTTGCAGTGAGCCGAGATCGCGCCACTGCACTCCAGCCTGGGTGACAGAGTGAGACTCTGTCTCAAAAAAAAAAAAATTTTCTTGCAATCATAGATCTAATTAATCTTTATAAAAATTGTGGTCTCTTCTCAGTTCTGTCCTCTTGCACTACTAGGGAATCCCCTTACTTCAAAATGAGTTTCCCAGTCTATAAATTGGGAGGTATAATATCTACCACACTTTTTGAAAGAATAGTGGACTGGGAAAGAGGAAGAACTGGATTCTTAGGCCTGGCTCTGCCACTATCTAGTTACATAGAGAAAAGATACTTCATGTCTCTGGGCCTTAGTGTCTCATCTGGCACATGAGGATTTGGAGTGAATTATTTCTAAGATCCTGTCTGTTCCTAATGTTTTGTGATTTTGTGAGGAAAGGAATAATCAAATGTGATGTGTAGACATCAGGTAATATACAAACCATTCTCTCATATTGTTTATAAAAACTATGTCTGTATTTTTATTTCTTTTTCTTTTCCTTTTTTTTTTTTTTGAGACAGAGTCTCGCTCTTGTCACCCAGGCTGGAGTGCAGTGGCACAATCTCAGCTCACTGCAACCTCCGCCTCCCGGGTTCAAGCGATTCTCCTGCCTCGGCCTCCCAAGTAGCTGGGATTACAGGCGCCCGCCACCATGCCCCAGTTAATTTTTGTATTTTTAGTAAAGAGGGGGTTTCCCCATGTTGGCCAGGCTGGTCTCGAACTCCGGACCTCAGGTGATCCACCCACCTTGGCCTCCCAAACTGCTGGGATTACAGGCGTGAGCCACTGCACCCAGCTTGTATTTTTGTTTCTGGTATGAATTACTAAACTGTGTGTAATACTTTATGAAAAACAGACATTACTCCAGAAATTTCTTCTTTTTTTTTTGAGACGGAGTCTCGCTCTGTTGCCCAGGCTGGAGTGCAGTGGCGCGATCTCTGCTCACTGCAAGCTCCGCCTCCCAGGTTCACGCCATTCTCCTGCCTCAGCCTCCTGAGTAGCTGGGACTACAGGCGCCCGCCACCATGCCAGGCTAATTTTTTGTATTTTTAGTAGAGACGGGGTTTCACCATATTAGCCAGGATGGTCTCGATCTCCTGACCTTGTGATCTGCCCGCCTCGGCCTCCCAAAGTGCTGGGATTACAGGCGTGAGCCACTGCGCCCGGCCCAGAAATTTCTTGATGAAAAGCAGTACTCTGCTGACAGGGAGTTGGATTTTGTTTTGTTTTCTTTTCTTTTGAGACGAAGTCTCACTCTCACCCAGGCCGGAGTGCAATGGCACGATCTCGGCTGACTGGCGACCTCTGCCTCCTGGGTTCAAGTGATTCTCCTGCCTTTAGCCTCCTGAGTAAGCGATTCTCCTGCCTTAGCCTCCTGAGTAGCTGGGATTACAGGCACCCACTACCATGCCCAGGAAATTTTTTTTTTTTTTTTGTATTTTTAGTAGAGACAGGGTTTCACCACGTTGGTCAGGCTGGTTTTGAACTCCTGACCTCAGGTGATCCACCTGCCTCGGCCTTCCAAAGTGCTGGGATTACAGGTGTGAGCCACTATGCCCGGCCCAGGGAGTTTTTTTTAAGGCAAATTTTTTGCAAGTTTCCTATGAGTTTCGATACCATATATAGTATTTTATATGTATATATAAAATGGAATACCATAACCCATGAGGTAGATACTACTATCCCTGTTGTATAGGTGCAAAAAGTGAGACTTAGGCTGGGCGCGGTGGCTCACGCCTGTAATCCCAGCACTTTGGGAGGCCGAAGTGGGCGGATCACGAAGTCAGGAGATCGAGACCGTCCTGGCTAACATGGTGAAACCCCGTCTCTACTAAAAATACAAAAAATTAGCCGGGTGTGGTGGCGGGCTCCTGTAGTCCCAGCTACTCGGGAGGCTGAGGCAGGAGAATGGTGTGAACCCGGGAGGCGGAGCTTACAGTGAGCCAAGATCGCGCCACTGCACTCCAGCCTGGGTGACAGAGCAAGACTCCATCTCAAAAAAAAAAAGAAAAAGAAAACTGAGAGAGAAATCTAACAAAATATACTATTCTAAAGCTTGTATATTTTCATATGATTTCTGTTTTCATTTACTCATTAGCAACTGTTCCTTTAACTAGTGGTTATTTTATCCCAAGCAATATGTCAGGCACTTACTAAATGCTGAGGATACAAAATGATAAAGGATAGTTTCTATTCTCCAGGATCATATAACTTACTGAAACAAAATATAATAGCATTTGTGTATTATTTTGTTGTTTATAAATATATTTCATATGTATTATCTCATTTAATCTTCATAATACCTCATTTTACAAATAGGGAAATTGTGTCTCTAAGACAGAATTTGAACCTAAGTTAGTGAATTATTTGTTATTTAGATGAGTAGAACCATGTCATAACCAAGTTTATCATCTCCAGGTTTCAAATTAATTTCCTTTAAGTGTAGTTGACTCTATTTAAGGAAATTGAAGACCATGTTAAATAATTTACAAGACAGGTTTTAGTGTTCTGTTCAGTCTTACATAGGAATTGTTCTATTAATTTAGGGCATATTTTAAGTGCAACAGCATTTCACTGTGATTTTTGTTCGTTTGTTTTTAATTAAAAATAGAGACAGGGTTTTACCATGTTGCCCAGACTGGTCTTGAACTCCTGGGCTCAAGCGATCTGCCTGCCTTGTCCTCCCAAAGTGCTGGGGTTACAGGTGTGAGCTACCACGCCCAGCCTTATTGTGCTGTTTTAAAGACCAGAGAATGAAAAATTTTAAATCGTTGCACCATCTTTGTTTATTCAGTTATTTAGGATATGTCTGATCTTCTATTTTTATCACAGGCAACTTCAGAGTGGACGTTGGATTACCCCCCTTTCTTTGCATGGTTTGAGTATATCCTGTCACATGTTGCCAAATATTTTGATCAAGAAATGCTGAATGTCCATAATTTGAATTACTCCAGCTCAAGGACCTTACTTTTCCAGAGATTTTCCGTCATCTTTATGGATGTACTCTTTGTGTATGCTGTCCGTGAGTAAGTCTGGAGCATGTCATTTTGTATGGAAGGTATTGAAAAAATAGTACAGTGTTAAGTAGTATTAACTTACTCCCAATTTAGGAGGAACAAAGTTTATATGATAGCAAATGCTAAAACAATGAAAAATTGTATTGTGCTTTAAACTACATGTTTAAAGCACTCTAGCTGAATCTTGTGGAAGAAATGGGGATAAGGTGGAGTTACAAGGCAGAGGTAGAACAAGAGATTATGAATGTTGTGAAAAGAAGTAGTCCCAAGTATAGTTCTAGGGCCATTTCTCCCACCCAGAATAGCTCCATATGTTTTTCTTTGCTTCCTTGCAGCAGGCCGCCAGAGGCTTCCATCACCTACCCTATCTTAGGGTATGCACACAGTACATGCACAGTAGCGCACACGTATGGATTGTGCTAACCACCAAAGTCTGCTTTTACGGAGCTTTCATTCTAGTAAACTCAAGAAATTTCACTGAGTGCTTTTAGTTGTTTCCATATACTTTCCTTCATGAAGACTCTTTGTTATTTTAAGTTATGCTTATATTTTAAATTTTTATGTTTTACAACTTTTACTTATAAGTTAATTTTAAGTATTGAATACACATATATAGAATGTCTTGCACAGTGACTTCCAAGTACTAAGTTTCAGTTAATGTCAGTTTCCATTCTTTCCTAATTCTTTTTTTTCTTTTTTTTTTTTTTTTTTTTTCTTTTTTTTCCCTGAGATGGAATCTTGCTCTGTCGCCCAGGCTAGAGTATTGTGGCGCGATCTCGGCTCACTGCAACTGCCTCTCGGGTTCAAGCAGTTCTCCTGCCTCAGCCTCCCAAGTAGCTTGGATTACAGGTGCACACCACCATGGCAGGCTAATTTTTGTATTTTTAGTAGAGACAGGGTTTCACCATGTTGGCCAGGCTGGTCTTGAACTCCTGACCTCGTGATCCACCCGCCTCGGCCTCCCAAAGTGCTGGGATTACAGGCATGAGCCGCTGCACCGACCTCATTCTTTCCTAACTCTTAAGCTCGCTGGTGTGATTGTGACAGAACAGTGACTGGTGTTCATTCAGTGACCCTTGTCATAAATGGATCGTTTCTGTTTGTGAGGCCCTCTACACTGAACCCTTGCCCCACTCAGTAAAGAGTCCCTTGGGAATGTCTTTAACCCTTGCGCATTCTCATTGAATAATCCTGTTTGAAACCCTTCCTTTCAATCTGTTTATGACCTGGCAAGAGTTGAAAGGGAAGGTAATTTTTAATATACTCTTTTTAACTCAAAATGTTTGAATTCAAGCTTCCAGGGGAAGAGTATACAAGCACAAAGGGAGAGGAAATAGAATTCATTTCCATCTGCAAAGTAGAGGGAATAGTTAAAAAGATTGTTGAAAGGCCAGGCATAGTGTCTCATGCCTTTAATCCCAGCACTTTGGGAGGCCAAGGCTAGTGTATTGCTTGAGCTCAGGAGTTTGAGACCAGCCTGGATAACATGGTGAAACCCTGCCTCTACTAAAAATACAAAAATTAGCCAGCTGTGGTTGCCGGGGACTGTTGTCCCAGCTACTTGGGAGCCTGAGGCAGAGGATCTCTTGAACCTGGGTGGTCAAGGCTGCAGTGAGCTGTGATTACGCCACTGCACTCCATCCTAGGCGACAGACTGAGACCCTGTCTCAAAAAAAAAAAAAAAAAATTGAAATCTCTGTGTCAGTTCCCAGAACCAAGCATGATATACAGATTATTAACTTATTTAATTTTCTCAGTGACCCTGTAAGTTTACTGCCTCTATTCATGAGGGAACTGAGGCTCCATAGGGCGAAAGGAGGATACCTTTGCTAGTCCCCCTTTAATTGCATCTATTATTTGTTTTAGATTTATTGTTAAAATTTGCCACTCTTCAAATGTAGCACATTTTCAATATCGTCTTTTTATAGAATAATACATCCCCATTGTAAAAACTTTGGAAAAGCACACACACATGCAAAGTAAAAATGAGTCATACTCCCCCACGTATACTAATCACTATTAACATTTTGGTGTATGTTAGTTCAGTCTCTTTTCTGTGTTCGAATATAATTTTCATAAAATAAAAATAGGATCTTACTGTTTTGTCACCTGTTATTGTCACTTAGTAATATATCTCAACATTTAAATGACATACATTTTTACATAAAGGTTTTTAAATTATAATTTGGACAGTCAGGAGGTGCACATTTGCAGTTCTGTTCTTAATTTGGCTGGTATTATGATATATAATTTAGAGTGTTAAATTAGCCTGGTCTGCAGTTTTTACTCTTAAGGACTGAAATAATGTATGCTCTCTCAGTTTTCAAAATCCTTACTTTGGGGTTTACGTGGCTTTTTATTTTTAATTTTGTTAAATGAAGACTTTGTTTTAGATCAGCACAGCTTAGAAAAAGACGTGGAACAGGCCCCGAGGTCCTTGTTTGTGCTACCATTTTTTCTTTTTTTTTTTTTTTCTAGTGAGAAGGTCTTACTATGTCGCCCAGGCTGGCCTCAGACCCCAAGCTCAAGTGGTCCTCTCACTTCAGCCTCCTGAGTAGCCAGGCACCTGCCACCCTGCTCGGCTTGCTGTGACCTTTTTAAGAAATAAAGAATGGCATGGACTTTGGGGTGCCAGGGCAGGAGGATTGCTTGAGCCCAGGAGTTCGAGATCAGCCTGGGCAACAGTGATACCCCATCCCTTCTAAAAAAAGAAAAAGAAAAATTGGAAAAAAAAAAAAAAAAGAATGGCATGTAGTTTGTCAGGAATGACTAATGTATCATAGTTTACTCTGCAGAAGTGATGTTCCGATGAAGATCAAAGTTGTTTCTGTTTCTTTCCTAATGTTTCAATGTAGGTGCTGTAAATGCATTGATGGAAAAAAAGTGGGTAAAGAACTTACAGAAAAGCCAAAATTTATTCTGTCGGTATTACTTCTGTGGAACTTCGGGTTATTAATTGTGGACCGTATCCTTGATATTCTATGTACTATTCCCTTACTAATTCTGATGTATACTAATACAAGATTAATGTTTTCTATAATAATGATTGGAGATGTGAGCTCCTTCTGAAAATGAGTGTGGGGTGGGTTAGTAGGCTCACTTAACTGTGGTCTCTGCCCAACTTCACTGGACTCTGAGGTTAGAGTATTTCATTTCTGAAAAATTAGTGGGATATGTGAGAACCAGCTAAATCATCAATAAAACAATGTACTGAGATTGTGAACTATTTTTAGATTAATCTGATACATATATATTAAATAGTTTTGTAACACATTATTCCAAATACCTTTAATTGGAAAAGGCATATCACAGTGTGCGTGTGGGAATGGTCAGGCATTTGTGCTTTTCTACCATCTTGGCTTACCACATATTAAAAGGCAAAGTTTTTAAATTCAAGGCTTCTGGATGTAATTAAAATCCTTGTAATGGAAACTAATAGTTGCAGTTTTCATAAAGGTAGCCTGGTGTGGAGGAAAGCACCCAGCCTCTGGTTTCAATGTAACCTGGACCCAAATCTTAGTTGCCATTAGCAGCTTTAGAACCATGAGTAGATGAATGTCTCTGAGGCTTAATTTCTTAATCTCTAAAGTATCTCTAAAGAGGAAAATTCTAAATACCTCACAGGTTCATTGTGAGGCTTAATACATAAGATTGTATATGTCCTATAAACAATGCAATGCTGCATGCTGGTGGCCTTAGTAGCAGTTAGGTCCATTCCTTTCTCATCCCTAATTCTAAAAAACAAAAAACTTCTTGCCCCTGAGCTGCGGGGCCTTTAAGGTAGAAAAGGTAGGAAAAACCTGGGAAAGTTTTGTTTTTCTTCTTAAACATAAATTTGTTTTTAAATAAAAAAAATTTATATATTTTAAATCATCTAGTCTAAGATGTCATTAAACATAAGTTTCTTTCCTTTTCTTTTTTTTTTAATTTGAGACATTCTTGCTCTGTCACCCAGACTGGAGTGCAGTGGCACAATCTCAGCTCACTGCAGTGTCCGCCTCCTGGGTTCAGGTGATTCTCATGCTTCAGCCTCCCGAGTAGCTGGGACTACAGGTGTGTGCCACCACATCTGACTAAGTTTTGTATTTTCGGTAGAGACGGGGGTTTGCCATGTTAACCAGGCTGATCTTGAACGCCTGGTCCCAAGTGATCTGCCCATGTCAGCCTCCCAAAATGCTGGGATTACAGGTGTGAGCCACCACACCCCCAAATGTAAGTTTCAATTAAAGATCTGACTATGGTGTTTGCTTCAGCAAAATTGGAATGATACAGAGATTAGCAAAAATAAAAATATGTGTTTAGGCCGGGTGCAGTGGCTGACGCCTGTAATCCCAGCACTTTGGGAAGCCAAGGTTGGGGAATCACGAGGTCAGGAGTTCGAAACCAGCCTGGCCAACATAGTGAAACCCCGTCTCTACTAAAAGTACAAAAAAATTAGCTGGGTGTGGTGGTATGTGCCTGTAGTCCCAGCTACTCGGGAGGCTGAAGCAGGAGAATCGCTTGGACCCAGGAGGCAGAGGCTGCAGTGAGCCAAGACTGTGCCATTGCACTCCAGCCTGGGTGACAGAGTGAGACTCCATCTCAAAAAAAAAAAAAAAAAATTAAAAAAAAAATTTGAATCTGTTTATAGAAAACATATTTATGAGCAGTCCACATTAGTAGTAGTATTTTTTGTCTTTAATTTTGCTATTAAAGCATTTGGAATTTCTATACTCCATCAGCTGGTATAGTTCATTATGAATTTGGTGTCCTCTGTTGTCTTTCCTTGACCTAAGTCCAGATATTCATTTTCAGTACAATGGCTTTTTATTTGGATTAATGCTACTCTCCATTGCACGATTATTTCAGGTAAACATAATTGTTTAATTAGATTTTTTCCCTTTTAGATTAGTTTTTAGATTGTAAAGGGAACAGTGTAGTGGGTGATAGGTAAATTTATTTGACTGTTTTGAGCTGCCAAGTGCGATAGACACTTTTATTAGGTATTTCTCACAAATTCCATCTTCTCTTTTGACCATAATTTTCTTCATTTAACAGATGAGACAATTGTACTCCAAAAGCTTGTTAGCATGCGGCAGGCCTGAATTAAATTGAGTTTTTGTTTGTTTGTGTTTTGAAACAGTCTCACTCTGTCACCCAGACTGGAGTACAGTGGTGCAATCTCAGCTCACTGCAACCTCTGCCTCTTGGGTTCAAGCCTCATGAGTAGCTGGGATTACAGGTGCACACCACCACACCTGGCTAATTTTTGCATTTTTAGTAGAGACAGGGTCTTGCCATGTTGGCTCGAACTCCTGACCTCAAGTGATCCTCCTGCCTCGGCCTCCCAAAGTGCTGGAATTATAAGCATGAGCCCCTGTGCCTGCCCTAAATTACATTTTCTTTGCTTTTGTTTTTTTTTTTTTTTTTTTTTTGAGAATGAGTCTCGCTCTATCGCCCAGGCTGGAGTGCGATGGCACAATCCCGGCTCACTGCAACCTCTGCCTCCCAGGTTCAAGCAATTCTTGTGCCTCAGCCTCCCAAGTAGCTGGGATTACAGGCGCCCACCACCATGCCTGGCTAATTTTTGTATTTTTATTAGAGATGGGGTTTCAACATGTTGGCCAGGCTGGTCTCAAACTCCTGACCTCAAGTGTTCCGCCCGCCTCAGCCTCCCAAAGTGCTGGGATTACAGGCATGAGCCACTGTGCCCAGCCCCGAAATTACATTTTGTCTGGTTGGGATAATTTATGTACAAATGAAGTCTCTAGCAGCAGTCTTTACAATATAATAACTATGATAGTGATACTTTACTGTCAGCAGCATGAAGATTAATGTAATAGAAAGGGATTTGGAATCAGAAGAACTGTGTGTAATCCTGACTAATGTTAATGAGCTATGCAACTCAGGGCTTACTCAAATACATGGCTACTAAGATTACATACATTCCATGTATTTTTTTTTCTTTTTTTTTTTTTTTGAGACGGAGTCTCGCCCTGTCTCCCAGGCTGGAGTGCAGTGGCGCGATCTTGGCTCACTGCAAGCTCCTTCTCCTGGGTTCACGCCATTCTCCCGCCTCAGCCTCCCGAGTAGCTGGGACTACAGGCGCCTGCCACCACGCCCGGCTAATTTTTTGTATTTTTAGTAGAGACGGAGTTTCACCATTTACAGTATGGTCTTGATCTCCTGACCTCGTGATCTGCCCACCTCGGCCTCCCAAAGTGCTGGGATTACAGACGTGAGCCACCGCTCCCGGTCTTTTTTTTTTCTTAAGAGTTGGAGTCTTGCTCTGTCACCCAGGCTGGAGTGCACTGGCGCAATCATGGCTCACTGCCTCCTCAAACTCCTGGGCTCAAGCAATTCTCTCACCTCAGCCTCCTGAGTCGCTAGAATTACAGGTGCACACCACCATACCTGGCTAATTTTTTTTTTTTTTTTTGGTAGAGAAGGAGGTTTCACTATGTTGTCCAGGCTGGTCTTAAACTCCTGACCACAAGTGATCCTCCCACTCTGGCCTCCCAAAGTGCTAGGATTAGAGACAGGTCTTGAACTCCTGGCCTTGAACAATCCTCCTACCTCTGCTTCTGAGTCTCTGGGATTACAGATGTGTGCCACCACACCTGGCTTACATATATCTTATTGAGTAAACTTCAGAACCATTCTGTGAAGTTGTTAGAATTATTATTCCTCCTATAGAGGAGGAAATCAGAAATTCAGATTTTGGGGCCATCCCTTTGTACATGGAATCGAAGTCTCTGGGAATGGGGCTTAAGACTCTCTAAGGAATTTTGATACACCATCAGGCTTGAGAACCATTAACTGAAGGCAAGTTATTTAACCCTCCTAGCCTCATTTTCCCCATAAAATGAAATTTACCGCTACATTCTTAGTTGTAAAATGGGGCTACTTACCTCACAGGGACATTGGAAAGATCAAATTTGATAATCTAAAGTTCTTTGTCAACTATAAATGTCTGGATAAACTTTTCTCTTTTAACCATAAAAAGCTTCATAGTAATTAGAATATAACTGGTGTTCAATGAATATTTGTTGGATGCTTATTGAACAAATAAAATTTGACTATGGAATCAGCTAGACCTTACCCAGATCTTAAATAAGTTATAAAATTGAAGAGAGACCTAGAAGCATTCCCACTCTTTTTTGTTATTACTCCTAAAGCTACCAATTCTAGACCGCACCTGATGAGAGAAGGAAACTGGCCTTTCATGGTCCCTGTGGCAGTTTCCCCTGCAGAACATCAGGACTGTTATCTCATTTAATCCTTCCGAAATTCCTGTGAGGTGGATAGATTTCAGACTTTCTTTTTTTTTGAAGACAACGTCATGCTGTGTCACCCAGGCTGGAGAATGCAGTGGTGGAGTCACAGCACACTGTAACCTCAACCTCCTGGGCTCAAACAGTCCTCCTGCCTCAGCCTCCAGTTAGCTGGGACCACAGGTGCACACCACCACTCCCGGCTAATTTTTTGTATTTTTACTAGAGACGGGGTTTCGCCATGTTAGCCAAGATGGTCTGGATCTCCTGACTTCGTGATCCACCCACTTCAGCCTCTCAAAGTGCTGGGATTACAGGTGTCAGCCACCCCACCCAGCCAAATTCTTACTATAACTTCTTAGTTATAGTAAGCTGGTTTTGTTTTGTTTGTTTGTTTGTTTGTTTTGGAGATAGCATCTTGCATTGTCACCCAGGCTGGAGTGCAGTGGCGCGATCTCAGCTCACTGCAACCTCCACCTCACTGCAACCTCCACCTCACGTGATTCTCGTGTCTCAGCCTCCCAAGTAGCTGGGATTACAGGCACCCACCACCATGCCTGGCTAATTTTTTGTATTTTTAGTAGAGACAGGGTTTCACTATGTTGGCCAGGCTGGTCTCAAACTCCTGACCTCAAGTGATCCACCCGCCTCGGTCTCCCAAAGTGCTGGGATTATAGGCATGAGCCACCACGCCTGGCCTTTGTTTGTTCTTTTTACATCAGAATACCTTTAGTTTTCCTAAGTAGTGTTTGTATCAAGTGCAGTGACTGGTGCCTTCAGCCTGATAGTGCTATATAAGTTACCTAATCTACAATATAAAATTCAATTGATTTTTTTGGTAGCATAGCATCCTATATATTTGTTCATGTTCTCATTCCCAGCCCTTCTTTGGAAATCAACTCCAGCTATTCTGAAACTGTGAGGGGTGAAGGTAATTTAATTCTCTGGGCTCTAATTCCTAAAGGAGAGTTTGCAGTATGTTATTACTGATGACATGTAGGATATGATCTCAGCATAAGGCTTAGTATGTGATAAATCTTTGTTGGAATAGTGAATTTATGAACACATTAGACTCAGTATAAAAGCTAGCTGGGCTGGTCGCAGTGGCTCATGCCTGTAATCCCAGCACTTTGGGAGGCTGAGACAGGTGGATCAGTTGAGGCCAGGAGTTTGAGACCAGCCTGGCCAACATGGTGAAACCCCATCTCTACTAAAAATACAAAAAAATTAGCCAGGCGTGGTGGTGGGCACTTGTAATCCCAGCTACTTGGGAGGCTGAGGCAGGAGAATTACTTGAACCCGGAAAGTGGAGGTTGCAGTAAACGAGACCGTGCCATTGCACTCCAGCCTGGGCAACAAGAACAAAACTCCGTCTCAAAAAAAAAGCTAGCTGGAATCACTTGCCTATGTTTTCCTTATACTGGTTATAGAATATTTACCTTGGGCCAAGCATGGCGGTTCACGCCTGTAATCCCAGCACTTTGGGAGGCCGAGGCAGGTGGATCACCTGAGGTCAGGAGTTTGAGACCAGCCTGGCCAACATGGTGAAACCCTGTCTCTACTAAAAAATACAAAAATTAGCCGGGTGTGTTGGCACACGCCTGTAGTCCCAGCTACTCGGGAGGCTGAGACAGGAGAATTGCTTGAACCGAGGAGGCGGAGGCTGCAGTGAGTCAGGATTGTGCCACTGCACTTCAGCCTGGGTAAGACAGAGGGAGACTCCATCTCAAATAAAATAAAATAAAATAAAAATTTAAAAAAGTAGGTATTGTTTATTTTTGTTATTTATTTATTCATTTTGGAGACAGGGTCTCACTCTGTCACCCAAGTTGGAGTGCAGTGTCGTCATCATGGCTCATTGCAGCCTCCACCTCCTGGGCTAAAGCAGATTCTCTCACCTCAGCCTCCAGAGTAGCTGGTGCTACAGGTGCAAGCCATCACGCCTAGCTAATTTTTTTTATTTTTTATTTTTTTGTAGAGACAGGGCCTCCCTATTTTGTCCAGGCTGGTCTTGAACTCCTGGGGTCAAGCAATCCTTCCACGTCGGCTTACCAAAGTGCTGGGATTGCAGGTGTGAGTCACCACACTTAGCCTAATTTTAGTTTTTTAAATAACCTTTTTGTAGGATAATTTTAGCTTTCCAGAAAAGTTGTAGAAATAGTACAGAGAGTTCCTATATATCCCTCACCCATTTTCCCCCATTACCACCTTACATAACCATGGTACATTCATCAAGACTAAGAAAGCAATATTGATGCATTTGAATTTCACCCGTTTTTCCTTTAATGTCCTTGTTCTGTTCCAGGATTCAATCTAGAATACCACATTATTGCATTTCATTTACCCTGAATTTTAAAGTGATATTTCCCTTTTAAATCTCCTAGAAAAGGCATATGGAAGGAGCATTTCTCTTTGCTGTTCTCCTACATTTCAAGCATATCTACCTCTATGTAGCACCAGCTTATGGTGTATATCTGCTGCGATCCTACTGTTTCACTGCAAATAAACCAGGCAAGTTTTGGTAATAATAGCAAAAACATTTTCGATTTTTCCCTTACTGTGTTGACTTGGTGGCTTGCTTGATAAGAAGGTTTTATGAAGCACAGCAGATATCTCAGCTGCTAATCCTGTAAGCCCTTTACCCATTCTCGCTTTTCTCTGCTCTTGCCACATCATGAATAGATTGGTATACTATTGTGGGATACTTCTAGTTTTAGCACATGATATAGGTTATGGTTAATGTTCCTTTCCATCTTCCTGGTTACTGATAATGTTCCTTTTCTGTAGATGGGTCTATTCGATGGAAGAGTTTCAGCTTTGTTCGTGTTATTTCCCTGGGACTGGTTGTTTTCTTAGTTTCTGCTCTTTCATTGGGTCCTTTCCTGGCCTTGGTAAGCCTTTTTTTTTTTTTTTTTCAATTAATACATGTTCTTTGTTGGTGTTTAGAAAACCTAATAAAGCCAGGAATATGTAAAATAAGTAAAAGCTACTTTTTTCTTACTCCTTACCCAACGTGACTCCCCAAAGATAGGGCAGTATTCCTTTTTTTTTTTTGTTTTTGTTTAAGATGGAGTCTCACTGTGTCGCCCAGGCTGGAATGCAGTGGCGTGATCTCGGCTCACTGCAACCTCCACCTCCTGGATTCAAGCGATTCTCCTGTCTCAGCCTCCTGAGTAGGTGGGATTACAGGCACATGCCACCATGCCTGGCTAATTTTTGTATTTTTAGTAGAGACAGGGTTTCAACATGTTGGTCAGGCTGGACTCGAACTTCTGACCTCAGGTGATCCACCTGCCTCAGCCTCCCAACGTGCTGGGATTAAAGGCATGAGCCACCGCTCTTGGCCCGATAAGGTAGTATTCTTTCAGACATTTTTGTGCACATTCAAATATGTATATATATATACATGTATATGTTTAACTGTACATTACACATACACAAACACAGAATTGATCTTCATTATTTGTGTATTCTGTACTTGTAAGTTTACTTACTTGATAAAATGTATTTGTAACAAAATCAATAATTTTGCAGTCTTACATGGACAGCAGACATTCTAAAGTGCATAGAATTTAACAGATGTTCAGATGTTTTCTTTCTTCCTCTTCTTCCCTGCCCTGAAATCAACTAATTAATTTTAATTCTTACTAAAACTGAAACGCGTCACATCTTTTGTAGTTTCCCAGCTCTCCCCTTCACCCTAGTAGACATGGATAAGCTGCAGTCTGTGTTCTGCTTTGTAGCTTGTAAATTCTTCTGTTATTATAATAGTATGGACGGGTATTCAGAGTATTTTTATGTATATTGTCCCACTGGACAGTGGACAAAGTGAGACCAAAAGAAGGTTCTGTGAACTTACATTGTGGTGAGCATATAACCACTTACTTACTAGAACCCAGACCCCATAACTTTCTACACACTATACCATAGAGAGTTCCCTAGTTCTCTTTTTGAATTTGAAAAAGATTGATGACTGTTTAATCAGTTTCATTTCTCTTTTCAACAGAATCAGCTGCCTCAAGTCTTTTCCCGACTCTTTCCTTTCAAGAGGGGCCTCTGTCATGCATATTGGGCTCCAAACTTCTGGGCTTTGTACAATGCTTTGGACAAAGTGCTGTCTGTCATCGGTATGGTAGCGAGCATTTTTTACTCAGACTCTGAATATTGAAAGGACTTAGGCACATGGAGAAATGGAAAAACCTTTGTGTTTTGAATGTGGCTGAATTGTTTGTTCTCCAGTCCTGCATTTCAGCTTTCAGGATGAACAGGGGGAGCAGTTCTTGGGACTGAGGCTTTAGTGCAGTAAACAGACTGTTTTCCTTATAAAAGCTCCTTGTGGTAATGAGGTTATTGATCCTTTCCTGGGGAAAAAATAAAATATGTAGACACTCTATAAAGGTAATTTTTGCCTTAATTAAAAAACTATTCAGCAGCAGCAGTTAACCCTGCTTTTTTTCCCCCCTTCTCACCATTCCTATTCAAACCCCTACTTATTTTTAGAGACAGGGTCTCACTGTCACCCAGGATGGAGTGCAATGGTGTTGAGATCATAGTGCACTGCAGCCTTAAATTCCTGGGCTCAAACAGTCCTCTTGTCTCAGCCTCCTGAGTTGCTGGGACCACAGGTGCATACCACCACACCTGGCTGATTTTTAAATTTTTGTTTTTTAGAGATGAGGGTCTCACTATGTTGCCCAGAGTGGGATCAAACTTCTGGTCTCAAATGATCCTCCCACCTTGGCTTCCCAAAGTGCTGGGATTACCAGCACAAGCCACCATGCCTGGCCTACCCCACTTTTAAACCTAAACATACAAGAAAGAAGAATATGTAAGTTGTGACTCTCGGTATTAAACCAGTAAGGAAAATAACCCTGCATTTTAACATGAGGTGAGAAGAAATGAAAAACCCAGGCTATGGTTTTTAAAATTGGGTCGTAATGAAAAATAAGTTATGGTTTGAGATGGTTCTACTAAAAATAACTCACTCTGGATAACACAGTCTCTCATTTGTGAATACAATCTAGCTTGGTGGGAAAATGGCATGATCAAGAGTGGTGGTCAGCAAACTTTTTCTGTAACTGGCCAGATAATATTTTAAGCTATGCAGGCCACACACAGTGTGTGTGTGTGTATGTGTGTCTGTGTCTGTATTTGTGTATGCACACATTTGTTTAAAACCTTATAAAAGTAAAAACCATTCATACTTCAGTGCTGTGCAAAAACTGGGCACAGGCTACATTTGGCTGTTGGCCTATAGTTTGTGGACTCCAGACCTAGAGTCTGATGACTTGGTTTGGAGGCTCACCTGTGTAAATTGCTATTGCAGTGTGTGGCATTGACAAGTCATTTGCTTCCTTTCGTCTAACTTTCCTCACTATACGAAAGACATACTAGTACTTTACCTGTACCTATACAGTGTGTTGTGAGGAACAGAAGCAAAATTTAAAAAGTACTAGGTTATCAGTAGCAGAGACTTTGGAGCCAGACAAACCTGAGTTCAGTTTTACCACCTATTAGTTGTGTGACTTTGGGCAGGTTACTCCATCTCTGTACCTCAGGGGGCTAAAAGTAGTAAGTGCAGAGCCCTGGGCACATGGTAGACGCTCCATGCATGGTGGCCACTATTACTGTTTTTGATAAGTACTTGGAGGAGATCATACACTGCCTATGTGATGACTTATACATTGTGTCACCGTGTTGCTCACTGTGAATCTAGCCTTGATGTACATGGCATTCTTACAGAGTAATTCCTAACATTCATATTTCAAAAAAAGCTTTAAACAGCCAGCATAGTATGAGGTACAAGGGCCAGTTGCCTTGTCTGAGTCAGGAAGCTGTACTGTACCCTCACTTGTATGTTTGTGTCTTTGAAGATGTTTTACATGGAAAGTCAGTGTCAGAGTTAGACAACTTTGTTTTAGGGAGATAGTTATTAGCTGTAAGAGAGAATCAGCAGGCCAAAGGGGAAAGGGGAAGAGGTTAGTAAGTAGAAAATATTTTGGTACATCTTTCCCACATTGTATTCATTTTCACTGGCATTTGACAGGCCCTATAGGTGCTCAAACTGTCTCTGACTGTCCTATTAGCCAGAGCTTGTTGGGGCTTGTATTGTCATTCTCTGAATTGATTTATTTAATAACCAAGTATTTATTGAGCTCCTATGTACTGGGGATAGAAATGAACTCATCATCATTCCTGCCTTCAAGGAATACAGTATAGTAGAGGAAATGAGCACATAAACAAGTGCAGTGCCTTGTGGTGAACACTGTTAGAGTGAGCTCACTCAGCTGTGCACGTTGGCTCAGGCCTGTAATCCTAGCACTTTGGGAGGCTGAGATGGGCGGATCACCTGAAGTCAGGAGCTCGAGACCAGCCTGGCCAACATGGTGACACCCCGTCTCTACTAAAAATACAAAAATTAGCCGGGCATGGTGGCACATGCCTGTAATCCCAGTTAATGGGGAGGCTGAGGCAGGAGAATCGCTGGAACCTGGAACCTGGGAGGCAGAGGCTGCAGTGAGCTGAGATTGCGCCACTGCATTCCAGCCTCTGTCTCTGGGTGACAGAGTAAGACTCCATCTCAAAAAAAAAAAGTGAGCTCACAAGAAAATCAGTTCTGCTTATTGATTTAGGAGCTTTCTCAGGTGATTGAATTAGAAGTTAATTTGGCAAAGGGAGTTGCCTGGGCAGAGGGACACAGGTGTTGAGAGTGGTATATTGAGGACTCACAGTTACTTCATTGTGGCCAAGCCGCATTTAACAAAGTAAAGATGAGATTGAACAGGGGGGAAGGGGCGATGAGATCATGGAAGACACTGGATACTATGTTTAGGAATAGAGGGTTTCTCCCATAGGAGATGAAGGATTCAAAGTTCCTTCATGACATGCTCAGACTGTTCTAGAAGCTTGCTTTCAGAGGTGAGAGCAGATTACCATTTGTGCTGCCTGCCAGCAAGTTTCCTATAAGCTGCACAAATTCCCTGTTCCAATGCAAAGAGCTGCTTTATATATTATAATCTTAAGACCAGAGGCATTTTGGGTAGAATAGTATAGGATTAAATTCATGAAATCTTAGCCTTTAAGCAGCAATAAGATTTAGTAGCTTACTTTTTATTCCTCAAGGAATTGATTGTTAATATATGGTATCTCAGTAATAAAGATAAAAATAAAACAAAACAAAATATCTGTTTAATAGGTTTGAAATTGAAATTTCTTGATCCCAACAATATTCCCAAGGCCTCAATGACAAGTGGTTTGGTTCAGCAGTTCCAACACACAGTCCTTCCCTCAGTGACTCCCTTGGCAACCCTCATCTGCACACTGATTGCCATATTGGTAAGAACTCAACAGATGGTGCTCATTTCTTGAGTTTTCTCTGCTTTTCTTTTGTCTGGCTGATTAAATTTCAACTTTCAAGCTCTTCCAACTGTAGGATAAATTTCATGCCTGTAATCCTTCTGCAGATTGAAGCATTTCCTAGCAATTCTTAGAGTAACTTTGAATACCATAAGGAAGGATTACCAGTAAAGCCTTTGTGAGAGATTCTTGCCAGTGGCTGTTAGACCATCTGTTCACCCGGGGGAAGGGAAAAAGAAAAGCCCAGAGAGGAAGAGGCATGGATCATGCTGCAGAGAAAGAAGGAAATGTTTGTGGCAGGGACATCCAGATTTGGTTTGTTTTTCTCACCGTTAGCTAAATCATCAAAATTCCAAATGTATCTGGACAGCGTGGATGTTTTGTCTTGATGGTGATAATGAGTTGAGAGAGTCGACAAAGGCTTTTTGAGCCTAAGATGAGCCTAATATGAGTAAGATGCTCTTAGAGGCCTCATTCTAAGTACTTTAGAAACTTTAATTTCTAAAATTTCATTAGTGATTGCAGTGACCTCAATTTCATGGTATAATTTTAGTAGAATTCAATATAAACAACTCAATCCTATCGATAATTACACTCATCTTTAATTTTGGTTTCTGAATGTTTCAAACCTGCTAGCAACCACCTGATTCCACTTAATTACATGACAGTACAGGTATGTAGATAATTAAGCTCTGTTGGGCTGTTTGTTCACATATTTTAATTGAGGTAAAACATTTTTCCTAAAATTTCAGCCTTATGAGGTACATATAGTTTCTATGGCCTTCCAGCCAATAAAACTAAGTATTTATTAATATGGTAAATCTAATTTATTGGCTCAAAAGCATCTATGGACTTCTGTAGTTTGACCTATTAGGTTCATTAATAAATGAACTATTAGTAAACTAATTATGAAGATGTAATAAGTTGTTAGACTGTACATCCCAGAACTTAATTATTAATTTTGATAGTATAATTAATTTCTTTTTTTTTTGAGACAGAGTCTCACTCCGTCATCCAGGCTGGAGTGCAGTGGCGATTCTCCTGCCTCAGCCTCCCAAGTAGCTGGGATTACAGGCGCCTGCCACTGCACCCAGCTAATTGTTTTGCAGTAGTTTTGTTTTTGTTTTTGTTTTTGTTTTTTGAGACGGGAGTCTTGTTCTGTTGCCAGGCTGGAGTGTAGTGGTACGATCTCAGCTCACTGCAACCCCCACCTCCTGGGTTCAAGCGATTCCCCTGCTTCAGCCTCCTGAGTAGCTGGAACTACAGGCATGCACCACCACGCCCGGCTAATTTTTTTTGTATTTTAGTAGAGACAGGGTTTCACCATGTTGTCCAGGATGGTCTCGATCTCCTGACCTCGTGATCCGCCCACCTCGGCCTCCCAAAGTGCTGGGATTATAGGCCTGAGCCACCACACCCGGCCTTTTTTGTAGTTTTTAGTAGAGACAGGGTTTCACCATCTTGGCCAGGCTGGTCTTGAACTCCTGACCTCGTAATCGACTTGCATCAGCCTCCCAAAGTTCTGGGATTACAGGCGTGAGTCACTAGGCCCGGCCAATTTTTTTTTTTTTTTTTTTTTTTGAGACAGTCTCGGTCTGTCACCTAGGCTGGAGTGCAGTGGCGCAATTTCAGCTCACTGCAACCTCTGCCTCCCAGGTTCAAGCGATTCTCCTGCCTCAGCCTCCAGAGTACCTGGGAATACAGGTATGTACCACCACGCCCAGCTAGTTTTTTTTGTATTTTTAGTAGAGATGGGGTTTCACTATGTTGGTCAGGCTGTTCTTGAACTCCTAACCTCAAGTGATCTGCCTGCCTTGGCCTCCCAAAGTGCTGGGATTATAGGCATGAGCCACCATGCCCAGCCAGTAGAATTAATTTTAATGAGTTAAATATATACATCAAGGCTAGGTGCGGTGGCTCAAACCTGTAATCCCAGCACTTTGGGAGGCCAAGGCAGGCAGATCACGAGGTCAGGATTTTGAGACCAGCCTGGCCAACATGGTGAAACCCCGTCTCTATTAAAAATACAAAAATTAGCTGGGCGTGGTGGCAGGCACCTGTAATCCCAGCTACTTGGGAGGTTGAGGCAGGAAAATCGCTTGAACCCAGGAGGTGGAGGTTGCAGTGAGCCGAGATCGCACCACTGCACTCCAGCCTTGGCAACAAAGCGAGACTCCGTCTCAAAAAAACAAAAAATTATATATATATATATATATATATATTTACATATAAAATATATTTATTTACATATAAAAATATATATATACACATCAAATGCCAATTTTTTCTGAGTTGTTGCTTTTATGTTAACTTTTGTTAGACTGTGCACAAAGTGATGAATGATTCGGTTTCATGAAGAATTGTCTAAGATTGGCTGTCTTTCAGAGATGATGCAAATTGTATTCACCTGAACTCTGTTTCTGTAAAGTCTGTTTCAAATGATACTGAAGTTTATCTTTGCCTGTTGTTTCTAGCCCTCTATTTTCTGTCTTTGGTTTAAACCCCAAGGGCCCAGAGGCTTTCTCCGATGTCTAACTCTTTGTGCCTTGAGCTCCTTTATGTTTGGGTGGCATGTTCATGAAAAAGCCATACTTCTAGCAATTCTCCCAATGAGGTAAGCAGATAGCTCAGCCAGTGAGCATTTTGGCATATTTCACAATGATCCTATTTTCTATTTGCTCTGTCCCTTCTTGTCATGTTCACCAGGATAGGCAAAAACAAAGATGTATAGGAACAGATGTCCACTAGGACAGGACAGGGATGCTTAACTTGAGATTCTTGGACCCATGAAGGTATGCAAAAATGCATGTACTATTTCTGTTTCTGCGTTTTTGGAAAGAAGCACTGTAGTGATTAAGTACCATGAAAGCCGGCTTTTAGATCTGATCATTGAGGGACAGTATGTTATAGAAAAAACCTGGGCTGGCCGGGCGCGGTAGCTCACGCCTGTAATCCCAGCACTTAGGGAGGCCAAGGCGGGCAGATCACGAGGTCAGGAGATCGAGACTATCCTGGCTAACATGGTGAAACCCCATCTCTACTAAAAATACAAAAAATTAGCTGGGCATAGTGGCACATGCCTGTAGTCCCAGCTACTCGGGAGGCTGAGGCAGGAGAATTGCTTGAACCCGGGAGGAAGAGGTTGCAGTGAGCCGAGATCGCACCACTGCATTCCATTCTGGGTGACCGAAGGAGACTCTGTCTCAAAAATGAAAAAAAGAAAAAACTTGGGCTTTGGTGTCATCCCGTCTGAAAATAAGGTCCCATGGTTCCTTGTTAAGTGTTGTTAGTCAAAGTAAGGATTTAGTCTATTCTGGAATAATACCTGATACTGTACTACATTTCAGATTTTCCAGAACTGTTTTTGTTTTGCATTCTTTCTTTTGCGCCTCACAATAATCTTTAAGATAATTGGCCAGGCATGGTGGCTCACATCTGCAATCCCAGTACTTTCGGAGGCTGAAGCGGTGGTTCACTTGATGCCAGGAGTTTGAGATCAGCCTGGCCAACATGGCAAAATCCCATCTCTACTAAAAATACAAAAATTAGCCAGGCATGGTGGTGCATGCCTGTAATCCCAGCTACTTGGGAGGCTGAGGCATGAAGATCCTTTGAACCTGGGAGGTGAAGGTTGCAGTGAGCCAAGATGGCGCCACTGCACTCCAGCCTGGGGCAATAGAGTGAGACCCTGTCTCAAAAAAAGAAAAAAAAAAAAGATAGTTAAAATAAATGGGTATTATTCCCTTTTTTTTCCTTTCTTTTTTTTTTTTTTACTTTTTGGTAGAGACAGGGTCTTGCCATGTTGCCTAGGCTGGTCTCAAACTACTGGGCACAAGCAGTCTTCCTACCTCAGCCTCCCAAAGTGCTGGGATTGCAGATGTGAGCCAACAAAACAGGCTTATTCCCTGTCTTAACATCTGAAGAATCTAGGGCTCAAAATGTTTGTGACTTGTCCAAAGTCATACAGGTCGCAAGAATTAGAGTTAGGACCTGAATCTTATGATGTTGAATCTATGATCTTTTCACTATGCCATGCTAAAAAAACCATTTTAAATGTAAGTGTCCAGTTTAGGCATAGTTGAAACCCAATAGATAAATAAATGGTAATAATAGCCTCTTTCTTTATATTTTTCTTGAATCTTGAGAAATCATTTAAGCTCTGAACATATATTAAGCAAATTTGTCAGGCCAGTATGTGGCTTGTCTGGGTTTATTTAGCAGCTTGGAGTTTCCAAATTAAAAAGTAAAGCAAAAACTTTTAATGTCTTTAGTCTGAATTCACACCAAACACCAGCAGGTGAAGGGCATTGTCCAAGAGATGAGCTATAGGGTTGGAAATGAAACTCCAAGTCCTGTTTCCCTGACTGCCACCACTAGGCAGCTCCCAATCCCACAACATTCCTGTCTTTGGAGAAGGCAATTACTCAGGGAAGCAAGATTCTTTTTTTTTTTTTTTTGAGACAGAGTCTCGCTCTGTTGCCCAGGCTGGAGTGCAGTGGCGCGATCTCGGCTCACTGCATCCTCTGCCTCCCAGGTTCAAGCAATTCTCCTGCCTCAGCCTCCTGAGTAGCTGGGATTACAAGCACCCGCCACCATGCCCAGCTAATTTTTGTATTTTTAGCAGAGACAGGGTTTCACCATGTTGGCCAGGCTGCTCTTGAATTCCTGACCTCAGGTGATCCTCCCGCCTCGGCCTCCCAAAGTGCTGGGATTAAAGGCATGAGCCACTGTCCCCGGCCAGAAGCAAGATTCTTTTACGATACCCCTGATTCAGTTTGATACATGCTATTGATTGCTTAAAATTTCCTACTAAAAAATTAATATTCTCAACTAAATTGAACTTGTGCCAAAATCAGCATGTTCTTCTATGCCTCAGCCAGTTCTAATGTAATAGGAGATGCAGTTTATTTAAGCTATTTGCAAGTGTAATAACAGTTGTTGTTTTAAGAAATTATTTTTATTTTTAGCCTTTTGTCTGTGGGAAAAGCAGGAGACGCTTCGATTTTTCTGATTCTGACCACAACAGGACATTATTCCCTCTTTCCTCTGCTCTTCACTGCACCAGGTAAACAGCGTCTTCTGAGAAAAATATATTTGACTATCACAACCTTTTCATCGAGGCCCACAGATTAATACATCTAATTTAAACAACTCTAAAATCTCTTGGATAGAGATCATTCATCCTCTTAAATAAAACCTCCAATTTCCTGTAATTCTCAGCATCTCTAGATGTCACAAAAATGTAAAATTAAACTTAAAAAGTATTATTAGCACTATATAGCTGTGTCAGTGTGCTTATATTACTTTCAGCATCATAAGTCTTTCTGTCATCAGCTAAATTATCTTTTTTTTTCTATTCTTTTAACAGAACTTCCCATTAAAATCTTACTCATGTTACTATTCACCATATATAGTATTTCGTCACTGAAGACTTTATTCAGGTAATCAAAAAAATGTTTAAAATTATACTTACTCTTGTGAAATGTTTACACCTAAGTGGTCAAATAAGCTCTTTAAATTTTATTTTTAAGTTATAACAGTAATATGACAACATTACAAAAAAAATTGGTAAATAGAGGGAGAAATCACTCAATCCCATCACTCAGTCGAGACAACATAGTTTGTGTCTTTAGTTTGGGGGAGTATTTGAGGAGGACTACTTAAATTAAAATCCTATATGAAAACTCAAAAACTGAATGTAAAATATGCTTTATGAATAAAACTATTAAATACAGATAGATATGGAAAAAACTAAAAGATACTATGTACAAATTTTTTTTGTTCGTTTTTTTGAGACGGAGTTTTGCTCTTGTTGCCCAGGCTGGAGGGCAATGGCGTGATCTCGGCTCACCACACCCTCCGCCTACCGGGTTCAAGCTATTCTCCTGCCTCAGCCTCCCAAGTTACTGGGATTACAGGCATGCGCCACCATGCCCAGCTAATTTTTTTTTTTTTGGAGACGGAGTTTCACTCTTGTCGCCCAGGCTGGAGTGCAGTGGCGCGATCTCCACTCACTGCAACTTCCGCCTCCTGGGTTCAAGCGATTCTCCAGCCTCAGCCTCCTGAGTAGCTGAGATTATAGGTATGCATCACTACCACACCTGGCTAATTTTTTATATTTTTAGTAGAGGTGGGGTTTCACCATGTTGGCCAGGCTGCTCTCGAGCTCCTGACGTCAGGTGATCCACTTACCTTGGCCTCCCATAGTGCTGGAAGTACAGGCGTGAGCTGCTGTGCCCGGCTAATTTTGTATTTTTATTAGAGATGGGGTTTCTCTGTGTTGGTCAGGCTGGTCTTGAACTCCCAACCTCAGGTGATCCACCCACCTCGGCCTCCCAAAGTGCTGGGATTACAGGCGTTGAGCCACCGCACCCAACTATGTACAAATTTTACTACAGAATTATAGATGGAAACTTTTTCTCTTCTAAACTGTATGTAATGTTAACTATAATTTTTTTTTTTTTTTTTTGAGACGGAGTTTCACCCTTGTTGCCCAGGCTGGAGTGCAATGGCACGATCTCAGCTAACTGAAACCTCCGCCTCCCAGGTTCAAGCGATTCTCCTGCCTCAGCCTCCCTAGCAGCTAGGATTACAAGCATGCGCCACCACACCCAGCTGATTTTGTATTTTTAGTAGAGATGGGTTTCTCCATGTTGGTCAGGCTGGTCTCAAACTCCTGACCTCAGGTGATCCACCGTCCTTGGCCTCCCAAAGTGCTGGCATTACAGGTGTGAGCCACCATGCCCGGCCAACTGTAATTTTTTAAAGCTTGCTTATGGTTCATAACTGTGTCCATAAAAACTTATATAATTAACTATGTTAAAATGCAGTTATAGCCATGTGACCCAGCAATTCCACCCCTATACCCAAAAGAATGGAAACAGGGACTCAACAGATACTTGTACATCAGTATTCATTGTAGCATTATTCATACTAGCTAAAAGATGGAAACAACCCAATGTCCATCAACAAATACATGATAAAGTGTGATATATACATATAGTGGATTATTCAGCCAAAGAAAAGAATGAAGTTCCAATACATGCTACATGAATGAATCTTGAAAACATGCTAAGTGAAAGAAACGAGAGAATAGAACAAATATCATATCGTTCCACTGATAGGAAATTCTAGAATAAACAAACATAGAGACAGAAAGTAGATTAGAGGTTGAGGGAACAGGGGGATGGGAAGTTATTGTTAATGGTTCCAGAGTTTCTGTTTGGGGTCACGAAAATATTTTGAAGGTGGATAGTGGCGATGGGCGCATATTATTGATCTACTTAATACCATCAAACTGTATACTTAAAAATGGTTAAACAAATAGCAAATTTCATGTTATATATATTTTACCAAAATAAAAAATATTTTAAAAATCTGGTGAAACCTTGTCTCTATAGAAAATACAAAAATTAGCTGGGCATGGTGGCAGGCGCCTGTAATCCCAGCTACTTGGGAGGCTGAGGCAAGAGAATCGCTTGAACCCAGGAGGTGGAGGTTGCAGTAAGCTGAGATTGCACCACTGCACTCCAGTCTGGGTGACAGAGCAACGCTCCATCTCAAAAAGAAAATTTTTTTTAAATCTTCAATTCTATATTGTTTCTCATGTTCTTATTCCAATGTCACAGCACCCAACCCCTTTACCTCTTTCAAATGCAGAACTAATTCTCTCTGAGCAGCTTGAGCTAAATAACAGCATAGGTCAATGGTGGAGTAAATTTAGATTGTTGAGATAATATAACGTATATAATTATCATTTTTTTCTAAATGTGAAACTTATTTTTTATTTTTATTTATTTTTTGAGACAGAGTCTCACTCTGTCGCCCAGGCTAGAGTGCAGTGGTGCCATATCGACTCACTGCAACCCAGTTAAAGCAGTTCTCCTGCCTCAGCCTCCCAAGTAGCTGGAATTACAGGCCTGTGCCACCCTGGTCGGCTAATTTTTGTATTTTTAGTAGAGATGGGGTTTCTCCATGTTGGCCAGGTTAGTCTAGAACTCCTGACCTCAGGTGATCCACCTGCCTTGGCCTCCCAAAGTGCTGGGATTACAGGCATGAGCCTCTGCACTTGGCCCTAAATGTGAAATTTAATATACTCTTGACTCTGGCCTTGGCTATAATAATTGACAGCAAGACAGTGCAGATGGGGAAGCTTTAGCTAGGAAATGTTTGCTAAACCAGGATGACTCATCTAAAATCAGACTTTTCTCTCTTTTTTCCTTCAGAAAAGAAAAACCTCTTTTTAATTGGATGGAAACTTTCTACCTGCTTGGCCTGGGGCCTCTGGAAGTCTGCTGTGAATTTGTATTCCCTTTCACCTCCTGGAAGGTGAAGTACCCCTTCATCCCTTTGTTACTAACCTCAGTGTATTGTGCAGTAGGCATCACATATGCTTGGTTCAAACTGTATGTTTCAGTATTGATTGACTCTGCTATTGGCAAGACAAAGAAACAATGAATAAAGGAACTGCTTAGATATGTGCCAAGCAATTATTTCATGGGAAATTAACCAGAACTTGAAGAAAGTTGCCAGTGGCATCAGCCATTTGTTTCAGTAGAACTGTTCAGAGCACCATTCTTCCACACTTGGTCTTGCCCAGCCTAGCAACCGGATTGTCACCATGGTGAGAAGCCACTGGCCCTCCATAAGCACTGAAACACATCTGAAAAAAACTCACCTTTCCCTATTAAAATTGTCTGAGATCGTTCAGACTGCTGTGCTTGCTCAAGCCAAACAGGGAATCTGATTAACCGCATAATTATTTGTAGCCTATGCTAACCATTGTGAGGATATAAAGCATAATTAGAATCCTGTGCTAAGGAAATATAAATGAAATGCTATTTTGTATGCACAAAAAAACTTCTGGATCGTTACCAGCTCCTACATTTTCCTCTTGGCGTGTACACAGGCAGATGGTGTACTGTCCCCATTCTGTACACCTTGTTCGAGATTTTTTTTGTTTGAAATTATACAGTGACAATACTCACAAAGCCAAGGGGAGTAGTTAAGGTACTGGTTTGGCCAGGCAGCAGAAACTACAAACCACAGCTACTTTACATTGATTTAAGGATATCTCGTGCAGCTCATTTATTCTAACAGCAAGCACTGCAGTTTTTATAAGGCAGCCACTTAAACCTTTCATCATGCGCAGGAACTGAAGTGATTTTTGCAGTCTGGTTCTTATCCTTTCCCTTCCTTAAGAGTACTTCATATACGCTTTTTATCCAGGACCCCAATTTGTGTAATATCTGCCACACATTCAGATTCAGCCAACGTTTATCTAGTCAACAGTAGGAACTTTCACACATTTTATTTTATTTCTATTTTTTTTCAGCCCTCAGGCAGAATTCATACATTTTATTTACCCATTATCCCCTAAGATCAGAGAGACTCCAAGGTCAATGGCATTCTGAGATGGAATCCAGTTATTCCATCTCTTCCGTCTACTCCATTTTCTAAGACTTCTTTTTGGTCTGTTATTGCAGAGACAAAGATGGGGATCTTGCCAAAGGGGGAGGGAAGCGTAGCGCCTCTAACCTGTTTTCCTGCCCACAGACTCTCCTCCACCCTGTGTTCCAGCTGGCCTAACAACTTCAAACTCCCCGTGTGCCATGCTGTCTTGTACCTCTGTTCCCTTTCATTCATGCTGCTTCCTCTCCTCTCTGCTGACTTCTACCCTGTCATCTGATTATATGAACCTCTTCAAGATTCAGCTTAACTGCTACCATGTCTGTCAATATAAAGGCAGAATGGTGTAGTGATTAAGAGTAGGGCCTTAAAGTCGTATGTCCTGGTTGTAAATCTTGCCTCCATCATTTTTTTTAAAATCTGTAGGCAGGTTATTTAACCATCTTTTATCTGAATGTTCTCATCTCTAAAATGATTACATAAAAGATTAAGAACACTGCCTGATGCATTTTAAGTGCTCGGTCAATAGCATTGCTATTTATGTGAATCTTTTCCTATCCCTCTACCTTCCCTCCTCCTGCAGAATTGAGTTGCTCCCACTGTGCCAGGAGTCTGCTGATACCATTAACTGCTGTAATACTGTGTTATGCTTGTTTACCTCTTTTCCCCAGGAGACTAGCAGTTTGAGACCACACTTGTCTTCATAGCCCCAGTTTTTAGCACAGTTGAATGAATGAATGAAGCACACCAAACCAGCCATGATTAAAACCTAAATATTTTACTAGTACAAGCATTAACACAAAGGACCAGTATAGTTCCTCACGTCTTTGCTGTTGTCCAAGCCAAAAAAAAAAAAAAGTAGAAGATGAATTTGGATGGATTTCAACCTGACCAAATTTACTTTTTTGGTTGTTATTATGAAAGTGATGTGATGTCAGAACGGGAAGAGCTCATCTAGTGTAGGGATTTCCAGAATGTTCTGTAGAGCACTGGAGGTTCTTCAGTGTTGCCTCAGAGGCCCTGGGCTCTGTCCATAGTAAATAGCTTTGATCTGTTTCATATATTCACATGGCTTCATATACATTTTCATTTGACTTCAAAGTCCAAATATAGCCTTAAAGCAGTTCAGCTGAGCACAGTGACCCACACTTGTAATCCCAGCACTTTGGGAGCCTGAGGCAGACAGATCACTTGAGCCCAGGAGTTCAAGACCAGCCTGGGCAACATAGTGAGACCCTTTGTCTACAAAAAATCAAAAAATTAGCCAAGCCTGGTGACATGCGCTGTAGTCCCAGCTACTCAAGAGACTGAGGTGGGAGGATCACTTGAATCCTGGAAGTCGAGGCTAAGTGAGCTGTGTTCACACCACTGTATTCCAGACTGGGGAAGTAAGCAAGACCCTGTCTCAAAAAAAAAAAAAAAAAAAAAAAAAAGTCAATGTCTTATATTACCGGGAGGGAAATGGCTCCAGACTCTGAAGAATACCTTGTTGGTGCCAACACAGACTAGAATCTAGACTTTTTGTCTAGAGCCCAAGATTCTTTTATTCTTTTCCAAACACTATACTTTGTAATCATGTTTTAAAACTTTACAGAGATATGGGTGGTTTTCAACAACAAATTCCTAAATTTCAGTCAATAAATGAAGTGCTGGTGGCGTGTGGTGGCTCATAGCGCTTTGGGACACCGAGGCAGGAGGATCACTGGAGTCCAGGAGTTCAAGACCAGCCTGGGCAACATAGTGAGACCTGTCTCTACAAAAATAAAAATTAGCCAGGCGTGATGGCCCGTGCCTGTAATCTCAGCTACTCAGGAAGCTGAAGTGGGAGAATCACTTGAGCCCAGGCATTTGAGGCTGCAGTGAGCCATGATCCTGCCAATGCACTCCAGCCTGGGTGACACAGCAAGACCCCATCTTAAAAAAAAAAGAAATGCTGTTTCAAAATATTTTGAAATTGGGAATTAAGCAAAGTTTAAGAACAAGATAGTATTATCAAAATGTAAACAAATAAGATACATAACTCATTTCTTACCTACTAATTAATGTATATGCAATGTGCCACAATTTAAGAAGATAAAAGAATAAGTGGTGGGACTTCGTGTTCTTGGTCACTGTATCTTTCCCCAGGTGGAGGCATAGAGCCAGAACTGGGCGGGAACTACTAGGAAGATGTGCTGTCTTTCTAGCCCAACTCTGGTATAGTGTTTCTTGTTAAGTGTTTTAGACTTGTATAGTGTTATAGACTTCCACCCTGAAACTTTGTGAAGGAAGCACTCAGTATCAGAAATGCCCCCTAGGTATAGCCCATGCAGCTTCTGTTTGCAGTTAATAGGAAAGAAAACATGCCAATAAAATAATGACCTTTGAAAAATATGTATTTTTGATTAAAATGTCAATTTTATGCACATATTTTGATTTTAATTGCATCATGAGTCATCTGTTAAAAAGAGTTTGAACGTTTGTTTTTAGATATATTTCTCTTTAAGATTTTGATGAAATTACACTTATAGCATGATGCTGGTTTTTTAAAAAATCCACCTATCCCTTTGTTTGTTCTCCAAAGAAATTGGCTACTGTGCTAATGGCAGTTAAGATTGGAATGATCATGTAAACCTTAAAAGCTTGAAGCAGTATAGCCATTCATTTCTCACAATGAAGTCCCATATTCAGCATCTCCATTTTATACAAAAGTCAATAAAGGTACTAATTTTTTTTTCAAACTGTGGAGTCAGAAACAAAAACAATATATGTTGGAGGCCGAGGCGGGCGGATCACAAGGTCAGGAGATCAAGACCATCCTGGCTAATACGTTGAAACCCCATCTCTACTAAAAATACAAAAAATTAGCCGGGCGTGGTGGCGAGCGCCTGTAGTCCCAGCTACTTGGGAGGCTGAGGCAGGAGAATGGCGTGAACCCGGGAGGCAGAGCTTGCAGTGAGCCGAGATCGTGCCACTGCACTCCAGCCTAGGCAACAGAGCGAGACTCCATCTTAAAAAAAAACAATATATGTTGGGTGTGGTGGCTCACGCCTGTAACCCCAGTACTTTGGGAGGCTGAGGCAGGTGAATCACTTGAGGTCAGGAGTTTGAGACCAGCCTGGCCAACATGGTGAAACTCCATCTCTACTAAAAACACAAAAATTAGCCAGGCGGGGTAGTGGGTGCCTGTAATCCCAGCTACTCAGGAGGCCGAGGCAGGAGAATTACTTGAACCCGGAAGGCGGAGGTTGGAGTGAACTGAGATTGCACCACTGCACTCCAGCCTGGGTGACAGAACTAGACTCTGTCTTTAAAAAAAAAAACAACAAAAATATTTGTACTGATAAAGTGACTATGAAAGGGACAAGACTCAATATACCTCTGTACAATGCTCTGAAAAGAGACTGTTTATAAGAATTTCAGAGTCCTAGAAAGGCTTTCAGAAGTACATTCCACATATTTTTTATTTTTATTTATTATTATTATTGTTTGAAGACAGAGTCTCACTCTGTCGCCCGGGCAATCTTGGCTCACTGCAACCTCTGCCTCCCGGGTTCAAGCGTTTCCTGCCTCAGCCTCCCGAGTAGCACGCCGCCACGCCCAGCTAATTTTTTGTATTTTAGTAAAGAGGGTTTCACCGTGTTGCCCAAGCTGGTCTTGAACTCCTGAGCTCAGGCAATCCGCCTGCCTCAGCCTCCCAAAGTGCTGGGATTACAGGCATAAGTCACTGCACCCGACCAGATTTATTAATTTTTTAAGTGTTTTTCTGACAAAGATAGCTGATTAAAGCAGGATGGGAGTGTTCACCTCTCAAAGCAGCCCCTCCCATATGTGCAGCTGTTTGTTAGGGCATTTTTAATGATGAATTAGTATTTTTCCTTCTCTGACTTTCTCCTACTGGTTTCTGGAGCAGAACGTACTGAAGGTCTACTCATATTTAAATAACAGCCCTTCAAGTGATACACAGAAGGAAAACCCCATACTGTTATGTGCCAAGTACGGTGCTAGACATTACATCTCTTAATCCCTACTAAAACTGCAAATGAAATCCATTATCACTTCACAAAAATATTTAATGAATTTCTATTGAGTGTTATACATTGTGCTCAGTGCTGGAGATCAAAAAGTGGACAAGAAAGCCATATTCCTGCCTACAAGGAATTTATATTCTAGTGGCTAGAGGGTCCTAAGAGCAAAGAAGAGTGGTATAAATTGAAGATGAAGAAGTAGGCAGCGCCCAAATCATGTGGGAATTTGATTTTAAGTCAAATGGGAACAAATGGTTTTCAGATTTTCTGAGTTATACTTTCATGTAGATGGAGCAAAATTCGTGAGGTCCCCAGCTACCCAGTTCCCCTACCAAGAGGCAACCATTGTTACCAATTTTTTAATGTATCATTCCAGAGATGCCAGAGATATTCTATGCATAGACAAGTATTTTTATGTACATAAATGAAAACATTATACACACTTTTGACCTCACATTTTTTATTATTTATTTTTTGACAGGGTCCTGCTTTGTTGCCCAGGCTGGAGTACAGTGGTGCAGTCTCGGTTCACTGCAACCTCCACCTCAGCCTCCCAAGTAGCTGGGATTACAGGAGGCATGACCAGGACCAGATAATTTTTGTATTTTTTGTAGAGATGGGGTTTCACCATTTTGCCCAGGCTGGTCTTGAGCTCCTGGCTCAAGCAGTCCACCCACCTCGGCCTCCCAAAGTGCTGGGATTACAGGTGTGAGCCACTGTGCCTGCTGACCTCACTTTTGTGTGTGTGTGTGTGTGTGTGTGTGTGTGTGTTTGTATGCTTAGTATATTTTGGAGTTTATTCTGTTATCAGTACATATAGAACTGCATCATTCTTTTAAGAGCTGCATATTATCTGTATTAGTTATCTATTGCTGTGTAACAACATAGTGGCTGAAAAAAACACATTTACTGTCTCATAGTTTCTGTAAGTCAGGAGTCTAGGCACAGCTTATCTTGGTCCTCTGCTTCAGGATCTCTCACAAGGCTGCAATCAAGGTGCCACCCAGAGTTGTGGTCTCATCCCAAGGTTTGACTGAGAAAAGATCTGCTTCCACGGTTGTTGGCAGAATTCAATTCTCTATGGGTTGTAGGACTGAGGGCCTCAGTTTCTTGTTGGCTTTTGGGTGGAAACCAACCCTCAATTCCTTGTCAATTGACCCGCTTCATGGGGTAGTCACAACATGGCAGCTAGCTTCATCAAAGACATCAAGGAAGGAAGTTGGCTATCAAGATAGCTGTCATGATCTTGGGCAGGCAGGGTGACTAACGCCTATAATCCCAGCACTTTGGGAGACTGAGGCAGATGGATCCCTTGAGCTCATGAGTTTGAGACCAGCATGGGCAACAGGGCAAAACACTGTCACTACAAAATATACAAAAATTAGCTGGTCATGGTAGTCCCAGCTACTCAGGAGGCTGAGGTGAGAGGATGGCTTGAACCTGGGAGGGGGAGGTTACGGTGAGCCAAGATTGCACCACTGCACTCCAGCCTCGGTGATAGAGCCAGACCTTGTCTCAAAAAATAATAATATGTCATGATCTTGTGTAATGTAATCATGAAAGTGACATCCTGTCACCTTTGCCACATTCTGTTAGAAGAACTTACATGTCCAACCCACATGTATGGGAGGGGATTACCAGCATGAGTTCCAGGAAGCAGAGATAATTGGGGCCATCTTAGAGTCTGTTCATTACAGTGTCTATTGTATAGATGGACCAGAATTTATTTAACAAGATTTCTCTTAGTGGACATTTAAGTTGTTTCCATTTTTGACAGTATGAATAACACTGCAATCAATATCAATATCAGTATTCCATTCTGCCTGTGTGCTAGGACTGCACATGTTGTTGAATTAAATTTCTAGAACTAGAATTTCTCTTTTTTTTTCACTCTCAGAATATGCTTAATAGAACTAGAATTTCTTTTTTTTTTTTTTTTTGTATTTTTAGTAGAGATGGAGTTTCTCCATGTTGGTCAGGCTGATCTCGAACTCCTGACCTTAGGTAATCCGCCCGCCTCGGCCTCCCAAAGTGCTGGGATTACAGGTATAAGCCACCACACCCGGCCAGAACTAGAATTTCTATATTGAAGGCTATGCTCAGTTGTAATTTCGATAGATGTTGCCAAATTGGTGATAGAAGTTGCATCAGTTTGTTTCACAGGCAATGTATAAGGATGCCTATTCACACATTTGCCAATTTACTGTGTCATCAAGCTTTGCCAGTGACATCTGTTATCTTCATTTGTATTTCTCTTATGAGAGAGGTTAGAAACTTCTTATATGTTTAAAAGCCATTTGTATTTGATTGATTGATTGAGACGGAGTCTTGCTCCTCACCCAGGCTGGAGTGCAGTGGCACGATCACGGCACACTGCAACCTCCACCTCCCAGATTCAAAAGATTCTCCTGCCTTAGCCACCTGAGTAGCTGGAACTACAGGTGTGCACCATCACGCCCAGCTCATTTTTGTATTTTTAGTAGGGACAGGGTTTCACCATGTTGCTTAGGCTGGTCTTGAACTCCTGACCTCCAGTGATCCACTTGCCTTGGCCTCCCAAAGTGCTGGGATTACAGGCATGAGCTACCATACCTGACCCTATTTTCATTATTTTTTAAATAGAAATGGTTTATTAGATTGCTGAGGTTGGTCTTGAACTCCTGGGCTCAAGCGATCCTTTCACCTCACCTTCCAAAGTGCTGGGATTACAGGTGTGAGCCACTGTGCTCAGCGTAGCCATTTGTGTTTTCTCTCCTGAGTACTGTGTTGATATTCTTTGCCATTTTTTCTTTGAGACAGAGTCTCACTCTGTCGGCCAGACTGGAGTGCAGTGGCGCGATCTCAGCTCACTGCAACCTCCACCTCCCAGGTTCAAGCAATTCTTCTGCCTCAGCCTCCCAAGTTGCTGGGATTACCAACACAAGTCCCCACGCCCAGGTAATTTTTGTATTTTTAGTAGAGACAGAGTTTCACCATGTTGGCCAGGTTGGTTTCAAACTCCTGACCTGAAGTGATCCACCTGCCTTGTCCTCCCAAAGTGCTGGGGTTACAAGCGTGAGCCACCAGGCCCAGCCAGAAAGAATTTTTAAAGACACACTATAAACCATAAAGAAAAAGATTGGCTGGGTGTGGTGGCTGATGCCTGTAATCCCAACACTTTGGGAGACCAAGGCGGTTGAATTGTTTGAGCCCAGGAGTTCGAGACCAGCTGAGGCAACATGGTGAAATCCCATCTCTTCAAAAAAAATTAAAACATTTTTAAAAAATGGGTAAAAGATGAACAACCAATTCATTCATGGAAGAGGAAACTATAGAAGAATCAATAAATATGAAAATATATTCAGCTTTGCTAATAATAAAGGAAAAGCAAAACCATAGTGAAATAACATTTCTACTAGAAGACTGGCAAAAATTAAAGTTCGGCAATGGCAACAGACAACAGGCAAAGGTTGCCAAGGATATGGGGAAACCCAACAGAATCAAGTGGAAAACTATTGGAACTAATAGGAAAGTGTAGCAAAATTGCTGACTACAAGAGCAGCATTCTAATTAACCAATTAGAAAAGTAATAGAATATAAAGATATTTGCAACAGTAACAAAAACTATAAATATCTAGAGACATACTAGTGAAAATGTTCAAGAATTTTGTAGAGAAAATGCTAATGGTTTATTGAGGGATATAAAAGGAAATTTGAATAAATGCATAAATATATACCATGTTCATAGATCAGAAGACTCAGCATTTTAAATATATCAGTTCTTTCCATAGGAGTCTATAAATTTAATGAAATTCTAATCAATACCCTAATGAGATTTTTCAAATAACTTGACAAGGTGATTTTAAAATCATAAGGAAGTCTAAAGGTGTACGAATAGTAATAATAATAATTGCTAACATGTATTAGCTTTGAAAAAAAGTAGATGATACACCCTATCAGATATTAAAGAACAATTCAACACTATGGTTATTAGATTGTATGATATGGGTATAGTAATTGGTAAAGAGAACTGTGGAACAAAGTAGATTTCAGAAATAGACCATGGCATTTGTGAGAACGTGATGTGTATTAAAGGAGGCATTAAATACTAGTAGGGAAAAGATGGACTTTAATAATAAATGATGTTCGGCCAGTTTTCACGTGTAATATTCCTCACACTCAACACAAAAACAAAAATTCGAATGGATTAAACATGCAAAGCTAAAACTTGGGAAGAAAATATCTGAGCATATCTTTATGGTCTTAGAAAAAACAAGGCTTCTTAATAATATTAAAAACATAGACAACAAAGAAAAAGATTGATACATTTTACTAAACCAATAGTTTACACTTTATGACAACCACCCCAGACTCCATAAATAACATTCAAAGGCAAGCAGAATAGTTGGAAAAGATATCTGCCATATATTTAACAAAAGATTAGCATCAGAGTGTATATATAAGGCTAGCACAGTGGCTCACACCTGTAATCCCAATGCTTTGGGAGGCCGAGGTGGAAGGATTGCTTGAGCCCAGGAGCTCAAGACCATTCTGGACAACATAGTGAGGCTCCATCTCTACAAAAAATTTAAAAAATTAGCCAGCTGAAGGCCGGGTGTGGTAGCTCACACCTGTAATCCCAGCACTTTGGGAGGCTGAGGCAGGAGAATGGTGTGAGCTTGGGAGGCAGAGCTTGCAGTGAGCCGAGATCGCGCCACTGCACTCCTTCCTGGGCGATAAAGCAAGACTCTGTCTCAAAAAAAAAAAAAAAAAAATTAGGCAGCTGGGGTGGTGTAGGCCTGTAGCCCCAGCTACTTAGGAGGCTGAGGTGGGAGGATCTCTTGAGCCCAGGAGGTTGAGGCTGCAGTGAGCCATGATCATGCCACTGGACTCCAGCCTGCACCAAAGAGTAAGACTGACTCAAAAAAAAAAAAGGGCGGGGCGGGGCTGGGTGTGGTGGCTCACACCTGTAATCCTAGCAATTTGGGAGGCTGAGGCGGGTGGATCACTGTAGGAGTTCTGTCAGGGTGGTGGGAAAAGTTGTAAGAAAAAGTTATAGGGAAAGACGCAAACCTTCTTGGAAGGCCGGGAGGTTTTCCAAAAGCTTCGGAAGGGAATTATGGCTGAAGGCAGTCAAATTTTCTTATCCGGAGCCTGAGAGCAAAGGGCAGATAACAAGGGAATGTAAAGAAACTTATCTAGATAAATTTGTTTACTTCTGTCTCCAGAAACCAACCTTTGATCATTCGAGCACAGGACTGCTCTCTACCTGGGGGGTCAACAATGTTTATTACCCACAAACTGTGTTTGCTTCAACCCTTTGTCATTAAATATGTACTACATAAATGCGAGCAGGGCCAGCTTATTGGGACTGCACTCTCTCGGTGGCTGCTGCACTCTCTCGTCAGTGGTGCTGAGCCCTAGCTGCGCTGTCAGGCAAAACACCTGTGTCAGTGTACTTCTTTCATCCATTGCTCAGCCAGAGTCTGCGGGACAGACTCAGCAGATCACCAGGTCAGGAGATCGAGACCATCCTCACTAACACGGTGAAACCCCACCTCTATTAAAAATACAAAAAAATTAGCCGGGTGTGGTGGCATGCACCTGTAGTCCCAGCTACTTGGGAGGCTGAGGCAGGAGAATCGCTTGAACCCGGGAGGTGGAGGTTGCAGTGAGCCGAGATCGTGCCACTGCACTCCAGCCTGGGCAACAGAGCAAGACTCCATCTCAAAAAAAAAAAAAAAAAAAAAAAAAAAGATGATATGGTACTGGCATACACACATAGATAGACCCAATGGTACAGAATAGAGAGCCTAGAAATAAACCATTGTGTATATGGCCAAGTGATCTTCATCAAGAGTGCCAAGACTATACACGGGGGAAAGGATAGTCTGTGTTGGGAAAACTGAATATCCACATGCAAAAGATGAAGTTGGAACCTTACCTTATACCACGTACAAAAATTAAAATGGTCAGGCATGGTGGCTCACACCTGTAATCCCAGCACTTTGGGAGGCCAAGGTGGGTGCATCACCTGAGGTCAGGAGTTCGTGATCAGCCTGGCCAACATGGTGAAACCCTGTCTCTATTAAAAATTCAAAAATTAACCAGGCATGGTGGTAGGCACCTGTAATCTCAGCTACTTGGGAGGCTGAGGCAGGAGAATTGCTTGAACCCGGGAAGTGGAGGTTGCAGTGAACCGAGACTGCGCCACTGCACTCCAGCTTGGGTGACAGAGTAAGACTCTGTCTCAGAAAAAAAAAAAAAAAAAAAAAAAAACCAACTCAAAATGGATTAAAGGCCTAACTATAAGATCTAAAACTCCTAGAAGAAAATACAACTTCAGGCCAGGCGTGGCGGCTCATGCCTGTAATCCCAGCACTTTGGGGGGCCGAGGCAGGTGGATCACTTGAGGCCAGGAGTTTGAGACCAGCCTGGCCAACATGGCGAAACCCTGTCTCTACTAAAAATACAAAAAAATTAACTGGTGTGATGTCTCACGCCTATAATCGCAACTACTTGGGAACCTGAGGTGGGAGAATCACTTGAACCCAGGAGGCGGATGTTGTAGTCAGCCAAGATTGTGCCATTGCACTCCAGCCTGGGCGACACTGAGACCCTGTCTCAAAAAAAAAAAAAAAAAAAAAAAAAAGGAAAAGAAAAGAAAACAGCTTCAGAACACTGGATTTTGCAATGATTTCTTGGATATGACACCAAAAATATAGGTAACAAAAGCAACACTAGACAAATGGGACTACATCAAACTTTTTTTTTTTTTTGGAGATGGAGTCTTGCTCTGTCACCCAGGTTGGAGTGCAGTGGCATGATCTCGGCTCACTGCAACCTCCACCTCCTGGGTTCAAGTGATTCTCCAGCCTCAGCCTCCTGAATAGCTGGGAATACAGGCGCCCGCCACCACGCCCGGCTAATTTTTTGTATTTTAGTAGAGACGGTGTTTCACCATGTTGCCCAGGCTGGTCCCGACCTCCTGAGCTCAGGCAATCCGCCTGCCTCAGCCTCCCAAAGTGCTAGGAGTGTGAGCCACTGCGCCCGGCCGGGAATACATCAAACTTTAAAACTCCTGTACATCAAAGGAAGCAGAGTGAAAACGCAGCTTACAGAATGGAAGAAAATATTTGCACATCATAGATCTGGGCCAAGCGTGGTGGCTCACACCTGTAATCCCAGCACTTTGGGAGGCCGAGGCAGGTGGATCACTTGAGTTCAGGAGTTCGAGACCAGCCTGACCAACATGGAGAAACCCCATCTCTACTAAAATACAAAAGTAGCCAGGCGTGGTGGCGCATGCCTGTAATCCCAGCTACTCGGGAGGCTGAGGCAGGAGAATCACTTGAACCCAGGAGGTAGAGATTGTGGTGAGCCAAGATCGCACCATTGCACTCCAGCATAGGCAACAAGAGTGACACTCCGTCTCAAAAAAACAAAACAAACAGCCGGGTGCAGTGGCTCACGCCTGTAATCCTAGCACTTTGGGAGGCCAAGGTGGGCAGATCATGAGGTCAGGAGATCGAGACCATCCTGGCCAACACGGTGAAACCCCGTCTCTACTAAAAATACAAAAAATTAGCTGGGTGTGGTGGCGGGCACCTGTAGTCCCAGCTACTCGGAAGGCTGAGGCGGGAGATTGGCATGAACCCGAGGCGGAGCTTGCAGTGAGCCGATATTGTGCCACTGGACTCCAGCCTGGGTGACAGAGTGAGACTCGGTCTCAAAAAAAAAAAAAAAAAACCCCACAAAGCAAAACAAAACAGGGCCAGTTGCAGTAGCTCACGCCTGTAATCCCAGCACTTTGGGAAGCCGAGGTGGGCAGATCACTTGAGGTCAGGAGTTTGAGAACAGCCTGGCCAACAGGGCGAAACCCCATCTTTACTAAAAATACAAAAATTAGCAGGACATGGTGGCACACACCTGTAATCCCAGCTACTGGGGAGGCTGAGGCAAGAGAATTGCTTGAACCAGGGAGGCAGAAGTTGCAGTTAGCTGACATCGCGCCACTGCACTCCAACCTGGGCGACAAAGTGAACCTCTGTCTCATAAAAAAACAGGCCCAGAAGATTGTGGGGGTTATGTGTTGAGGAGCAGTGGGCTAGGCTTCTGTTATGGATCCCCTTACTCAGAGTTAGATTTTTTTTATAGAAGCTGAGCCTTGGAATATCCATTGAATACACAAGTATTTCATCATGTTTTAAGAAAATCTGTAAACTTTATTTTAGATGCTTGCCTAGTAGTTTATCTGGTATTCAGAATTTACATATTGCTTCTGAGGAACATTTTTGGTTGTTTTTATTCTTTTAATAACATTTTAAAAGAAACACTGTGGTTAAAAAAACAAAAATTTGTGCAAAAAACGTTTTCCATGCTATACTATTTTCAGAGAATAAGATTCCTAGATGTGTAATTATTGAGTTAAAGGGTGTGAACTTTTGAAACATTTGCTGCCTTTCAGGAAAGTGCTAATATACACTCCAGAAAAATCCTAATTTGGGCTGGGCGAGGTGCCTCATGCCTGTAATCCCAGCACTTTGGGAGGCCAAGGTAGGAGGATCCCTTGAGCCCAGGAGCTCTAGACCAACCTGGGCAACATAGCAGACCCTGTCTACAAAAAATTTAAAAATTAGCCAGCATGATCGCACCACTGCACTCCAGTCTGTGTGACAGAATGAGACCCTGACTTGAGAAAAAGAAAAGCAAAATTCTAACTTGAAATATTGTCAGGTAGCGTTTTTTCTATAGAGATAAAAGGTCCATGCTTTATGTAATCACTCTTAGCTGGTATTTAATTCTTCCACTCAGGAAATCACTATCTTTGATGCATACACCTTTGCATAAACCTCTGGTTTAATCAGCCTCATTTGGATAAAATGTTTATTCTACTAATGAATGGACATGACAGGAAGACATTTTAGCTCAACATCAGGAAGGGCTTTCCAAAGGGAACTGTTCAATCTGCAGTATTAGAGGTGGGTGAGCAGATGTCACGCATGTCTGTGTGAAGACGCCACCAACAGGCTTTGTGTGAGCAACAAGGCTGTTTATTCACTTGGGTGCAAGTGGGCTGAGTCTGAAAAGAGAGTCAGCGAAGGGAGATGGGGAAGGGGTTGCCCTATAGGAGTTGGGTAGGTAATGGAAAATTACACTAAAAGGTGGTTATCTATTGTTAGCAGAGGAGGGGGGTCACAAGGTACATGGTAGGGAGATCATAAGACTCATTGTCCAGAAGAAGAATGTCACAAGGTCAATCGATCCATTAAGGTAGGGCAGGGACCAGTCACAATGGTGGAATGGTGGAATGTTGGTTAATCTGTTAAGGCAGGAACTGGCTGTTTTACTTCTTTTGTGGTTTTTCAGCTGCCCCAGACTTCTTGGCTCCTGCAGGCCATCTGGACACATATGTGCAAGTCACAGGGGTTACAATGGCTGAGCTTCGGCGCAGAGGCCTGACATTCCTGTCTTTTTATTTATAAAATATAAAGTTATAAGAAAAGATAAAGAAAATATAAGTTTTTACTGGGGATTATTGGGGCAGGGGCGATGTTTCTCAGGGCTGCTTCAGGCATGACTTAGGGGCAGCATGGACACCTAAAGAAAATTTAATTTTATAGTGAGTTGGTCTAGAAAGTTTTCGGGTACAATTTTGTGTGGCTAACAAGGCACCAGTTAGCATATTTTTGAGCTTGGAATTCTCCTAGTAGAATAAATTATCTAAAAATAGCAATTAAGCATAATAGCTTTAAGGTAGGTGGCAGTGAGTTTTTAGGCCAAGGTAGGAATAACGTTTTATATACCAAGGCCTTTTGTCCCCATTTGCCATCATATGAATAGGATCCCCTGGCATCGAGCCAAAAGTCTATTATGTTACTTTTTTCCCAAAGGTGTGAGTGGTGTTTTGAATGGAGGAGTTCAATAGTCCTTACTGCAGACCCTATACAGGAAAGACAGTAAGTACAATAGTCCCTGTCTCCTGGAATAAGTTGGGGCTGGCAAAGAGAGAAATGTCCTAGGCCTTCTAATAACCAATGACAGACCATGTGTCGTCCTGGATGTTGACCTGAGTGCCAGATATGTGGAACTGGTCCTCTATATGCATATTGCTGGTCATTTCTATATGAGTAGGCCTGAGGACCCCATGGGCAAGGATTTGACAGCTGCCACCCCAGGCATTTTAGATTTTTAATTCAGAGGTCTTTGATTTTGGGGGTGGGGAACATTTTGGAGGACAAGGCCTGAAGGAAGTTGTTTTTATAGACAGCAGGTCCTCAGAGATTATGGTTTAGAGGAACGGGTGAAGCAGGCCTGGAAGTATGTTTGGACAGCCGTTTGGAGGGGGTGTTGCACAGAAGCTTGGTCTTGTCTGGATGTTGCCAGGAGTTCATCACTGGTTTAGTCCTAAAGGTGAGAAGGAGTATAATAGGACGAGGAATAGAAGTTTAGGCTGTGGGGAGATTTTGGGGCACCGGATAGTACCATGGGGTTGTTAGAAGCAGCAACTGCAGTATGGAATGATTGGTGATGGCCTGGATGCGGTTTTGTGTGAATTGAGGGACTAAATGAAAGACAAAAGGCCCAAATAAGAGAAGGAGAAAAACAGGTACCAGGGGACTAAGAGTAGGAAGGAGCCAAGACGCCCAGTTAAAAAGTGCCCAGGTAGGTCCAGCATAATTATTTGCCTGGCTGGCGAGTTTTGGGGCCCTAACTTTAAGCTTTTTTATGTTGTCATATAGCAGGCTGGATTGATTTAGATAAAAACAACATTCTTCATTTAAAAATATGCAGAGTTCTCCTTTTTCAGCAGTGAGTAGGTCAAGGCCTTGGTGATTTTGGAGGACAACTGCGACTAAGGAACCGACCTGGGCCCGAAGGACTGATAAAGTTTGTGATATATCTGTAATGCTAGCAGGAAAGTCATTAGAAAGACAATGGAAGGTTGTGACAGAAGTTGAAATGCCAGGTAGGTCAGAGAGATACAGTCATGGGGGTCAGGTGTGGTATCAGGAATAATGTGGGAGGCCGGATTGAAGTCTGGGCCAGGAACAATGGTAATTATGGGAGACTCAACAAAGAGTGAGTATAGCTGAAGGAGCTGGAGGGGCAGAAAGTATATGCATCAGGTTTGAGGAAGAAAATAGATTTTGAAAGTTATGAGAACTGTAGAGAGTGAGTTGAGCATAGTTTGCGATTTTAAGGGCCTCTAAAAGTATTAGAGCGGTGGCAGCTGCCACACGCAAACATGAGGGCCAGCCTAAAACAGTAAGGTCAAGTTGTTCAGACAAAAAGGCTACAGGGCGCGGTCCCGGTCCTTGTGTAAGAATTCCGACCACACAGCCCTGTACTTCAGCTGTGTGTAATGAAAAGGGTTGGGATGAGTCAGGGAGAGCTAGTGTGGTAGCAGTTTCTAGAGCTGTTTTCAAGGAATGGAAAGAGGAGTGGGGAAAGGATTTAGGATCTGTGGGGTTGGCTAGGTTTCCCTTTCTGAGTTTATATAATGGTTTCGAGAATAAATGTTGAAGGAGCAGGAGGGTGTCTTGTTGAGAAGATTTAAAGGAGGGGCTACAAAGTAGAAGGTCATCAATATATTGAATAAGGTGAGAAGCAGAGGGGTGGAAAGAAAGTAAATCATGAGAAAGAGCTTGGCTGAAGGAATGAGGGCTGTCCCTGAAGCCTCGTGGCAGTACAGCCCAGGTAAGTTGCTGGGACTGATGGGTGTCAGGGTCAATCCAGGTAAAAGCAAAGAGGGCTGGGACGAGGGGTGCAGGGGAATAGTGAAAAAAGCATCTTTAAGATCAAGAACGGAATAGTTGTGGAGGAAGGTATTGAGGACAAAAGAGTGTACGGGTTGGGCACCACAGAGTGGATAGGCAAAACAATTTGGTTGATAAGGCACAGATCCTGAATTAACTTGTAATACTTGTCCGGTTTTTGGACAGGTAAAATGGGGGAATTGTAAGGAGAGTTTGGAGGCTTTAGAAGCCCATACTGTAGCAGACGAGAGATAATAGGCTTTAGTCCCTTTAAAGTCTGTTGTGGGATGGGACACTGGCACTGAGGGGGGTAAGAGTGATTAGGTTTTAATAGGATAGTAATGGGTGTGTGATCGGTTGCTAGGGAGGGAGTAGAGGTATCCCATACTTGTGGGTTAAGGTGGGGGGATACAAGAGGAAGAAGTGAAGGAGGCTTTGGGTTGGGAAGAAGGGTGGCAATGAGATGTGGCTGTCGTCCAGGAATAGTCAGGGTGGTGGATAATTTTGTTAAAACATCTCAACCTAATAAGGGAACTGAGCAGGTGGGAATAACTAAAAAGGAGTGCATAAAAGAATGTTGTACAAGTTGTCACCAAAGTTGGGGAGTTTTAAGAGGTTTAGAAGCCTGGCTGTCAATACCCACAATGGTTATGTGGGCAAGGGAAACAGGTCCTTGAAAATAAGGTAATGTGGAGTGGGTAGCCCCTGTATCGATTAAAAAGGGGACAGACTTACCCTCCACTGTGAAAGTTACCCGAAGCTTGGCATCCATGATGGTCCAGGGGGCTTCCAAGGTGATTGGGCAGCGTCAGTCTTCAGCCACTAAGCTGAGCAGGTCTGGTAAGGAGTCAGTCAGAGACCCTTGGGCCAGAGCTTTAGGGGCTGGGCTCTGGAAGTGGCTGCCGGGTGAGCTGGGCGGTCTGATTTCCAGTGGGTCACTGCACAGATGGAACATGGCTTGGGAGGAATCCTGGGCTGCAGGCATTCCTTGGCCCACTGGCCAGATTTCTGGCACTTGAAGCAAGATCCTGAGGGAGGAGGTCCTGTAGGAAAGCCTGACCACTGCAGCTTAGGCATTTTGAAGTTCTTGTGTGCCGGAGGTGCAGCTGGGTTTTGTCTCACAGCAGAGGCAAGTAATTGTAACTCAGAAATGTGTTTCTGCTTGGCTGCCTCTTCTCTATTATTGTACACATTGAAGGCGAGGTTGATTAATTCCTGTTGTGGGGTTTGAGGGCCAGATTCAAATTTTTGAAGCTTTTTTCTGATGTCAGGAGCTGACTGGGTGATGAAATGCATATCAAGAATAAGACAGCCTTCTGGCCCTTCAGGGTCTAGGGCTATAAAGCATCTAAGGGTAGCCACCAAACAGGCCATGAACTGGGCTGGGTCTTCATCTTTACCTTGGGTAGTTTCTTTAAGTTTGTCATAATTAACAGATTTGTATGCTGCCTTTTTAAGCCCTTCAACTAGGCAGGAAATCATGTAATCTCACCTAGCTATACCTGAGGAACCTGCCTGATAGTGCCACTGGGGATCTTCTCAGGGAACCGTCTGTAATACCTTCCTGGAGGCCTGGCTCATAATGCCAGTGGGTGTCTGTGTGGGACTAGGCTAGAGGAAACACTCTTTCCCATTCATCTGGGGAGAGGGTAGAAATTAGGATGACATTTAAGCCACTCCAGGTTAAATTGTAAGACTGGGTTAAATACTGGAATTCATGTATATATTTGGTGGGGTCTGACGAGAAGGAGCCTAAGTGTTGATTAATTTGGGAAAGGTCTGATAGAGAAAATGGTACATGCACTCTGACGATGCCCTCAGTTCCAGCCACTTCTTGAAGAGGAAATTATTGGGCAGGTGGGGGAGTATTTGCCGCAGAACGAAATTGTAAGCTGGACCAGGTGTGGGGAGGGGAGATGATAGAAGGGTTGTAGGGTGGGGAAGTGGAGGCTGAGGAAGAGTTGGAAGCTGATTCAGCCTGGTGGGGAGCGACCTGAGGAGGAGCAGTCTAGGGAGGAGGGTAGAAGTCAGATGGGTCGGTAGAAAAGAAATATTCAAAAGACTCACCGGCACTTCAGGTTGGGACTGAAGGGACAGGCGGGAGGGAAAGAAGGAAGATTTGCGGCAAGTCGCACTGGGAACAGAGATTAGGGAAGGAACGAAGTGTAAAAAATGCCTGGATGTAGGGCACCTCAGACCATTTGCCCATTTTATGACAAAAATTATCTAGATCTTGTAGGCTGGAGAAATCGAAAGTGCTCTTTTCTGGCCATTTAGAGCCATTATCAAGTTTGTATTGGGGCCAAGTGGTGTTGCAGAAGAAAATAAGACACTTAGGTTTTAGGTCAGGTGAGAGTTGAAGAGGTTTTAAGTTTTTAAGAACACAGGCTAAGAGAGGAAGAAGAAGGAATGGAGGGCTGAAGGTTGCCCATAGTAAAAAGGTAAGTTTAGAGAAAGGAGGAGGTTGAGACATGGAGAGAGGGGGGGTGGTACTTGCCACCCAGGGGAAGTGGTACTTGCCACCAAGGTGGAAGATCAAAACAGGTGTCCCCGCAGTGATCGAACACCTCTGAAATGTGGGTGAATAATCAGGCAGGCGTCCCTGCAGTGACTAAACACAAGGGAAGACAGTCTTCCCGAGTCCATGACCAGCGCCAGAGTTTTGGGTCCACAGATAAAACGGGTCTCCTCTGTCTCTACCAGACAGGGAAAGGAACCGAAATTAAGGGAAGGGAGAGACTGAAGGGTGGTGCCGAAATTGAAAGGAGAAAGAGGTTGAGGGATAGTGAAAGAGGTTGAAGAAGAGAGTAGAAAGAGGCCACTTACCCGATTTAAAATTGGTGAGATGTTCCTTGGGCTGGTCTGAGGACCCGAGGTCGTAGGTAGATCTTCCTCACGGAGCAAAGAGCGGGAGGACAGGGGATTGATCTCCCAAGGAAGGTCCCCCGATCCAAGTCATAGCACCAAATGTCAAATGCATCCGTGTGAAGAGACCACCAACAGGCTTTGTGTGAGCAACAAGGCTGTTTATTCACTTGGGTGCAAGTGGGCTGAGTCCGAAAAGAGAATCAATGAAGGGAGATGGGGAAGGGGTTGCTTTATAGGATTTAGGTAGGTAATGGAAAATTACAGTAAAAGGTGGTTGTTATCTATTGTTAGCAGGGGAGGGGGTCACAAGGTACATGATGGGGAGATCATAAGACTTATTGTCCAGAAGAAGAATGTCACAAGGATGGTTGATCAGTTAAGGTAGGGCAGGGACCAGTCACAATGGTGGAATGTTTGTTAATCAGTTAAGGCAGGAAGTGGCTGTTTTACTTCTTTTGTGGGTTTTTGGCTGCCCCAGACTTCTTGGCTCCCGCAGGCCATCTGGACGCATATGTGCAAGTCACAGGGGTTACAATGGTTGAGCTTCGGCTGAGAGGCCTGACAGCAGAGACTGGAAAATTGCTTAACAGAATTATAAATTCCTTCTTTCATTACTCAAACCTTTTTTTTTTTCTTTTTGAGACGAAGTTTCGCTCTTGTTGACCAGGCTGGAATGCAATGGTGCGATCTCGGCTCACTGCAACCTCCACCTCCCAGGTTCAAGCGATTCTCCCCCCTCAGCTTCCCGAGCAGCCGATTATGCTGCCTCAGCCTTCCCAGTAGCTGGGACTACAGGCACCCGCCACCACGCCCAGCTAATTTTTTGTATTTTTCGTAGAGATGGGATTTCACCATGTTGGCCAAGCTGGTCTTGAACTCCTGAAGTGATCCGCTCACTTCAGCCTCCCAAAGTGATGGGATTACAGGCGTGAGTGACGGCGCCTGGCCTCATTACTCAAACCTTTAGGGAACACCTCCTCACTCAGCCATGTGTAACGACGTGAAGACCCAGAGGTGAAACATTTTAGGGTGCTGCCTCCGAATCTGAATTTCAACAATAGACTAAAACGATCCAGTCCTGGGCTTCTCTAAATTCTTTTGTTGCTGGCCAGACCTTAATTTTAGGCTTTGGAGGGAGTGTCTATGCGAATGAACGACTGAAAACTCAGAAAACGAAAACTAGCTTTTATGGAATTTCAATTAATTACGTTTATCAAAACTACGCATCATGCCCATTTGTGGGTATTGGATGAAAAGATAAATCTTTCCAGAAGGGGCAGGGGAGGGAGAGGCAATTCTGGTTGGGGAAGTTGGGAGAAAAGAAAATCAGTATCTCCTAGTCTTCGCCCAGTTTGGCTCGTTTGGGGTACTCCTCGACCCCGCGTTACCAGGCCCGTGAATCCCACTCCCACCAGAGAATTAGCGCGGGCGGACGAGCAAAGTGAAACTTAGTAGCCCGGAACTTCGCGTGCCGGGTTCCCGCAGCAACACGTACCGGGAAGCGTTTGGGCGCTGCACCGCGCTGCGCCGTGCCCGTGAGTCCGGCGCGCAGAGGAGGAGGAGAAAGCTGACCGCTTAGGCCGGGGTAGTGGTCGTCGTGGTTTTCCTTGTAGTTCGTGGTCTGAGACCAGGCCTCAAGTGGAAACGGCGTCACCATGATCGCACGGCGGAACCCAGAACCCTTACGGTTTCTGCCGGATGAGGCCCGGAGCCTGCCCCCGCCCAAGCTGACCGACCCGCGGCTCCTCTACATCGGCTTCTTGGGCTACTGCTCCGGCCTGATTGATAACCTAATCCGGCGGAGGCCGATCGCGACGGCTGGTGAGTGCTGCGCGGCCGGGATCGGCTGGGAGGAGAAGGGGTCGTAGGGCTGCAGACTGGCCCGGCCGTAGGCCCCCCTGAGGTGCTCTGCTTTTCCGTGCCTTTTTGCCTAGCTGGCCCCATCTCGCCTTTCCGGGGAGTCCGCGCCCCATTAGCTCTTTAGAATCAAGCAGAGCCAGAGTGTCATTTGGCACTTGAAGAAACTGAGGTGCAGTGAAGCAGGAACTGAGTCTGTGAAGGACCCGAAACTACTCTCCTCAGTTCGTGTTGTGCTGTGTGCGCAAATGAGCCATGACTCCATGCCATGCACTACTCACACTGTGGGCATTATTGATAGCATTTCGGCCTTAAAACACTTTTAGGGATGTATTATTCACAACGAGGAAACCGAGCCTAACAGATTAACAGCAGCTTGCCCAAGGTCATATGGCTATTAAGTAGCAGAGCTTGGTTTTTTTTTTTTTTGACCTCTGAATGGATATTGGACACCAGTGCTTCTCAAACTTAATGTGCATACGAATAGCATAGGTGTCTTGTTAAAATTCGGATTCTGGGCTGCGCGAGGTGGCTCACACCTGTAATCCCAGCGCCTTGGGAGGCCGTGGCGGGCGGATCGCCTGAGCTCAGGAATTCGATACCAGTATGGGCAATAGGGCGAAAACCCGTCCCTACAAAAAAATACAAAAGTTAGCCGGGCGTGGTGGTGCACGCCTGTGGTCCCAGGCTGAGGGAGGCTGAGGCAGGAGGGTCGTTTGAGCCTGGAAGGCAGAGGTTGCAGTAAGCCGAGATTGCACCATTGCACTCCAACCTGTGCAACAAAGTGAGACCCTGTCTCAAAAAAAAAAAAAAAGCGGATCCTGATTCATGAGGTCTGGGGAGGAACTTGATGTTAACAACAAGCGCTCAAACACTGCTGCTGCTGGTCTGAGGACCACGGTTTGAATAGGAGGCTCTAAACCAGTGTGCTGTACTTCCCAGTAGTATGTCACTGGCTTCCTATCAGAGACACTGACTATTCTGATAATAACCACCACAGTAGCTTTGCTAAGCTCTATGGATTTCCAGAGGGAAAAGAGGAGAGGAACTTTGGAAGAGGGGTCTTTGAAGTTAACTTTGATTATCAGGCAGGACTGAGAGACAGACAGCTTTCTAGGCCCGTGGGGCTAGTGGGAGCTAATGGGGGCAAGGACCTCTGAATGGAGGGTGTTTGATGATTGAGTGAGTGTTCAGGTTTAGATAAAACTGCAAGGGAGATTTTAGCAGAGCATGGCAATTTATTTTCTAGGCAGTCAGGAACTTTGTAAGCTTTTGAGAGCTGCAAGGGTGCAGTGATGAGCTCTGTATTTTAAAAAGTCATCTTTGTCAGCAATGTGAGGCGTTGATTGGAGCCAAGAAGCACAATCAGGAAAAAAGCTCAGGCAATGGTTCAGGCAATTAGGAGTCACCACACTTGTACCTCTTTTGCCTTCTTACAGCTGTATGTCATGCCTGAAGGTCAGCTCCCAACCCATCAAATCCCACATTTCCAGTGCTCAAATAGTATTGAAGTCCTATCTCCCTTGGACATAACTCCTCACTTCAGAAAGGAGTCATCTTTGTCCGTTTATGCCTCTGAGGACTCGAGGTTTTCCCTTTTCATCACCACTTCATATTTGCCCAAGACTGTCACTTGGTGTAATGAAAAGAGCTCCACTTTGGAACTAAACAAACTTGCTCACTAGGCACAGGCACTGTGGTTCACACCTGTAATCCCAGCACTTTGGGAGACCAAGGCAGGAACATCTCTTGAGGCCAGGAGTTCAAGACCAGCCTGGGCAACATAGTGAGACCCTGTCTCTACAAAAAAATTTAAAAAATTAGCCAGGCATGGTGATGTGCACTTGTAGTCCCAGGTACTCAGGAAGCTAAGGGAGGAGAATCACTTGAGCCCAGGAGGTTGAGGCTGCAGCGAGCCACGATTGCACCACTGCACTCCAGCCTGGGCAACAAAGTTGAGACCTTGTCTCCAATAAATAAATAAATAAACAGACTTGCTCTGCTGCTTTCCAGCTGTGTCACTTTGGGCAAGTTACATGGTCAGGTCGATCAGAGCCAAAGTTTCCTCATCTATAAAATAAGAATAATTAATTTTTGCATATTTGTTGTGAGAATTGAGTGAGATTCTGTAGGTAAAATGTCTGACATGCAAAAGGTGCTGGACAGAGTTCCCCTTCCTTAGCTCTTGTTATGCAAACAGTTTACCATATATTTGTAAATTGTTCATTTACAGAACCCTTTTTTTTTTTTTGAGACAGGGTCTCACTCTGTCACCCAGGCTAGAGGGCAGTGGTGCACTCATGGCTCACTGCAGCCTCGACCTCCTGGGCTCAGGCGATCCTCCTATCCTAGCCTTCCAAGTAGCTGGGACTACAGGTACATACCACCAGGCCTGGCCAATTTTAAAATTTTTTGTAGAGATGGGGTCTTGCCATCTTGGCCAGGCTGGTCTCAAACTTCTGGCCTCAAGTGATCCTGCCACCTCGGCCTCCCAGAGTGCTGGGGTTATAGGTGTGAGCCACTGTGCCTGGCCTTACTTAACTGTTTCTCTGTTATGTGCCCTATGGAGCTCCTAGTGAAATCAGGGAGACAAACAGGTAAACAGCCTGTTGCTGATCTTGGTATGATAGATACATGTTTTGATAGAGGTGGGTGAGCAGAAAGCACTTTAGGAGCACAAAGGAGATACAGTTGGGAGGGAGAATGCTCTAGAGGAAGTAAAGGTTGGCTGAAATGTGACGTATGTACCACTTAATCTCGTTGTTAGTTTAGCCGTTTGTGCCTTTCTGGGAGACAGAAGAGTATAGCAGTTAAGAGCATATGCTTTGGGGTTTGACATCACCTCCACCCTACTAGTAATTTGATTCTGAGGAAGTTACCTATCTCTGAGGACTGGATGAGATAATGAATATAAACTGCTTAGCCCAGGAGTAGGGATCAGACTTCCTGAGTTCCCAGAGCTTCCCTAAATTGCTTTGGAAGATTTAGGTCCTAGGACTTTGTTGAAATGGTTGTCCTCAACAGCATTTACTGAATGCATATTGTGTTTATCTAGCTCAGTGTCTAATATCTATAGTAGGTGTTCAGTAAGTATTGAGTGAGGTCACGTGTGGTGGCTCATGCCTGTAATCCCAACATTTTGGGAGGCTGAGGCGGGTGGATCACCTGAAGTCAAGAGTTCAAGACCAGCCTGACCAACATGGTGAAACCCTGTCTTTACTAAAAATACAAAAATTAGCCAGGCGTGATGGCACATGCCTGTAATCCCAGCTACTCGGGAGGCAGAGGCTGGAGAATTGCTTGAACCTGGGAGGTGGAGATTTCAGTGAGCCGAGATTGTGCCATTGCACTCCAGCCTGGGCGACAGACTGAGACTCTGTCTTTAAAAAAAAAAAAAAGTAGTATTGAGTGAATAAGTATATGTAGATTACAAGGAATATAAAACATGGTCCCAATCCTCCAAAGGTTTACAGACCAGATGGCCATATCCATTAAAAAGACAAATTGTGGTACAAGATTGTGCATATAGAGTGAAGGTGTGTGTCACATAAATGATGTTTCTAAGACAGTTGGAGGAGTGGTGGAAGAGATATGGTAGATTTTCAAACTACAGCCCTGGCGAGTACCTGGCATTCTGTGAGTAATGGGATATTCTGGCCGGACACCGTGGCTCACACCTGTAATCCCAACACTTTGGAAGGCTGAGGTGGGAGGATTGCTTGAGCCCAGGTTTCAAGACCAGCCTGGGAAACACAGGGAAACTTTGTCTCTACAAAAGAAATTTTTTTAAGCTATCTGGACGTGGTGGCATGCACCTGTGATCCCAGCTACTTGGGAGACTGAAGTAAGAGGATCACTTGAGCCTGGGTGGTTGAGGCTGCAGTGAGTGTGATCATGCCTCTGTATTCTAGCCTAAGTGACAGAGCAAGATTCTGTCTCATAATAATGAATATGTCTCATAATAATGAATTTCTATCAATGAAATAAAATTGTGTAGCTCTTTTTCAAATTAGCAGGAAATGTTAAAATAATTCCTTAAGAATAAGACTTTAAAAATAAGTTGTACGTATTTTGGGGGTACATGTGGTATTTTGATACATGCATACAATGTGTAATGTTGAAACTGGGGCAAATGGGACATCCATCACCCCAAACATTCACCCCTTCTTTATGTTGGGAACATTCAAATTCCTCTCCTTCAGCAATTTTGAACTATACAACAAATTATTATTAACTGTAGTCACCCTACTGTACTATCAATAAATAGAATTTTTTTATAAGTTTTTCTCTCATCATCTGTTTTTTAAAACTTAACCTTCTTGCTGGTTACCACTTAATGTGCCCGAAATTTAGAGTTAGTTGGTATGCTAAGTATAGCCCACAAAATTAAATATTTATTGATCTCTAGTTTATCAGTAATTTATGATGTTCTTCAAAGAGCACAATAGCTGCCGGGGTTAGACTCACTGAGTAAACAATGGGAAAATGATTGTAGATGGGGTGTGCAGGTAGTGAGAGGTCGACCACTAAGAGAGAATGAGGAGAGAGGTTAGGAAAATGGGGCCTTGGCAAGAGGCCAAGCCATGCCTTTAGGGCTAGGATGCTGACATCATCATCTCGAACGCTTATGGAGTCTTTCTGTGAGGAACATGGGTCAGCGTAGAGAGAGTCTGGTTCTGTGTGTCTCTGCAGTCCAGTGGCACATGGGAGAACATGCACTCTTTGGTTTGCTATATGGCGGGTAGCCCATTATGGAAAGCAGTGGCTGTTTGGGGTAAGAGAGAGTGCTCTGTCCAGTTCTAGAACATAGGAATATTTTTCATTTTTATTGTTTTATACATTTTCGGAAATACTTTTATATGCATATGTCTTGTTTTATATGCTACTACTGTGAGAAAGATAGGATAGGTCTTTTTTTGTTTTTTTTTTTGAGACAGAGTCTCATTCTGTCGCCCAGGCTAGAGTTCAGTGGTGTGATCTTGGCTCACTGCAATCTCCACCTCCTGGCTTCAAGCGATTCTCCAGCCTCAGCCTCCTGAGTAGCTGGGACTACAGGTGCGTGCTACCACGCCCGGCTAATTTTTGTATTTTTAGTAGAGACGGAGTTTCACCATGTTGGCCAGGCTGGTCTTGAACTCCTGACCTCAGGTGATCCACCCACCTCGGCCTCCCAAAGTGCTGGGATTACAGTTGTGAGCCACCACGCCCAGCCAGGATAGGTCTTGTCTATGTTTTAGAGGTAGTAAATTGAATTGCCCAAGGCTGTTCATTCATTTATTAAATAAATATTAAGTGCTATATGCTAAAATATACATTGCATGTAATATTTTAGATTTGTTAACCTTTAAAGAAGTGATAATGTGGGCCGAGTGTGGTGGCTCATTCCTGTAATCCTAACACTTTGGGAGGCTGAGGCAGGGGGATCGCTTGAGCCCAGGAGTTCAAGACCAGTCTGGGAAACATAGCAAGACCCCTCTTAAAAAAAAAAGAAAGAAAGAAAGAAAGAAAAAAGGCATGGTGGTGCACGCTTTTGGTCCCAGCTACTTGGGAAGCTGAGGTGAGAGGATTGCTTGAGCCTAGGAGGTTGAGGCTGCAGTGAGCTGTGATTGTGCCACTGCACGCCAGCCTGGGCGACAGAGCTAGACCCTGTCTCAAAAAAAAAAAAGAATATGTAGGGTGTCTCAAAGTCAGGGATCAAGGCGGTTTGTTCAGAATAGCTTTTTTTTTTTTTTTTTTTTTTTGAGACAGAGCCTCACTCCGTCCCCCAGGCTGGAGTGCAACGGCGCGATCTCGGCTCACTGCAACCTCTGCCTCCCGGGTTCTAACAATTCTCCTGCCTCAGCCACCCAAGTAGTTGGGATTACAGGTGCCCACCACCACATCTGGCTGATTTTTGTATTTTTAGTAGAGACAGGGTTTCACCATGTGAACTGGTCTTGTACTCCTGACCTCAGGTGATCCACCTGCCTCAGCCTCCCAAAGTGCTGGTATTACAGGCGTGAGCCACTGAGCCCAGTGCTTTTTTTATTTTTATTTTTTTAAGAAATGCCATAACAGGCCAGGCGCTTTGTCACCCAGGCTGGAGTGCAATGGCGCAATATCAGCTTACTGCAACCTCTGCCTCCCAGGTTCCAATGATTCGCCTGCCTCAGCCTCCCAAGTAGCTGAGACTACAGGCACCCGCCACCACCCCCAGCCAAATTTTGTATTTTTAGTAGAGACAGGGTTTCACCATGTTGGCCAGGCTGGTCTCGAACTCCTGACCTCAGGTGATCCACCTGTCTTGGCCTCCCAAAGTGCTGGGATTACAGGTGTGAGCCACTGCGTCCAGCCAAAAATGTAACTCTTAATACACATGGACTAATTTTTGCTTTCTTTGGGATTTGTCATTTGAATTTCAGGTTTGCATCGCCAGCTTCTATATATTACGGCCTTTTTTTTTGCTGGATATTATCTTGTAAAACGTGAAGACTACCTGTATGCTGTGAGGGACCGTGAAATGTTTGGATATATGAAATTACATCCAGAGGATTTTCCTGAAGAAGGTATTTCAAGTTAATTTTAGATAATCTGTGTTTACTGTATTATTATTTTCCCTGGTTAATCTTATCCATGTGTATGGCTTTAGATACCTTCTAAATTCTGTTGACTCCCACATCTTAGTCTATAGACCAAAATTCTCTTGAATTAATATATCCAGTTTCTGACTACCTCCGTGTCCTTTGGACAGCAAACAAAACTCATATCCCCTCTGCCTTCCCAAACCTCCTGCTCCTCTGTGTCCTGCTTCAGAGAATGGCACTACTGTCCACCTGGACACTCAAGCCAGAAGCCTGAGAATCATCAAGTCTTTCTCTTTCACTTCCCATTAGTCATCAGGTCTTATCAGTTCTACTTCCTAAATATTTCTTAACTTTGAACTCTCCTCTCCCACTACCACTACCCTGGTTCAGGCCTTGTTAATCTCTTGCTTGGACTGTTGCACTTGCCTCTTAACTCACCACTTGCTTTGGTCTTATTTCCAATGACAGCAAATCTGATCACATCTGTTTAAAATAGTCATCCGGCTGGTCGCAGTGGCTCACGCCTGTAATCCCAGCACTTTGGGGGGCCGAGCGGGGCAGATCACCTGAGGTCAGGAGTTTGAGACCAGCCTGGCCAACATGGCGAAACCCTGTCTCTATTAGAAATACAAAAATTAGCCGGGCATGATGGCGGGTGCCTGTAAGCCCAGCTACTTGGGAGGCTGAGGCAGGAGAATCGCTTGAACCTGGGAGGCGGAGGTTGCAGTGAGCTGAGATCGCGCCATTGCACTCCAGCCTGGGTGTCACAGCAAGACTGTGTCTCAAAAAATAAAATAAAATTAAAATAAAATAAATAAGTCATCCATTGCCTAGTGGATAAAATCCAGACTCCTTAGGATGGCTCATTTACTCCAGGTTAGCTAATTGCCTGTCCTCTGGTAGAAACACTTTACCCACATTCTTATCTACCATATGATATACACATGTGTGTGTTCTTCATGGATTGTAGCTTCGTCTTTGTTTCCCCAGCCTCTTGTATAGAGCCTACACATAGCAGGCACTTACTTATGCATAATAGTGGATATGAACCGTATGGAATACTTCCTCATTCCTCATCACTCATCATTTGCCTGGTGAAATGCTTTGTCCCGAACCTGCCCTATATTACTTTATACATGTTGTACCTTCTTCCTGCTATGTTATTCTTCCTCTTGCCCCTGTTTCCACCCCATCCACCTAGCAAATTTCTGCTTTTATTATCTCAGTGAAGCTTTCACCCAGCTACAGTCAGGCATTCCCTCAGGGTGCTCTATCTCTAGTCTGCTATGAATCTATTAATAGTTGTAATATAACTTTTCTCACCTGTGTTTTACACACATATACACAACACAGATGTGCACATATATGAGTATCTGTAGGCTGGGAGTTTAACTACTACGACAGTTTTTTTTGGTTTCCCCAGGGGTTTGGCACACATAGCCTTATTAAATGTGTAAATGAATGAGTATAGAAAAAATTTGAACTTGTAAACATAAATAGATTTTCCCCAGTCTCGGCAACATAGTGAGACCTCATCTCTACAGAAAATTAAAAAATTAGCTGGGTGAGGTGGCACATGCCTATAGACCCATTGACTTGGGAGGCTGAGGCAGGAGGATTACTTGAGCCTGGGAGGACAAGGTGCCGTGAGCCGTGATCACACCACTGCATTCCAGCCTAGGTGACAGAGCGAGACCCTGTCTCAAAAAAAAAAAAAAAAAAAAATTCTTCTGTTAATGTAAATGCGTGATATAAAACATTTAAATTTCATTACACTGAATGATCTCTAAGGTCTTATTTAGCTCTAAAATTTTATTACTCTTTAATATTCCCACAGCCTTCAGTCACATATATGATATTTATGGTGGATCAGAAAGATACAGTTTCTTTTTTTGCCAAAGAAGAGCTTAAAGACTAGCACAAAGCCATGAATAGTGGATGTATCGGGAATGCATAATACCCAGAACCGTTAAATGTTAGAGCTGGAAGTCATCTTGGATATATTGATTACTAGGAGTGAGGCCCAGTGGCTTGAGGAGTCTTCAGTCTCAGACCTCTGGCTCTTTGCCTAGACATAGTTCCATGAGTTCCCTGTGTCTGCAGGAGTGTGTATAGCTTCAGGGCTCATTCTCTTTCTGAGCTGCAGATTAGTGGCAGTTGTGCCAAGAGCCTCATGCACAGACAGTGGGAGCCCGGAGAGCTTGACCACATTGGCTGTTGGCCTCTCCTAGCTGACCTGTGCCCCTCTGTGTTTATTTCTTCCTTCACCTCTTCAGTCAGGATACTCCTGGCAGCACCTTGTCCCTCTTGGCAGTCATTTGGTTGTCATCACAGATTCCTCCAAAGTTATTCTTCAGTCAATGAAAGAAAATCCTTCAGTGATTACCAAGCCATAGTCAAGGACAAGAAAATAAGGAAATTCTTAGGGGTTTGTCTTAGTCCGTTTGGCCTACTATAACAAAATGCCTTAAACTGGGTAATTAAAAAAAATTTTTTAACTTTGTTTTTCTTACCACCTGTATAATTGCAGAATAGACTGGGTAATATATAAGTAATAGAAATTTATTGCTTGCAATTCTGGAGGCTGGGAAGTCCAAGATCAGGGTACCAGCACAGTTGGTGTCTGCTGAGGGCCCACTCTGCTTCATAGATGATGCCATCTTGCTGTGTCCTCACATGGTAGAAGAGGCAAACAAGGTCCCCTAAGCCGATCCCCCTCATGAGGACAGAGCCTTTGTGACCTAATCACCTCCCAAAGTCCTAACCTCTTAATATCGTTATCTTGGGGGTTACATTTCAATTTATGAACTTTGGGGGGACATGAACATTCAGACCACAGCAGGATTTCAATCATAAGATTAGTGAGTGTTAATTTTCGTTTAGGAAATACAATTTTTAAAACATATTTTTAAAATAAATCTTTTATGATCTTTCCTTTTATAGATAAGAAAACATATGGTGAAATTTTTGAAAAATTCCATCCAATACGTTGAAGTCTTCAAAATGCTTGCTCCAGTTTCACTGATACCTGCTGTTTCTGAATTTGATGGAACATGTTTCTTATGACAGTTGAAGCTTATGCTAATCTGTATGTTGACACCTTGTAATTAAAATACGTACCATGAGTACTCTGACTCTTTATTGTTGTAAGAAAAATAGTTCATCATCAGAGAATGGTCAGTTTCCATTCACCCATCTGAAAGATTTTAAGATGAGGTTGAATTCTAGTTTAGAGTTAGCAGACTACCCAAATCTGGCCCACTGCCAATAAAGTCTCATTGGAACACAGCCATGCTCATTTGTTTACATGTTGTTTATGGCGACTGCCATGCTGCAAGAGCAGAATTGAGTAGTTGTGATAGAGACCTATGGCCTGCAAAGCCTAATTAATATGTAGCCCTTTCAGAAAAGGTTTGCCTGCCCCTGTCCTAGTGCAAAGTGAATTTAGAGTGAGCCAGATTATGGAGGATTCTGTGACTCTTGCCAAATAATTTTGACTTCATCCTGTAGGTATTAAGTCATTAAGGCGTTTTAAATCATACAGTCAGGTTTGTATTTCTGAGCTGTCTATAATGAATGATATAGAAGGTGGTTTCGAAGGAGGAGACTCCAGACAAGGAAAACAGAAATCTTATGTTGCCAAGTTGTCTTTGCTCTTAGGTGGGTTATCCTGGAGAAAATGGACTCAGGAGCTAATACTGTCTACAGTGGAGCTTGGTGCAATTAGAAGCAAAAGACTGTACCTAACTGGAATGAGGTTACTTTTTATGGCTTATCAAATGCTTGTCCTGGCCCGATGCAGTGGCTCATGCCTGTAATCCCAGCACTTTGAGAGGCTGAGGCAGGGCAGATTGCATGAGCCCAGGAGTTCGAGACCAACTTGGGCAACATGGTGAAACACTGTCTCTACATAAAATACAAAAATTAGCTGGGCGTGGTGGCACGTTCCTGCAATCCCAGCTACTCATAAGGCTGAGGTGGGAGGATCTATTGAGCCCTGGAATTCGAGGATGCAATTAATTGTGGTTGTGTCACAGTTCACTGCAGCCTGGGTGACACTCCAGCCTGGGTGACAAAGGAGACCCCGTCAAAAAAAAAAGTACTTGTCCCAAAAGTTTTTGTTTCCTAGCTTAGAATTTATAATCAGATTAGGTTTTGGAGATAAAGTATATGTGGTATTTTTTTTTTTTTTTTTGAGACGACAGTCTTGCTCTGTCATCAGGCTGGAGTGCAGTGGCGCAATTTCGGCTCACTGCAACCTCCACCTCCTGGGTTCAAGCAATTCTCCTGCCTCAGCCTCCCGAGTAGCTGGGACTACAGGTGCATGCCACGACGCCCAGCTGATTTTTGTGTTTTTAGTAGAGACGGGGTTTCACCATGTTGGCCAAGATGGTCTCAATCTCTTGACCTTGTGATCCACCTGCCTTGGCCTTCCAAAGTGTTGGAATTACAGGCGTGAGCCACCGCGCCTGGTCTATATGTGATTTCAAATTAGGTGGCCTTATAAATATAAGCAGATGGTTTCTGGGCAAAATCAAATGATTTCTGTCTCTATTTTCTTGAGTACCAATTGTAAAAACTGAAATTAGGTTGAGGAAAGTGCTTTAGAAATAATAAAGATGTACAAATACAAGGCTTTGGATTTTTTATTAGTTCTGCAATAAATAATAGGTTTATAGTTCACCTGTTGTTGATCTCATCAGTGGTCGCCAAGTAAGAGGGTGAATCACTCATCCCAAGAGACTCTGCTACCTCTTAGCTCTGGAGGGTAAAAAGCAAGGGCCAGAGCAAATACATTGGGGAGAGGGGGAGAAAAAAAAAATCAGGCTATTTTAATAGCCCTCACATGCCAAGTGCTTTTGATTCATCATGTTTAGTTTTCATAAGCTTGTGAGGTAGATAATATTATCCCCATTTTATAGATGAGGGAATTTAGGCTCCAATGGGTTAAATAACTTGTACAAGTACACATACTGAATGACTGCCATGAGGAGGGATGTGAATTTTGGTCACGTGCCAACACCTACACTCTTCCTACCATACCACACTGGACAGGTAATTGTCTAGTCCCTCCTGAACCACTGGTCACCTCCCCAAGCTGTTAAGAGGAGCGAGGGGAGCAGTGAATAGCAACAGACATTCTAAAGGTGAGCCAGTGACTGGAATCCAGGAATTGGTGCTCAGGAGGTAGAGAAGCATCCCGGAGAACTGAGCCGCCTTCACTTCTGGCTGCAGGTCTAGGCCTTTCTGCTCTCATCATTGGCTAGTGAACTGCTCCGCCGACCTCATCAAAGAGTCTGTCTTCTATCATGTGAAGGGATCTGTGGAGTGAAGAAATTTTTAAAAGGCCAAGTCAGTATCAATTCAAACAACCAAGATACTGTCACATGCCCATTGAAGCAGGAAGAACAATGCTGATGTTGCTGTTGGAAAACTGGCAGTGCCTCAGCACTGTAAGGAGAATCCTAGGTTGTCAGAGCTGGAATAACTCATTTGATTTCTCTGCTATATTTTACTAACAGGGAAACAGATACAGAAAGGTAAGATAAGTTGTCTAGGGCCGGGCGTGGTGGCTCACGCCTGTAATCCCAGCACTTTGGGAGGCCAAGGTGGGTGGATCATTTGAGGTCAGGAGTTCGAGATCAGCCTGGCCAACATGGTGAAACCCTGTCTCTACTAAAAGTACAAAAATTAGCCAGGCATGGTGGCGTGAGCCTGTAATCCCAGCTACTCGGGAGGCTGAGGCAGGAGACTTGCTTGAATCTGGGAGGCAGAGGTTGTAGTGAGCCAAGGTGGCGCCACTGCACTCCAGCCTGGGTGACAAGAGCAAGACTCCATCTCAAAAAAAAAAAAAAGGTTGGGTGCGGTGGCTCACGCCTGTAATCCCAGCACTTTGGGAAGCCGAGCGGGGAGGATCACAAGGTCAGGAGATTGAGACCATCTTGGCCAACATGGTGAAACCCCATCTCTACTAAAAATACAAAAAATTAGCTGGGTGTAGTGGCGTGCACCTGTAGTCCCAACTACTCGGGTGGCTGAGGCAGGAGAATTGCTTGAATCGGGAGGTGGAGGTTGCAGTGAGCTGAGATCGCGCCACTGCACTCCAGCCTGGCAATAGGGTGAGACTCCATCTCAAAAAAAAAGTTGTCTAGGATAATACAGAAGTCAATGGAAGAGCCAGAACAAGAGCCCAGATTTTTAACTGTTGCTATACCATATTGCCTCTGAATGAAAATCAGGTTAGGGTGTGTTGAAACGTTATGGCGTAGAGTTGCTGCTCTGGCCTTTGAAGCAACTGAGTGAGTCAGAGTGTGGTTTCTACCCACTCTGCCATGCCCAGTTCCCACTTTGAGCCCACTCTGCAAAAGTCTAAGGCTCTAAGGAATACCACTGTAGAGGAAAAGAATTAGACTAATTAGGCCAGGGTTCACATCTTGGCTGTTATTTACTGAGTAAACTTGGACTCATTTTACTTCTCAGGCCTCCAGTTTTCTCATCTGCAAAAGGGAATGATAGGCTGGGCGCGGTGGCTCATGCCTGTAATCCCAGCACTTCGGGAGGCCGAGGCAGGTGGATCACGAGGTCAGGAGTTCAAGACCAGCCTGGCCAACATGGTGAAACCCGGTCTCTACTAAAGATTTTAAAAAAATTAGCTGGGTGTGGTGGCACACGCCTGTAATCCCAGCTACTTTGGAAGCTGAGGAAAATCTCTTGAACCTGGGAGGTGGAGGTGGCAGTGAGCTGAGATTGCACATTGCACTCCAACCTGGGGGACAGGGTGAGACTCCGTCTCAAAATTTAAAAAGGTGGGGGGGGATGATAATTCCATTAGATAATGGATATGCAAAGTGATCTTAAAACTATTCAAATGCCAGTTGTTAGTTTTACAACCACTGTTATTATTCAGTGAAGAAGCTGAAACCCAGAGAAATGAATTAGCTTGCCCAAGGCCCCACAGCTCATTAGTGATAGAATCAGAACGTGAACCCAGAGCTGTTGACACAGCCCCATCTAATTCAAGAAGAACCTCTGTGAGGCAACTCAGGGAGCCTCAACGGGAGAGGGAAGAAGGGTTGAGGTTGACAGTTTGGGTTTGAAGCGGGAGAAGGAAAAATGGCTGAGAAAATGCCTGGAGCAGAGCTCTCCATAGGCTCTGTGTTTGGGGGTCCCATGTTTATTCCGCATAATTACAGAGCAGCCTTCACACAGATTATGAAGATAACACAAAATGGCAGACAGTGGGTACGATGGAAAGAACACTCAGCTCAAAGTTGAGGCCAGTCTTACTTTTGTCTCCTTACTGTGTGACTTTGGGTGAGTCACTTCACCTCTCTGGCTTCAATTTCCATACTAGTAAACTGGGGATGAGAATCTTTTCCTACATAGCTGCATCAGGTGGTTTTGAGATTGCAATGGACGTGGATGTTGTTTACAACTAATGAGACCAGTTTGTGGGAGCAGGGCTGGCAGGTGGCACAGAATCAAAACTGGCAGGTGCTGTGGTCCAATTTCTATTAATACTAGTCTTTATCCATGAGTGAACTAGTGGTGACCATGCTAGGGCCCCTTCCCACCTCCTACCCTCTGCCACCACCTGCTTGTCTAGCTTGCTGCTCATCCACACTCACCACCCCAGCCCCTCTGTGCATAGACATGTAGGCTTAGACTGGAACACATATTCATATGTACATACAACAGGGCTTCCCAACAGGCATGTCTGCATACTCCAGTTTGCCTGGAATGGATTAGAGTGCCATGACTGGTCCCTCGGCTTCCCGTTTGGTGGGTTCCAACCTGGGATGGTCAGAGTACCCCCAGCCTGTTGTAGCAGTACTGCAAGCAGCCTCACCTATGTATCCCCATGTGCCATATAATAATTTTCCATGTTCTGTGACTTGAAAAAATGTTGGGAAACACTGTCACACAAATGGAATTCACAATGTTCACTTAAATCAATGTGCATGCCTTAGGTAAGTTTTTTTTTTTTTTTTGAGATGGAGTCTCCCTCTGTCACCTAGGCTGGAGTGCAGTGGCACAATCTCAGCTCACTGCAACCTCTGCCTCCCAGGTTCATGCCATTCTCCTGCCTCAGCCTCCCGAGTAGCTGGGACTACAGGCACCCACCACCACGCCCAGCTAATTTTTTGTATTTTTAGTAGAGATTGGGTTTCACCATGTTAGCCAGGATGGTCTCAATCTCCTGGCCTCATGATCCGCCCGCCTCGGCCTCCCAAAGTGCTTTGGTGTGAGCCACCGCGCCTGGCCCCTCTTCAATTAAATTCTTAACAAAGTCACTGATGAGAACACACTCATTCAATTCACACATTTACAAGCATTCACATACTAATAAATGCACACATGCACAAACACATATATGTGCATATGAGATATGCCCTCACAGGCCACTTTTCCCTCTGTTTCCATATCACTTCATTGCAATTGCCAATTTGAGGTCAGAAGGATAGTAACACAGGCCTAGTCTTAGGCCCTCCTAGGTTGTGGTCCCAATACCCTGACCCAAGAGTGGCTCTGTCTGAAAGTCAGGCTGTTCCTCTCCCAGTGGGTTGCACCACTGCCCCCTCTCCTCTCCTGGAATGTCCCTTTGTAGACTCACACCCACCAGCATGGCCACCATTACCTTCCCTAGTGTCCAAGGTCTACCAAACTTGTCCCGTCATTTCCTGGTATTTCCTTGTCACCTCCTGGGCTTTCTCGGTGAGGTGCATGAGGATGTGATGGAGGCTGGAGAAGTGCAGGTGGAACTGGGCTTCCAGGTCCAGCTCTCCTGAGGCACTCTCGTCCTCGACTTCCTCTGTCTCTGCGGTTCCATTCTCTTCGCTGCCTGCCACCTTGGCCTGCCACTCCTCCCGCGGCAGCAGCCCATGGTCCACATCCACACAGATGGCCTTGAGCATGGTGAAGTAGGTGTAGAGATCAGGGGCCTCAGCCTGGGCCTGGCCCCCAGGCCCACTCAGCTGCACGTCCCGCAGAAGGCTGGGGATCATCACCACCTGCTCCATGTTGTGCACCTCGGCTGCATACCGGTCCATGACGGTCAGCAGGCAGTTCTTGGGGTAACGCTTGGTTAGCACCTGCATGGTTGCTTCCTCTGACACAATGAGACCAGCAGACTGCCCCCGCACTATTTCTAGGCTCTCGGCAGATTGACAGGATGCCAATGCCCAGCTGTTGGGTCAACACAGCCCTGTTTTGGGCCAATCCCAGGGCTCAGGCCCCAGCATCTGTATCAGGTGATCCATCTGCCCAGAGACAGATCTGCCAGCCTTCTACTTGTCATCCCAGCTCTGCATGACTGCCCCAGCAAGAACCCGACTCTTCCTCTGTCAGCTTGCTGAGCCAGTTGGAAGGAAGCTTTTCCCTTTGGCAACTGGTATACTGGACTTCAGGGCAATAAATAATTCTTTCAGGTCACTGGAGACCAAGCTGTCTCTTTGCTGCCTGCTTAGGGCAGCCCTCCAAAGCACAGTTCACTCCTTCAACCTGGGGTGACTCCATTGTGAAATGGAGAGGATTTGAAGTGAAACAGCTTGATGTGGGGCAAGGAACACTGAGGTTGGAGTCAGAAGCCCAGTACTGCAATTTCCTAGCTGAGTTTTTTTTTGTTTGTTTTTTGCTGGCTAACATTTATTGAGCACCTACTGCACATCAGGGTCTGCTGAGCTTTTTCGTGAGTGATCTCATTTAATCTTCACCACAACCCTTGTAAATGTTTTATTTATTTAATTTTTGTAGAGATGGTCTTGCTATGTTGCCCAGTCTGGTTTTGAACTTCTGGACTCAAGCAATCCTCCCACCTCAGCCTCCCAAAGTGCTGGAATTGCAGGTGTGAACCACCAGTATTCCTGTTTTGCCAGTGAGGAAATTTAGGTGCAGACAGCTAAAGTAACTTGCTCAAGGTCCCACTGGGGCTGGGATTCCAGCCCAGGACCACCTCTACCCACCTCCAGGCAGTGCTGTGGACTGACATGAGGTTACATAGTCATACAAGTTAACCAGATCCATATCCTCTGTAAATTTGAGGTGGTGTGAGGATTGAATAAGACAAACTAATAAAAATGCTTTGTATCAGTCCAGACAAGCGGCTGGGATCAAAAGAGGAAAAAAAATGCTTTGTAAACCACAAAGCCCAATCCTCAGATGTATTATCTATGCAGATTCTAGATTATTGCTAAGGCTTCTCCCAAATCTAACCAGTCATTCCATAAGCTACAATGCTTCCACTTTATTACTGACCTTTCCTTGGACCAGCAGTCTTGGAAGATAATAATCTTTTGCGTGGTCATATTGTCATAGTTTACAAACTGCATTTGCTATATATTTTTTATTAGATATTTAAGAAAATGGCCGGGCGCAGTGGCTCACGCCTGTAATCCCAGCACTTTGGGAAGCCCAGGCGGGTGGATCACGAGGTCAGGAGATCGAGACCATCTTGGCTAACGTGGTGAAACCCTGTCTCTACTAAAAATACAAAAAATAAGCCGGGCGTGGTGGTGGGCGCCTGCAGTCCCGGCTACTCGGGAGGCTGAGGCAGTAGAATGGCGTGAACTCAGAAGGTGGAGCTTGCAGTGAGCCGAGATGATGCTGCACCACTGCACTCCAGCCTGGGCAACATAGCGAGACTCCGCCTCAAAAAAAAAAAAAGAAAAAGAAAAGAAAAGAAAATGAAGGCCTGGGGAAAGGCCCAAAGTTGCACAACAAGTTAGTGGCAGAGTCAAGTGGAGAATAAGACATTCTGAATTCTGGCTCAGGTACCTGCCTCCTCCACTGCCTCTGGTGAAATCTGCTGAATGATGATACCTCCCACGCCTGCAGGAGAGGAGAGAGGAGGAGGGAGCACAGGGAGGGGACGTGGGGCTGAACAGGGCCTCTGTGTTGTCTCACCTAAGCCACCCTCACCTCCACCCTAGGGCAGGAGCCCACTCTGCACCCTCCCAACTGACAATCATTCACTCCTCTGCTCCCTCCCACTACAGCCAGAGCTATGAAAAAGCTTATCTTTAGACTGAACAAAATTCCGCCTCCCAGCCCGGCATGGTGGCTCATGCCTGTAATCCCAGTACTTTGGAAGGCTGAGGCAGGAGGATCATTTGAACCCAGTAGTTTGAGACCAGCATGGGCAACATATGAGACCCTATCTCTACAAAAAATTAATTTTAAAAAATCAGCTGGGTGTGATGGCACATATCTGAGGTCTCAGCTACTCAAGTGGCTGAGGTGGGAGGATTGCTTGAGCCCGGGAGGTCAAGGCTGCAGTGAACTGTGATGGCACCACTGCACTCTGGCCTGGGTGACACAGCAAGACCCTGTCTCGAAAAAAAAAGAAAAAGAAAAAAATATTCTACTTCCCTATAACCCCTCCCCTTTAAATTGTAATATTTACCCCACCCAGAGTTACTGGCCTTAACTATGCTTATGTTGGCACAGCAGAGTGGTGTGCCAACTCAGTTTCCACAGGGGCCCTGAGACAGAAAAACATAAGTATCCCAAGATAAAACTGAGACAAAACTGAGACTCAGAAAGGGAGAGGTACTTGCCCAAGGTCTCATAGCTCGGACATGACAGGAGTAGGCCTGCCCTAGTTCCATCAGACCTGAGAGGAAAGCAGTGATCTTCCCTCTTGTCAAGTCCCCTTGGCAGGCTGGCCATGCATAGCCACAGATGACCTGAAGTCACCCTGTGTTGACAGTTGGCCTTGCTTCTCCAGGGCAGAACAGGCAGCCAAATCCAGGTCTGGGCCAGCTGCAGAGGGCAAAGCTTCCACCTTAACCCTCTGTGTACTGCAAGTGGTGGAGGGAAACAGAGAGCACCAGCCTCCCTGAGCCTCGACATCCTCATATGTTGTAATAATGATAAGGGCAAACAATAACTGAAGACATATTATTCTAAGCTAAGTTATATATGCAAAGTTCTTTTTTTTTAACCTTGAGCTTTTTTTTTTTTTTTTTTTTTTTTTTGAGACAGGGTGTCACTCTGTCGCTCAGGCTGGAGTGCAGTGGCATGATCTTGGCTCATTGCAACCTCCGTCTCCTGGGTTTAAGTTAGTCTCCTGCCTCAGCCTCCCGAGTAGCTGGGGCTACAGGTGCCCTCCACCACACCTGGATAATTTTTGTATTTTTAGTGGAGATGGGCTTTCACCATGATGGCCAGTGCTGGGATTACAGGTGTGAGCCACCGCGCCCGGCAATATACAAAGTTCTTAGAGCAGAACAACAATTGTATGTGGTAGGTAGACCCCATTTACAGATGAGGAAACTGAGACCTGAGACGGTAAAGCAATAAGCCAAGGAACACACATTATTCCTTCCTTGGCAAAGAGGAGTTGAAATGTGTCCTGACTCTTCCCTACGGGTGTGATGGGGTGAGAGATGATATTTATGAAATGCCTAGGAGACTGCGGGACTCAATAAGCAGACACTGAGCCAGGCGCGGTGGCTCACGCCTGTAATCCCAAGCACTTTAGGAGGCCGAGGTGGGTGGATCACCTGATGTCAGGAGTTCGACACCAGCTGGCCAACATGGTGAAACCCTGTTTCTACTAAAAATACAAAAAATTAGCCTGGCGTGGTGGTGGGTGCCTGTAATCCCAGCTACTCGGGAGGCTGAGCAGGAGAATTGCTTGAGCCCAGGAGGTGGAGGTTGCAGTGAGCCTAGATCGCACTACTGCACTCCCGCCTGGGCAACAGAGCAAGATTCCATCTCAACAACAACAACAACAACAAAAAATAAAATAAAATAATAAAATAAGCAGGCACTGCCTTCTTTCTAGCAGATTCTGCCTTCTGACTCTGCTCCCTGCATTCCTCATTTATTTCTCCATGCCTGGACTTGCCACTCTACATTTCATCACTGCAAATGCTCAGTAACTATTGGCTGTATGATGACCATTAGATTTACTAGTTTTTTTTTTTTTTGAGACAGGGTCTGGCTCTGTCACCCAGGCTGGAGTGCAGTGGCATGATTATGGCTCACTGCAATCTCCACTTTCTGGGCCCACGCAATCCTCCCACCTCAACCTCCCAGATAACTGTGACCACAAATAGCCATCACATCTGGCCAGGTTTTTTTTGTTTTTTTTGAGACGGAGTCTCACCTGTCACCCAGGCTGGAGTGTGGTGGCGCGATCTCGGCTCACTGCAACCTCCACCTCCTGGGTTCAAGTGATTCTCCTGCCTCAGTCTCCCAAGTAGCTGGGATTACAGGCGAACGCCACCACACATGGCTAATTTTTGTATTTTTAGTGGAGATGGGGTTTCACCATATTGGTCAGGCTGGTCTTGAACTCCTGATCTTGTGATCTGCCTGCCTCGGCCTCCCAAAGTGCTGGGATTACAGGCATGAGCCACCACACCCAGCCTAGTTTTTTAAAAATTATTATTTTTGCAGAGACTGGGTCTCCCTATGTTGCCCATGTTGGTCTCAAACTCCTGAGCTCAAACCATCCTCCCACCTTGGCCTCCCGAAGTGCACTGCAGTGGATTACAGGCCTGAGCCATTGCACTCAGCCTAGATTCAATTCCTAGTACATTCTAGGTTCTTTGTTTATAATGTCCAGTCACCTCAAAAAGCAGGTTCCCAGGCCGGACGTGGTAGCTCACGCCTGTAATCCCAGCACTTTGGGAGGCCGAGGCGGGTGGATCATAGAGATCAGGAGTTCAAGACCAGCCTGGCCAACATGATGAAACCCTGTCTCCACTAAAAATACAAAAAAATTAGCTGGGCATGGTGGCACATGCCTGTAGTCCCAGCTACTTGGGAGGCTGAGGTGGGAGAATCGCTTGAACGCGGGAGGCCGAGGTTGCAGTGAGCAGAGATCAAGCCACTGCACTCCAGCCTGGGTGACAGAGCAAGACTCTGTTTCAAAAGAAAGAAAAGAAAAAGAAAAATAGTTACCCTGGCTTGGAGGGAGGCGGCAGTGAGGCCTCTGGTGTGGCAAGGGACCATGTGGCCACCCAGGAGTTGTATATAATGACAGGTGTTCAAAAATACCTCACAGGCCTGACTATAAGGTGACGTTCTTTTCTAGAATTATTACTTAAGAAAGAAAAGATGGTGCCATACTCACATCCTGACAATATTCATTATACAGGGTGCTTTTCCTCTACTTTACTGTGAGCAAGACATAACAATCCAACATTACCTCAATCAAGCAGCAGAATGAAGAATTTGCATAAAACTGTTTCCTAACCTACAAATGGAAAAGAGTAATTTTTCTAAATTAATGTATTAGGTTAAATAATGTAACCTGGCCAGGCATGGTGGCTCATGCCTGTAAGCCCAGCACTTTGGGAGGCCAAGGCAGGTGGATTGTTTGAGTCCAGGAGTTTGAGACCAACATGGGCAACATGGCAAAACCCCATCTCTACAAAAAATAAAAAAAAACTAGCCAGGTGTGGTGGCAAGCGTCTGTGGTCTCAGCTACCTGGGAGGCTGAGGTGGAAGGATCGCTTGGACCCAGAAGGTGGAGGCTGCAGTGAGCCACGAGCATGCCACTGCACTCCAGCCTAGGTGACAGAGGGAGACCCTGTTTCAAACACAAAAAAAATTTGGTTTTTTTTTTTGAGACAGAGTCTTGGCTCACTGCAACCTCTGCCTCCCGGGTTCAAGCAATTCTTCTGCCACAGCCTCCCAAGTAACTGGGATTACAGGCATGCACCACCACACCTGGCTAATTTTTGTATTTTTAGTAGAGACGGGGTTTCACCATGTTGGCCAGCTGGTCTCAAACTCCTGACCTCAGGTGATCCGCCCACCTCGGCCTCCCAAAGTGCTGGATTACAAGCGTGAGCCACTGCGCCCAGCCTGATTTATTCATTTTTAGCCCTCTAACACTTTTGTTTTGTTTTTCTCTAATCTTTATTTGGGGAAAAATTTGTTGAATTTTTTCTCCTCAAGAAACTGGGGTTTCCACTTTGGAGGCCAACGTGGGAAGATCACTTGAAGCAGGAGTTTGAGACCAGCCTGGGCAACACAGCAAGACCCCATCTCTATTTTTAAAAAAGGTGGGGGCTTCCCTGGTATTCGAACATCCAGGATTGGTGAGCAGTGGGCACAGGCAAAGACCACAAGGCTGGAGACTGTAACTGGGTTCTGGTGCTGCCTCCGGGCCACCTGCAAGCAGGCTCCCTGGGCTCTAGCATCCACGCTGTCAAACGAGGAGTTTGGAGATTTCTGCACGAAGGCTCTTCCAGCCCCGATTTTGTAACTCTTGTATCCAGGTCCAGGTCCCTACGGGCATTACTCTCTGCCTTAATTCTTGCATTTTGGACTTAGCCTCAGGGTCACCAACTCAGAACTGGAAAACATGATCCATGCGTGGACAGGGCTGGGAGCACTGACTCCAGTGTGGTGGGCAGGCCAGGGTGCCCCAAGAGTAGCTGCCTCCTGCTTCTGTTGCCCAGTGGTGTGGAGCAGACCTGGGCCCCCTGGGCCTCATTGACCCCATCTAGATAACCAAGAGGGCGACCTTTGTTAATTCCTCTCTAGCTCAGACTTTGGGAAACTCCTGAGTGCAGCGTCCTTGTGCCTTTCCGTGTTATTCTGCATGTGTGTGTGTGGTTTTTTTTTTTTTTTTTTTTGAGACAGAGTCTTGCTGTGTCACCTAGGCTGCAGTGCAGTGGTGTGATCTTGGCTCACTGCAGCCTCCTGGGTTCACGTGATTCTCTGCCCCAGCCTCCCGACTAGCTGCAATTATGGTACCCACCACCACATGTGGCTATTTTTTTTTTTTTTTTGAGACAGAGTCTCACTCTGTCGCCCAGGCTGGAGTGCAGTGGCGTGATCTCGGCTCACTGCAAGCTCCACCTCCCGGGTTCACGCCATTCTCCTGCCTCAGCCTCTGGAGCAGCTGGGACTATAGGCGCCCGCCACCACGCCCAGCTAATTTTTTTTATTTTTTTTAGTAGAGACAGGGTTTCACCGTGCTAGCCAGAATGGTCTCAATCTCCTGACCTCGTGATCCGCCCACCTCGGCCTCCTAAAGTGTTGGGATTATAGGCGTGAGCCACTGCGCCTGGGCATTTTATTTTATTTTTTTGAGATGGAGTCTTGCTCTGTTGCCCAGGTTGGAGTGCAGTGTCGTGATCTCGGCTCATTGCAATTCCACCTCCCAGGTTCAAGTGATTCTCCTACCTCACCCTCCCGAGTAGCTAGGATTACAGGCGAGCACCACCATGCCTGGCTAATTTTTGTATTTTCAGTACAGACAGGGTCTCACCATGTTGGGCAGGCTGGTCTTGAACTCCTGAACTCAAATGATCCACCTGCCTCGGCCTCCTAAAGTGCTGGGATTACAGGCGTGAGCCACCACACCCAGCCTTAATTTTTATATTTTTAGTAGACACGGGGTTTCGCCATGTTGGCCAGGCTGGTCTCAAATTCCTGGCCTCAAGTGATCTGCCTGCTTCACCTTCCCAAAGTGCTAGGATTACAGGCATGAGCCCCTGTGCCTGGCTATGTGTGTATTTTAACCCCTTTTGAGGCAAGTCTATTCCCAGACATGTTCTTGGCCTTGAACTGGAGGGAATGACAGAAAGAGGAAGGGAGAACATGAGTGTGTTGGTGGAAAAGGGAGAGAGTGAATGAATTAGTATAGTAATTTGGTGAAAAAAAGAGCTGTGGGCAGAGCACATGAGGAGGCCTCCCTCCGTCATTCCCTCCCTCCCAGCAGGCTATGCACCCAGGCTGCCTCCATGTCTCCCTGGCAGACAGAAGGTCCAGATAAAATGCTGCTAGCCACGTGTCAGATTAGAAGACAGAAGGAGTGTTCTACGGGGACAGGCATAGATGCAGACAAGTTATAGGAGTAGAGGGTGGCAGGGTCTCTTTAAGAGATATAGTGGGACAGTGGTTCCACAGGGACTCAGTTCTTCCTGCTCAAAAATGCCACATCCAAGGGTTGACAGGTTATCTGGTCCACTCAAGCCATTGCAGATAGAAAATTCCAGCAAAGGGTCAGGGTGCAGTGGTTTATGCCTGTAATCCCAGCACTTTGGGAGGCCAAGGCAGGTAGATCACTTGAGGCCAAAAGTTCGAGACCAGCCTGGCCAACATGGCAAAACCTCCTCTCTACTAAAAATACAAAAATTAGGCTGAGGTAAGTGGATCACCTAAGGTCAGGAGCTTGAGACCAGCCTGGCCAACATGGTGAAACCCCGTCTCTACTAAAAATATAAAAAATTACCTGGGCATGGTGGCGGGCGCCTGTAATCCCAGCTATTTGGGAGGCTGAGGCAGGAGAATTGCTTGAACCTAGGAGGCAGAGTTTGCAGTGAGCCGAGATGGCGCCACTGTACTCCAGCCTGGGCATGACAGAGCGAGACTCTGTCTCAAAAAAAAAAAAAAAAATTAGCTGGGTGTTGTGGTGCCACCTGTAATCCCAGCTACTCAGGAGGCTGAGGTGGGAGGATTGCTTGAACCCAGGAGGTGAAGGTTGCAGTGAGCCAAGACTGCACCACTGCACTCCAGCCTGGGTGACAGATCAAGACCCTGTCTCAGAAAAAAAAAAAAAAAGAAAGAAAGAAAAGAAAAGAAAATTCCAGCAAAGAAGGGAAGGGAAGTAACAGAAGGGAAGTAGCCTGGACTAGACCTCAGGCTTCATTCAGTTTCTTAAGTCTTCCCTCCCGCCCTCTTGCAGGGAAACTGAGGCTGAATGAGGTGCTTACTAGAATGGGTTTGGCAGCGTTGCCTATGGCCTCACCCCCAGAGTATCTGGATGATCTGGATGCCCCAAGCTGGGCAAACTGAACTGGCCGCAGATGGACTGGGGTCAACGCTCTCAAGGGACAGGCTGGGAACAGTGTGGGAATGTGGTGCAAGGGGCAAGATGAACAAGTGGTGCCTGAGGCTGCCAAATCCTAAGTAACCCTGGCTGGGCTTGACCCCAGGAAGCTACAGAATGAATTCAGCCAAGGTTGGGAAAAGCTTCCAAGTTTAACAAGTGATTTAAAAAAATTTTTTTGAGACAGAGTCTTGCTCTGTTGCACAGGCTGGAGTGCAGTGATGTGATCTCAGCTCACTGCAACCTCCGCCACCTGGGTTCAAGAGATTCTCCTACCTCAGCCTCCCAAGTAGCAGGGACTACAGGCACCCACCACCACGCCTGGCTAATTTTTTGTATGTTTTGTAGATATAGGGTTTCACCATGTTGCCCAGGCTGGTCTTGAACTCCTGAGCTCAAGTGATTCTCCTGCCTGGGAGACAATTTCATAAATGTAGCCAATAAAATATCTTTTTTTTTATTTTTGAGACAGAGTCTCACTCTGTTGCCCAGGCTGGAGTGCAGTGGTGCGATCTTGGCTCACTGCAACCTCCGCCTCCTGGGTTCAAGCAATTCTCATGCCTCAGCCTCCCTAGTAGCTGGGATTACAGGCATTCACCACCATGCTCGGCTAAAGTTTGTGTTTTTAGTAGAGATGGAGTTTCGCCATATTGGCCAGGCTCGTCTCGAACTCCTAACCTCAGGTGATCTGCCCACCTTGGCCTCCCAAAGCTGGGATTACAGGCATGAGCCACCATGCCTGGCCTAAAAAATGATTTATATATATACACACATCACCTGATAGCTATGGGCTTCAGGCTGTTTTTCTTTGCCTTGTCACACCAGTCCAGAACTACTGGGGTCAAGCATCAGGAGCTGGCCAGGTGCCGTGGCTCACACCTGTAATCTCAGACTTTGGGAGGCTGAGGCGGGAGGACTGCTTGAGCCCAAGAGTTTGAGACCAGCCTGAGCAATATAGTGAGACCTTGTCTCTTAAAAAAAAATAATTTTATATATATGTATTTTTATATATATATAATACACATATAATTTATATATATAATACATATATAAGCTATATTATACATATATTATATATATTTAAAGATTTTTAAAGAATCAGGGGCTGGCTGGGTGCACGCCTATAATCCAAGTACTTTGGGAGACTGAGGCAGGAGCACTGCTTCAGCCCAGGAGTTTGAGACCAGCTTGGGCAATATAGGCAAGACCTCCTTTCTACAAAAAATAAACACAATTTGCCAGGTGTGGTGCACATGCCTGTAGTCCCACCTGTTTGGGAGGCTGGAGCGGGAGGATCACTTGAGTCTGGGAGGTTGAGACTGCTGTGAGCTATGATCACGCCACTGCACTCAGCCTGGGCGACAGTGTGAGACTTTGTCTCTTAAGAAAAAAAAGAACAAGCTGGATGCGGTGGCTTACGCCTGTCATCCCAGCACTTTAGGAGGCCGAGGCGGGCAGATCACCTGAGGTCGGGAGTTCGCGACCAACATGGAGAAACCCCGTCTCTACTAAAAATACAAAATTAGCTGGGCGTGGTGGCGCATGCCTGTAATCCCAGCTACTCGGGAGGCTGAGGCAGAAGAATCGCCTGAACCTGGGAGGCCGAGGTTGCAGTGAGCCGAGATCGTGCCATTACACTCCAGCCTTGGCAACAAGAGCGAAACTCCATCTCAAAAAAAAAAAAAGAGAAGAAAAACAGGAGCCTTATTTTCATGATCTGCCCCACTCCTGTCCCCAGGCACTCAACCCCTGTTGTGTGCTTCAACCCTCTGCTTTGTCCCTCAGGGGAGTTCTTGTATTGGGAGCCCACTATGTGCCAACACTCTGCTGGGCCTGGGGATATAACAGGACATGAGGTAGGCATGGTCCCTGCACTCAGGGCAGCTTATAACTAGTTGGAAGAGAGCAATGACCAACAATGCACAGATCAATATGGTTAACATCACATTGTGACTTGTACTAGGAAGAAAATAAGGTAACGAGGCCAGGTGCAGTGGCTCACACCCAGCACAGGTGGATCACTTGAGGTCAGGAGTTCGAGACCAGCCCGGTCAACATGGTGAAACCCCATCTCTACTAAAAATACACACACAAAAAAAATTAGCTGTGCATCGTGGTGGGCGCCTGGAATCCCAGCTACTCGGGAGGCTGAGGCAGGGGAATCACTTGAACCCGGTAGAGGTTACAATGAGCTGAGATTGCACCACTGCACTCCAGCCTGGGCGACAGAGCAAGACTCCATCTCAAAAAAAAAAAAAAAAGAAGAAGAAGAAGAAAAGAAGGTAACAAACCTTACTACTCACTGTTATCTGCAGACCAGCCCCATCCATCAAGTTACCCCAGAGCTCATCATGAATGCAGATTCTCAGGCCCCAGCCAGGACCTACTGAATTGGAACTGCATTTCAACAAGATCCTCTGAAGATGCCCAATTCCAAACATGGTTATTATGCCCAGGAAGAAGAAACAGCTGTGCTAAGACCTGAATGTTCTCAGCTTTTGGAAGATCTGCTATCCAGGTAGAGGGAAGAGCAAGTGCTACTGATCACAAAATATTCTCCTTAAAGATACAACTGGCCAGCACAGTGGCTCACGCCTGTAATCCCAACACTTTGAGAGGCTGAGGCGGGCAGATCACTTGAGGCCAGGAGTTCAAGACCAGCCTGGCCAACATGGTGAAACCCCGTCTCTACTAAAAATCCAAAAATTAGCCTGGCATGGTGGCACGCACCTGTAATCCCAGTTACTTGGGAGGCTGAGGCAAGAGAATTGCTTGAACCAGGGAGGCAGAGGTTGCAGTGAGTTGAGATCGCACCACTGAATTCCAGCCTGGGCAACAGAGTGAGACTCCATCTCAAAAAACAAAACAAAACAAAACAAAAAAAAACTGGCCGGCACAGTGGCTCACGCCTGTAATCTCAGCACTTTGGGAGGCCAAGGCAGGAGGATTGCTTGAGCCCAGGAGTTTGAGACCAGCCTGGGCAACATAGTGAGACTTTGCCTCTACAAAAAAAAAATTTGAGCCAGGCGCAGTGGCTTATGCCTGTAATCCCAACACTTTGAGAGGCTGAGGCAGGTGGATCACTTGAGTCCAGGAGTTCAAGACGAGCCTGCGCAACATGGTGAAACCCTGTCTCTACAAAAAATACAAAAATTAACTGAGGGTGGAGGTGCATGCCTGTAGTCCCAGCTACTTGGGAGGCTGAAGTAGGAGAATTGCTTGAGCCCGGGAGGTGGAGGCTGCAGTGAGCTGAGATTGCACTACTGCACTCCAGCCTGGGCGACAGAGCAAGACTTGTCTCAAATAATAATAATAATAATAAAATAAAAATTAGCCTGGCATGGTGGCACTCGCCTGTAGTCTCAGCTACCCAGGAACCTGAGGTGGGAGGATTGCTTGAGCCCAGGAGGTTGAGGCTTCAGTGAGTCATGATTTTGCCACTGCATTCCAGCCTGGATGACAGAGTGAAACCTTGTCTCAAAAAAATAAATAAAAAATAAAAGGACAGAACTAACTTGGACATGATCTTAAGCAAGTCAGTCTGCCTTTGTAGGCCTCAGTCTCCTATCTGGAAAGTGCAGGATCTTCCAAGCTGAAAAAACACAGTTCCTCTGAATGGAGGGTTTTGAGGCATGATGAGCCAAACAACCAGCTAAGGAAAGCTATTTATTTGAGGGAGTGGTGGGGCCCCTTCTCTGGAGTCCTTAAGTCATGCTAAGAGGCCCAGACCTTTCCTGCTTACTCTGGAATATCTCTGCTGTTCGGAGAATCTGCTGCGAACTCTACTGTTACAAAGGCACCTTATGAAGGGCTGACCAGAGTGGACCAGGAGCAGGGGCAGGTCTTCCCGTCCAGCCCCACCCCCAACTTCCCCCCTGTCACACCCCTCCCCCAGTTCTGGGAAAACACAGCCCTTCCTCTAGCTGATGCAACTAGCCCTGGGGGCCAGCCTAAGGCCTTCTAGGTTTGCTGAGAGGTAGAGAGAGGGGCGATGTCAACAAAGCACCCCCTCATCAGCCAATCTCAAATGTCTGAGTTGTCAGAACTCCAAGGCTCCACAGTAATCCAGCAACCCAACCCCTACAATTCACCAATGAGGAAACTGAGACTCCAACTTATATTTCCAGTCATGCTTTGTTCCTTCCCCTGGGAGGACTTCTTCCCGGCCTTCCCATTCTTCCTGGCCTTCTGGGGCTCCAGCCCTCAATCCACAGGTATCATGTACTATAAGGCTTTGGACTCCAAAATTCTGCGACTAGACTCATACCAAAACATGTCTCTCTCTCTCTTTCCTATCTGGGAGCCCCTGGAGGGCAAGAACCAGGTCTTATTTTTATTTTTTTTTAGAGACAGGGGTCTCGCTATGCTGTCTGGGTTGGTCTTGAACTCTTGATCTCAAGCAATCCTCCCGCCTCGGCCTCCCAAAGTGCTAGGATTACAGGAGTGAGCCACTGTGCTCAGCCTAAGAACCAAGCCTTGACTCTTCATTTTGACTACTATACCCAAGGAGCTTAGGAAAGTGTCCTTAGTTTGCTGACTGAAAGGATGAATGAATGAAGACTGTGGGGTCTGTCTACCCGTGGTGTGCTTCTCTCCTGCCTCCATTTTCTCAACCAATAGATTTTTGCTGAGTTTTCCCCAAGGAAGTGCTGGCCACAGAGGGCGCTCAGCAGGGAGGCTGCCATTGCCAACCCCTGGACTCCAGCAAGCTCAGCTACCTCCTTCTGCCACGGCCAGGCCCTGTCAGAGGAGCTCCGGAGTCTCCCTCCCTCGGGCCAGCTCTTGGTCTGCCTACAGTGCTGGCCCCCAGTCTGGGACCCAGGCCAGAGTCCAGGAAGTGTTTGAGGACCCACTCCCCGCTCTGCACAGGTGCTGCGAGGGGGCTTTGCTAGAGAAGGAGGAGACATGCGTCAAGATCCACGAGTTCATCCACAAAACTCAGCCAGTGAACGCCATTCTTCCCGGCCTTCTGAGGTTCCAGCTCTGAATCCACCTGCTGCCATCCTTTGGGGGTGTCTTCCCCTTTTCCCCTTTCCAGCCAGGTTCACAGTGACGGGCTCCCATTCTGGCATCTCCATGATGCCTCCCTTCACAACCAATCCTTCTGCAGTACAAGAAGAACCCCCCATCCATCCCTCACTCAAACACCTTCCGTGACTGTTACAGTAGATAGCTGGTCAGACATGAGCAGGGCAGGAGAGGCCCCACCTCTCAACCAGGAAAGTCAGGTGACCATCAGGTGAGGGTCAAGTGGTTGTTAAGCTGTTACGCTAAAATAATAATTGGTTGCATCTGGCATCAGGGACCGGCAGTCTCCCAGTAGATAAGAAAAACCTGAAACTGGTAATAAGATCTCAGGAACTGGGCAAGTAGGCCCCCACATGCATACTAAGAGGCAAAATGGTGGAGTTTAACTGGTAAATGACCTCCTAGGGACGTTTGACTGGTAAGGGAAGAATGCCTTGAGTGAGCAGTGCACAACTCCAGGAAACACACTGCGCATGCTCCCCTCCCAAGCACTAGCAGGCCTCTGCACATGCCGGTAGCCAGCCCCAAGGGAAGAATAGGGGGAGAAGGGACACAAGACCCCAGAAGTTTGCCAATGTATAAATCCCCAAGTCAAAAGGTTAAACAGTGCACTTGGCTTGGCTTTCAAGTCATTGGCTTGACCCTCTTCCAAGTGTACTTTCTTTTTTTTTTTTTTTTTTTTTTGCAACAGAGTTTCGCTCTGTCACCCAGGCTGGAGTACAGTGGCACGATCTCGGCTCACTGCAACCTCTGCCTCCTAGGTTCAGGCGATTATCCTGCCTCAGCCTCCCGAGTAGCTGGGATTACAGGCACATGCCACCACACCCGGTTGATTTTTGTGTTTTTATTAGAGACTGGGTTTCACTATGTTGGCCAGGTTGGTCTTGAACTCCTAACCTCACGTGATCTACCCGCTTCAGCCTCCCAAAGTGCTGGGATTACAGGCGTGAGCAACCACACTCAGCCCCAAGTGTACTTTCTTTCCTTTCCTGCTCTAAAGCTTTTAATAAACTTTCACTCCTGCTCTAAGACTTGTCTCGGTTTCTCCTTCTGCCTTATGTGCCTCAGTCGAATTCTTTCTGCTGAGGAGGCAAGAACTGAGGTTGCGGCAGACCCATACGGATTCGCTGCCGGTCACGCTCCTTGTATTAATTTTGTATTGCTGTTGTAACAGATGAACACAAACCTAGGGGCTTAAAGCAACAGACACTTATTACCTTATAATCCTGGAGGTCAGAAGTCCAACATGGGTCTCACCAGCGTAAAATCAAGGGGTCAGCAGGGCTGCCCTCCTTTCTGGAGGCTCTGGGGAGAATTCGTTCCTTGTCTTTTCTGGCTCCTAGAGGCTGCCCGCACTCTTTGGCTTGTAATCTTTTCCTCTGTGTTCAAAGCCAGGAACACCTTTTCATGCTGCCTCTCTGGTTCTCCCTCTTCCAGTTACATTGGGTACTGCTGGATAATTCAGGATAATCTTTCCATCTTAAGGTCAGCTGATTAGCAATCTTAACTCCATCTGCCCCCTTAATTTCCCTTTGCCATGTAACCTAACATTTACAGGTTCAGGAATTAGGAAGGTGGCATCTTTGGGGGCCATTATTGTGCCTATTACACTCATCCCTTTCAATTTTGTTTTTATATGCCATGGTATTTTTTTTCTTTCTTTTTTGAGATGAAGTCTCGCGATGTTGCCTAGGCCGGTCTCGAGCTCCAAGGCTCAAACCATCCTCCCACTTCAGCTTCCTCATTAGCTCAGACTGCAGGCGCCTGTTACATTGCTTTGGTGCCTTGTATTTTTGTTTTGTTTTTATTTTATTATTTTATTTTTTTGTTTGTTTTTGGTTTTGAAACGGAGTCTCACTCTGTCGCCCAGGCTGGAGTGCAGTGGTGCAATCTCAGCTCACTGCAACCTCTGCCTCCTAGGTTCAAGTGATTCTCCTGCCTCAGCCTCCCGAGTAGCTAGGATTACAGGCGTGAGCCATCACACCCAGCTAATTTTTGTATTTTTAGTAGAGACGGGGTTTCACCATGTTGGTCAGGCTGGTCTGGAACTCCTGACCTCAGGTGATCTGCCTGCCTCGGCCTCCCAAAGTGTTGGGATTATAGTCATGAGCCACTGCACCTGGCCTGTTTTGTTTTTTTTGAGTCAAGATCTCACTCTGTCACCCAGGCTGGAGTACAGTGGCATAATCACGGCTTGCTGTAGCCTCAACTTCCCAGGCTCAAAGGATTCTCCCACCTCAGCCTTCCCGAGTAGCTGGGACTACCGGCATGTGCCACCAAGTCCAGCTAATTTTTTTATTTCTTGTAGAGACAAGAAATATAATTTGGCTGGGCACAGTGGCTCACGCCTGTAATCCCAGCACTTTGGGAGGCCGAGGCAGGTGGATCATGAGGTCAGAAGATCGAGACCATCCTGGCTAACATCGTGAAACCCCGTCTCTACTAAAAATACAAAAAATTAGCCAGGTGTGGTGGCAGGCGCCTGTAGTCTTAGCTACTCGGGAGGTTGAGGCAGGAGAATGGCGTGAACCCAGGAGGCGGAGCTTGCAGTGAGCTGAGATTGTGCCACTGCACTCCAGCCTGGGCAACAGAGCGAGACTCTGTCTCAAAAAAAAAAAAAAAAAAAGAAATATAAGTTTCGTCACATTGTCCAGGCTGGTCTTGAACTCCTGGCCTCAAGTGATGCCCCTACCTCAGCCTCCAAAAGTGCTAGGATTACAGCCATGAGCCACCGTGCCTGGCCAGGATATAGTATATTTAATAAAATATATACCTATTAAAATTTTTCTGGCTGGGTATGGTGGGCTGTAATCCTAGCACTTTGGGAGGCCTGGGTAGGAGGATTGCTTGAGGCCACGAGTCTGACACCAAGATGGGTGACATAGTGAGAGGCCCCATCTCTACTAAAAAATATTTTTGCAACCTGGGCAGCATAAAGAGACCCCATCTCTACAAAAAATTTAAGTTAGCTGGGTGTGGTGGCATGCGCCTATGGTCCCAGCTACTCAAGAGGCTGAGGCAGGAGGATTGCTTGTGCCCAGGAGGTCAAGGCTGCAGTTAGCCGTGATCATTGCCACAGCACTCCAGCCTGGGCTACAGAGCAATGCGCTGTCTCAAAAAAACCCCCAAAATTATGATTTCATGTATCTGTATATTCTTTATACCTACACAGGTAGTAAACACAAACTTAAACGTTGGAATGAAAAAGCAAATTGAAGGAGCCATCTGGGTGGAGGGAGGGGAAAAAAGGAAGCGTACATGAGTACTTTATATTCATTAGGTCTTATTTCCCAAGCTTAGTAATGGCTACATGAATATTTATATATTCATCATCTAATATTTTTGAATAGATTAAGTACTTATAACAACAGAAAAGGAAAAGTGAGAAATGTTTTCTAGGAATAAATGCAAGCCTCAGCAAAAGTTCAGAGGCATGAAATAGCAAGATACATACATACATATATACTGATGATTCTCCAGCATGCCTGCACTCTCTCCCAAACTCCACCATAACTTCCAAATCTTTGCTCACCTCTTCCTAACCTCGCCCCCTTAAGTCCAGCCTCAGCCCCCGCGCTGACATTTTCGCCAGATCAGCCCCCTTCCCCTTTAGGATAGGCTCTCCTCTCATTGCAAGGTGCGCCTCTTATCGTGGGTGGCTCAATCCATGCATGTATGCCTGTCCCCAAAGAACTGCAAACTCTGGGAAGGTTGGACTCCCAGCCCCAGGCTCAGGGCTCCGGTTCAGGCGGGGCCCCCGCCGTCGCGGCTCCGGCCAGCAGAGGGCGCTGCCGGGCAGGCCCAGGCCTGGAGTGGCGGGGACCCTGGCCTCCCGCCAACACGCGAGCTTTCCGGCTCACAATTGTCAAATCCTCTCATCTTTCCAAGACACCCTCACCACATAGACAGCGTCGATGTTCTGTAGCTGGTTTACTAAAGGGGCTTGACTTAGCAGGGAAAAGCACTGAGCCGATCTCTTTCTTTCCTGCTCCTGCCCTTGCGAACTGATTCTGTGGACTCCTTTTTTGCTGTTTCTGGGGGAAATCTCGGCAGATCACTCGCTTTTCTCGGAGTCCTCCCCGGTTTACTGTCAGGTAATTCCAGCTTGTGTCTAAGTGCAGGCCATTATTCTGGCAAACGCTCCCCTCCTGAGGCTGCCTCTAACTGGGACACCTGCTGACTGGGGAGAGGACCGGCAGCCTCCCTGCGTCCTCACCCAGCTCTTCTGCTCCTCCTGCCCCTACACAGGCTGCCTCGGACTCTTCCTGGGTGGGGTGGGGGAGAAGCGGTAGGGGCAGCAACGTCTGAGGAGGACCTGAGTACTCTGGGCTTTTGGGAGCACTTTGACGGGCGTTATGAAAACCCTCACATCTCTCCTCAGTAGTACCCTTATAAAGAGGGGCTGTCTCCCCCAGGGCTGCTTATGAAACTGCCTTTGAAAAAACTATAACAGTGAGAAAATTAGGGCCGCAAAAGACATCTGATCTAACCAACCCTCATCTTGCCTTTAACCTCCAAACTGCCTTTGGTCACTCCTGGGTTTAGGCCAAGCTAACTTTGGAAGACATTTAGTTTATAGTTTAAATGATAGCAGCCCTTCTCCAAAACTCAACTGCCTTTGTAAAGCTAATGAAAGACCAACCAGGTCAGGAGGATGTTGAGCCTGAGTTCTGCTAAGGTGCAGACATAAACGATTGCCAACCATTATTCCAGAGGCAGAGGGAAGATATGCAACTTCCCCAATTACTCCTGCAGATAACATCACTATCGTAGAACCTAAGACTGGTACTTTGGGAGGCCAAGGCAGGCAATTGCTTGAGCTCAGGAGTTCAAGACCACTCTGGGCAACATGGCAAACCTTGTCTCTACAAAAAATACAAAAAAATTAGCTGGGCGTGGTGACATGTGTTGGTAGTCCCAGCTACTTGAGGGCGGAGGCAAGAGGATTGCTTGAGCCTGGGAGGTCAAGGCTGCAGTGGGCTGTGTTTGTGCCATTGCCCTCCAGCCTGGGTGACAAAGTGAGACCCTGTCTCAAAAAAAGATCTCAGGAGTTGGGTGAGTGGGCTTGAGCATTCACACCTACGAGGCAAAATGGCACAGCTTAACTTGTGTGTGACCTTCCTCTAGGAACACTTGACTGGTAAGAGAAAAATGCCTGAAATGAGCATGTGAACAATTTCAGTAAACATACTACACATGCGGGCCCCTCCCAAGTGCTGGCAGGCCACTGTGCATGTGGACAGCCCACACCAAGGAAATATCAAGGGAGGGGAGGCGCAAAACCCCGGAAGCATGCCAAGGTGTAAAGCTCCAAGTCCAATGTCAAACCGGACAAGGATCTCTCAAGTCACCTGCTTGGTCCTCTTCCAAGTGTACTTTACTTCCTTTTGTTCCTGCTCTAAAACTTTTTAATAAACTTTCACTCCTGCTCTAAAACTTGCCTTGGTCACTCCCTCTGCCTTATGCCCCTCCGACTAATTCTTTCCTCTGAGGAGGCAAGAATGGAGGTTACTACAGACCCGTACAGATTCACTACTGCTAACAATTTGAGAAATAACTCCGTCTCCTGTGCGGCATGGCTGGCCTTGTGGCAATTAAACTATATCTTTATTACAATGCTGCGTGGTCTCAGTGAATTGGTTTTGTCTGTGCAGTGGGCGGAAGAACCTACTGGGGGTTATACTCACTTACTGCCCCTCAGCTACTACAACCCTCCTCACACCTCCAGTCTCATTCTGCCGGAGTCCCCTCACCCCTAGATAGAAGCTCTCTTCCACCAGGTCCTTTTCAGGAAGATTTTTCTGCGGGGTCCACATGTGGGTCACAGGAAGCACACAGCTGGCAGTGCAGCCCCTTCCTAGCAGCCCCTCCACACCCTGCTAGGTGCCAGGCAGATTCCAGACCCCAGAGTCTCCACCTCCAAGACTCCCCAGATAGTTCTCCTAAAGCCTCGCTCACCTGGTTAGAGGTGAGGGAGAGCAGCGCCCTCTACTCCCTGTTTTGGGGTGTGGGCTGGGGAACAGGCTGAGGGAGCACGTTGACAACTCTGTCCAGAGAAATTTCCCCTCCAGCTTCTGGGGATGTCGCCTCTCTTTGTGGTCAGGAAGTAGGTGAAGAGGTGGGTTTTAACTCTGTTCTCCCTTCTGGGGAATCCTAGGTGGGTGGTCCAGCTTCACTTTAGGATCAGCAACTCTGGCCTTGTTTCTGCCTTTGGGGCCTCAGCTGAAATTCTGAGCCTACTGGAAAGTCTTCATTTACATTGTATTAGTTTCCAGACTTTCCCTAAGAGCTATTCAGGGTGTCTGTCACCTCGAGCCAGAAGAGACTTCCTCAGAGGATCCACCCAAGACAAAGCTGCCATCAGTTCCCTGAGTGAAACCCTTCCTTCTCTGTCAGCTGCATGTGGGCTGCACCACTTTGCCTCACCTTCCACCAGAAGAATCCTGCCCCTGCTTCTCCACTTGACCAACACCTTTTGGTCTTAGAAGACCCGAGTCAAAATGTCACCTGCTCCAGGAGGCCTTCCCTGACACCCCACGAGCTGGTTCAGGGGGCCCCTCCACTGTGCTTGTGCCAGCCCTGTCACGAAGGATTCTGTTGGCATTCCCTCTGTCTCAGTCTATCCCCTCACTTGATTCTGAGCTCTTTGCAAGCAAGGATGGTATTTGTTTTATTGAGTATGTTTAATTGTTTCATACGAAAAGCACACACAGGCTGGGTGCAGTGGCTCACACCTGTCATCCTAGCACTACTAACCTACTTTTGGTTTATCTGAATACCTCATTCTTTTTTAGCGATGACAGTTATTCCATAGCAAGAGACATCATCATTTTATCTAACCATTCTAATGAATGGATATTGAGTATATTCCTATTTTGTGGATAATACAAGCAACATTGCAACAAATATCTTACTACATAGTACACATGAGAGTATTTTGGTAGAAGAAAATGCCAGGGGTTGGGCTGCTGGAACATAGGGTGTGTGCATTTAAAAGTGTAACAGAGGCCAAGTGCGGTGGCTCACTCCTGTAATCCCAGCACTTTGGGAGGCCAAGGCAGGTGGATCACTTGTAATCCCAGCACTTTGGGAGGCCAAGGCAGGGATTACAGGTGTGAGCCACGGTGCCCAGCCCCTCTTCCCTTGTCTTTGTCAACCATGTGTGCAGTAAAGAAGCAGGCAACATGGCACCGGCCAGGTAGGGAAATCATTTGCATAATGAAAAATTAGGGTGGGGTGGCCAGCTTCTTCGCAAGCTATATAAATGGCACACCGGGTCTGACCAATCTTTTGTGCCCTATGTAAATCAGACACCACCTCCTCAAACTCGTCTAGAAAACCCCATGCATTTCACCACAGAACCAGAAGACCCACTCGGGAGCCTTTCTCTCTGCAGGAGAGAGAACTTTTCCCTTTCTCTTGCCTATTAAACTTCTCTCTTAAACTCACTCCTTGTGTGAGTCCGTGTCCTTGATTTCCTTGGCATGAGGCAATGAACCTCAGATATTTACCCCAGACAATGATGCTGCTTCAACACGAAGGTGGCCATGCCACGTAGGAGATGGAGTTATTACTCAAATCAATCTCGTTCAAAGCGCATAGGTTAGGGATTTTTCTTTTCTCTTTCTTCTATTTTTTTTTTTCTTTTTGAGATAGTCTCACTCTGTTGCCTAGGCTGCAGTGTAGCGGTGGGATCTTGGCTCACTGCAACCTCCGCCTCCCAGGTTCAAGCAATTCTCGTGCCTCAGGCTCCTGAGTAGCTGGGACTATAGACATGCGCCACCACGCCTGGCTAATTCTTGTATTTTTAATAGAGATGGGTTTTCACCATGTTGACAAGGCTGATCTGGAATTCCTGACCTCAAGTGATCCATCCCGCTTGGCCTCCCAAAGTGCTGGGATTACAGGAGTAAGCCACCGTGTCCAGCCATTATCATTTAAACTATGAACGAAATTTCTCCCAAAGTTAGCTTGGCATATGCCCAGGAATGAGCAAAGACAGTCAGCCTGTGACACCAGAAGCAAGATGGAGTCAGCCATGTCAGATTCCTCTCACTGTGATAATTTTGTGAAGGTGGTTTTTTTTACCAGGGGTCCTTGCTCACAGAGCTCCCAAGATGGTGGCGAGCTACTTCCAAGATGGTGGCAGGCCACTTCCAAGATGGTGGCAAGCCTTTCTTGGCCTCACGGATTCCAAGGAATGGAATCTTGGGCCATGCGGTGAGTGTTATAGCTCTAGTAGAAGCCGTGGGTCACGGAAGAGAACCGTGGAACCCAGTGACTAGTGTTCAGCTCGATTAGGATGAACCAAGGCACTTAGCTGTGCAGGAACAATGGCAAGCCTTTAGCACGATTGGGAGTGGCAACGGGAGTCTCGCTGGATCAGGAGCACAGAGGACACCCTGCCAGATCCGGAGGGATGGGAGTCAGTGGCAAACAGCAGTGGTGGATGGTGAGCGAAAGCTCAGCTCGAGCCGTAACAAACATGGACCAGAAGAGTGCAGTTGCAAGATTTAATAGAGTGAAATAGCGTGAAAACAGAGCTCCCATACAAAGGGAGGGGACCCAAAGGGGGTTGCCATTGCCGGCTCCAGTGCCTGGGTTTATATCCTGATCATCGTCCCTCCCGCTGTGCTCTCAGGCAACAGATGATTGGCTATTTCTTTACCTCCTGTTGTTGCCTAATTAGCATTTTAGTGAGCTCTCCTTACTATCTGATTGGTCCCATGTGAGCTAAGTTGTAAGCCCTGTGTTTAAAGGTGGAAGCGGTCACCTTCCCAGCTAGGCTTAGGGATTCTTAGTCGGCCTAGGAAATCCAGCTAGTCCAGTCTCTCAGTTTCATGCAGACTGGGTCTGCTGTGTTCTTGGGTCTCCAGCATCCAGCCCTGAGCCCACCCACACACAGTAGGTTTGCTCCCTGCAGCAACATCATAAACTCCAGTGCCCCTACCTACATCCTGCTGCCACTGCGCCAGTGCCGCCCTGGTGAGTCATCAGACCCAGTGTGCTGGCCCCTGGGGTGATAGAGCCTCTAATGGAAGCTTGACAGACTGTGTGTCTCCCAATCCTTGAAGCCCAGAGTGCCTGGGTCAACCTGGCTTACCAGGCAACTCCCACTTCGGAGATCTGTTAGCTTTGTCCTTTGTGAGAGGCAAAATCACCTTCCATTCAAATTAAGTCCTAGTGGCCGGGCGCGGTGGCTCACACCTATAATCCCAGCACTTCAGGAGGTTGAGGCGGGCGGGTCACCTGAGGTCAGGAGTTGGAGACCAGCTTGGCCAACATGGTGAAACCCCATTTCTACTAAAAATACAAAAATCAGCCGGGCGTGGTGATGCGTACCTGTAGTCCTAGCTACTGGGAGGCTGAGGCAGAAGAATTGCTTGAACCCGGAAGGCGGAGGTTGCAGTGAGCCAAGATCACGCCATTGCACTGCAGACTGGGGGCCAAGAGTGAAACTCCATCTCAAAAAAAAAAAAATAATAAAATAAAATAAAAAATCAAGGCCTAGCAAGGAGAATGTTGGTTGCCTTCTCTCCCTGGGGAAGGGATGACTCACAGAACAGGAGTGGTGGATGGAGGACAGACAGCCACCGAAGAGACAGAGAAAAGACACAGAAATGAGGCTGGATTCCAGGCGGAGAAAATTAAAAGGTGCAGAAAGAAGGCAAAAGAGGAAGAAAACAGCAGAGAGACACACAAAGAGAAAAGAGCCAGAGAGAAAGAGGAGCAGAGTTAAAGAGAGAAGAGACACAGGAAGAAGTGGAGGGAGAAAGAGGAAACAGAAAGGAAAAAAAGAAGAAAGAAAGAAAGAAAAGAGACAAGGAAGAGAGAAGGAGAAGACAGGAGAAAGGAAAAAGAACATGGAGCAGGAAGTGAGTTTCTGAGGGTACTTTGAATCAGCCAGAAAAAATGCCCGTACTTCAGATTCCAGGAAGACATGACACGGGAAACGGGGGCAGCCTTGGCTTGGTTCTCAGCTCCTGGCCAGCGGCCAGCTCTGGTTTCAGCCCTTGCCTGCAGCCCCGGAAGTCTGTTGGAGGTCAGACTCTGAACATGGGGCAAAAACATAAACAGGGCAGCCACACTCTGTGTGCCTGGATGGTGGGCACAGCTTTCTTAGTAATTTGGAAACACTGAATAAGAGCTCAAAAAAGTGCCTACTCCTTGCACAGTGCCTTAGCTATCAAGGATGCTCACTGCAGCACTATTATAGTAGAGAAAGAGAGAAAAAATACAGAAGGAAGGAGAGAAGAAAGAAGTAAAATGTGGCTTAGTAGATTTATGATACATTCATACAACACAATGCTCTGTCGCCATTTTAAAAAGTGGTACAGAAGAGCCCTTCATATGGGGGAAATCGTCACGATACCAGGTGGAAAAAATGAGTACACTTTTTTTTTTTTTTTGAGACAGGGTCTCACTCTGTCTCCCAGACTGGCTCACTGCAGCCTCAACCACCTGGGCTCAAGTGATCCTCCCACCTCAGTCTCCTGATTAACTGGGGCTACAGACACATATCAACATGCCTAGCTATTTTTTTTTCTTTTGTAGAGACAAAGTTTCACCATGTTGCCCCAGGCTCATACATGTTTAAATAAATCTTTTCTTTTTTTTTTTCTTTTTGAGACAGAGTCTTGCTCTGTCACCCAAGCTGGAGTACAGTGGTGAGATCATGGCTCACTGCAGCCTCAACTACTGGGGCTCAAGCAATCCTCCCGCCTCAGCCTCCTGAGTAGCTGGGATTACAGGAGCACACCACCACACCTGGCTAATTTTATTTATTTTTTTTGTATTTTTTGTAGAGATGGGATCTCTCCACATTTTCCAGGCTGGTCTTGAACTCCTGGGCTCAAGCGGTCTGCCTGCCTCGGCCTCTCAAAGTGCTGGGATTACAGGCATGAACTGCCGCACCTGGCCTGGTTAAATAAATATTTTAAATGGCATGATTCAAGTTTTGTTAGTGGATATATATGTAGTAGGGGTGGCACCAACCCTGTCCCAGTTCAAGGTCCTCTTGAAATTCAGTTCAGCCCAACCCTGTGGTCAGAGACACCTGTTTTTTTGTGTTTTTTTTTTTTTTTTTGTAATCTAAAGTCCAGACTCTACTCCTTCCCTCCTAGCCCCATATTCTCCCTTCTGGGGAAATTCCCATGAGTTTTAGGCAGGGCGCCAATTCCTGGCCCTTGCTCCCGCTATGGAATCCCTTGCAAGAGATGGGATTCTTTTGCTGGCAGCCCCTGGTACATCCGGGCCTGACCGTGACCACAGCAGCAGTAGCCATCCAGTTCTGCAGTGTGGCTCCAGTCAGGCTCCTGGCCTGGGCCCTCTGAACTCCTGGTCCTCGTCCTTTGTGAACACTGATAGTCTTCTAAGAAATTCTCTTTCTGTTTCAGGGGGTGACATTGGCCTCTGTTGCTTGTCCCCAGGATCCCTCTCTGACACCCCTGCTGTGTTTGCTGTGGGGAGTTCTGCTGCCACCACCCATTAGGTATGCAGGTCACCCCCTCTCTTGGGTCCAGGTGTCTGGGCTGTGTGAGATGGTGGAGAAGCTGTTCACTTGGGGTAACCAGCTGGGGCCTACGCACTTGGGCTGGGGAGCCAGTGAGCGGGGAGCCAGATGGGGTGCGGTTGATTCCTCTCCAGGAACCCAAGGAGGACAAGTTGGGAGAGGTCCTGGGTCCAGGCCATGGGAGATGCCCTTCTGAGTGACAGTGGACAGTTGGTAAACAATAATTGTTTGCACGTGGTCCTGGGCACCAGAAAATTGGCCCTGCAGGCCAGAGGCCATCAGCATGGCCTGAGAAAGAGGTTTGGGGTAAGAATAGGGAGAGGATGCGAGAACCTCTCACTCGAACTGGACCAGGGAAAGGCCTATGGGGCTTCAAAAGATGTCTCAGAGAAGGCAGGAGGAGCTGTCCACCAGGAACAGGACACCCGAGGTCCCAAGACTTGGGACGCTGCCCATGTTGGCTACTTCGTTCTGTCCTGTCTTTGCTGGCCAATTTTCAGTCAGAAACCCTTACATGGGAAGGGCCTCTGGATATGTTTGGGGAAGTAGAGAGAAAGGATGGTGTGGGGGGCAGAGTGCCTTAATCCATGCTGGTCTGGTGGGGAAGCCTGGGGCAAGAGTCAGGTAGCACTGATTTTTTTTTTTTTTTTTGGTCAACTTTTTATTGAAATGTAACTTACACACAGAGGAATGCACCTAAGTTAATATTCACAAAGTGAGCACACTTGTGGAACCAGCACCTAGCTCAAGAAAAAGAACTTTATTCAGCATCCCAGAAGCCTCCCATTAGGGAGGCAATGATTTTTTTTATTTATTTATTTTTGAAACAGGGTCTCACTCTTGTTGACTAGGCTGGAGTGCAGTGGCGCGATCTTGGCTCACTGCAACCTCTGCCTCCCGGGTTCAAGCGATTGTCGTGCCTCAGCCTCCCGAGCAGCTGGGATTACAGGCACCCACCACCACACCCGGCTAATTTTTGTATTTTTAGTAGAGACGGGGTTTCACCATTTTGGCCAGGCTGGCTGGAGGCAGTGATTTTAAAGTGGAACATGGGCAGGGTCTGAAAGCAAAGGGAGGAGGTAGGAAAAGGTCCTCCCATGTGCCAGCCTGGGATGAGTATAGTTCTGGGGGCTCAGCAGGAGGTCCCTTCTTTATTGGCACCAGCTGGTGAACTGGCCTACTCACAGGGCTCAGGAGTGCACCAGTCCCTGGTGCTCAGGGCCTTGGAGCTGGCCCTTGGGAGCTTGGAGAGCAAGTTATCAGCCATAAGTAGCCCTGCAAAGAGAGCCCAGAAACAGTGTTTGTGGAGGTCACAGAATAGGTGGAGCTGGGCCTAGAGCCTGAGGGCAAACAGGGAAGAGGATGTGTCCTGGCTGGGCTGGGAGGGCGTGTGCCCACGAGGTCTGAGAGTGGCTGGCCCCGGGGGAGTGGTTGCAGCAGGCACTATTTGCTCCCCAGTTTCTGATTGTCCAGGAATGATTCACATGAGTTTTACTGATTGGCCCCTCTGCCTCTCATCCTGTGGTGGACACCTGAGTAGGGGACAGAGGGCACCATGGAATGAGCACAGCTGTGGCTCAGAGGGACCTGGTTTTGAACCCTGGCTCATGGTTCCGTGACTTTGGGAAAGTCATATTCCTTCTTTGGCCTTGGTTTCCTCATTAGCAAAATGGGACAACAGCATGTACTTCCTAAGACAAACTGTGTAAAATGCCTGGCATTGGGCAGGCAATTAATACATGTCTGTTCCTTTCCTTTGCCATGTTTTCACTTAGCAGCGATTTATCCGGGGCCTAGCATGTAGCAGCCACATGTGCTCAGCACCAGGATCACAGTGGTGAACAAAATCACAGATGTGGAGACTGGCTGCCCTCATGGAGCTTGGGGCAGACATTCAGTAAACAAAGGCATGTCCTGAAGGAAAAGTAATGTCTTACTAAAAAGAATCATTGATGACAGCCTTCAAATAGAGTGGTCACGGAAGGCCTCTTGGGAAAGGTAACATTTAAGCTGAGATCTAAAGTATGAGAATGAGCCAGGCATTTGGGAAAGCAGTGCCGGGAGGAGGCTAAAGAACACAGGCTTTACAGCCAGATGTATATGGGTTTTGAATCCTGTTTCCTCTATTTATTTAGCTGTGGGACTTTAGGTGAGTGTCTTCACCTCTCTGGGCCTTGGTTTTATCTTTTGTGAAATGTGGCTAAAAATACCCACTTTATAGAATTGTGAGGATGAAACTCAATCGTGCATACAAAGTACCCTGCATGGAGTCTGGCACATGGTGAGCACCTGTGAAAATCAGCTCCCCTCTTGTCCCAGTTTGAGACTGTCAAGTGTACAGCATAGACACAATGCATGCACATGTGTGCACACACATTCACACTCACACTTGAAACACATATAGATATGCAGGCAGAACATAGATAGCTCTCTCAAGCTGGGTATTTCAGGAGACTTTCATAAAGGGACTCTTTTGTTTTTTTTTTGAGACAGTCTCATTCTGTCATGCAGGCTGGAGTGCAGTGGTGCAATCTCTGCTCAATGCAACCTCCTCCTCCTGGGTTCAAGTGATTCTCCTGCCTCAGCCTCCCAAGTAGCTGGGATTACAGGCACCCATCACCACACCCAGCTAATTTTTGTATTTTAGTAGAGACGGGGTTTCACCATGTTGGCCAGGCTGGTCTCAAACTCCTGACCTCAAGTGATCCGCCTCCCTTGACCTCCCAAAGTGCTGGAATTACAGGCGTGAGCCACTGTGCCCGGCCATGAAGGGACTGTTTTTTTTTTTTTTTTTTTTTGAGATGGAGTCTCGCTCTGTTGCCCAGGCTAGAGTGTGGTGGCACAATCTCAGCTCACTGCAACCTCTGCCTCCTGCGTTCAAATGATTCTCCTGCCTCAGCCTACCAAGTAGTTGGGATTACAGGTGCGCAACACAATGGCCAGCTAATTTTTTGTATTTTTAGTAGAGAAAGGGTTTCACTGTGATGGCTGAGCTGGTTTCGAACTCCTGACCTCAAGTGATCCACCCGCCTCGGCCTCCCAAAGTGCTAGGATTACAGGCGTGAGCCACCGCGCCTGGCCCATAAAGCGACTCTTTACAAAGAGTCCCTTTGGCAGGGTTTGGGGAGAGTAACAAGAGATAGTGCAGACCCTGAGGGTTAGTAACAGGGTGAGGAAGGGGGCAGTTAGCAGAACTGAGATGATAGCTGTGTGGAGACAGCTATCACGGGCTGGGACCTTCAGAAGAGGGATGCAGCCAATGTATAGGAACTCGACAGGGAGAGGGCCCGGGAAGGAATATTCTGGCTTCTGCCTCCTCTTGCCTCTGATCTCCCGCTAAGCTCCCATTGGCCAAACTCAGTTGGAAGCCAGGGTGCATGGAAGCCTGTGGATGCACCCCAAAAGGATCAGCCTCCCAGAGTAGAAAAGGCTGGAGTGGATCTGGAGAGACAGGTAGAAGAGTTACAGCATGCTCTCCACTTCCACTGGCCTCTTTAGAATGCCAGAAGTGACAGATATACCCATTGTAAAGTGGCGTAAGTCAAAAAGAAAAACCCTCGGTCACCTAACCGGAAACTCCAGGGGTAGGGCCTTAGGCAGAGCTTCATCAGTGCTCAAATGATAGCCGGCAATCAGGTTCTCATCAACTCTTAGTTCTATGTTCCTTTGTAGGTTAACTTCAATCTCAGGCTACATATGGTGGCAAGATGGTGGCGGTAGAGAGTAAAGAAGAGGGTGGCCCCCGAAGCAAAGCCGTTGTTCTTTACAAAGGAGAGTGAATAAAAGCAGGGTGGAAATGTTACACATGTTCACTACAGTGTACCTCGGAGAGCTCATGGCCCATAAACTCAGGCAAGAGGGATTGAGATCACTGAGGCCGCGGTGAGCAGGGTCCCCTGCTTGGCTATAGTCTGTTTGGGGATGACTCAGACTGTCTTGAAAACACGTGGGCTGTCCGTTCCCACCTCTGCACTGAAGGGACCTGAAAGATTACTTAGCCCAGCAAAAAGACGAGATTTGTACAAGACCATGTAGTTAATGTCAAGGCCAGGACTTGAACCCAGGTCGCACAATCTGTCCTCCACACATGACTTGAAAGAAAGAAAGAAAGAAAGAAACACCCATACAGAGTGTTTGGGTGAAAAACAGAGAGAGGAGAGAGGCAGAGAGAGAGAGAGAGAGAGAAAGATTAAGACAGTATAAAATAATATACAATGAAAAGTAATTTTCCTCCAGGCACAGTGGCTCACACCTGTAATTCCAGCATTTTGGAAAGCCAGTGAGAATTGCTTGAGCCCAGGAGTTCAGCCTGGGCAACACAGGAAGTTCTCGTCTCTACAAAAAATTTAAAAACTAGCCAGGCATGGTGCTATGCACCTGTAGTTCCAGCTACTCAGGAGGCTGAGGTCGGGGGATCTCTCGAGTCCAGGAGGTTGAGGCTGTGGTGAACTGTGATTGTGGCGCCCCTGAACTCCAGCCTGGGTGACAGAGTGAGACCCTGTCTCAAAAAAATAAATAAATAAAAGAGCTGGGTGTGGCATCCACTGCACTCCAGCCTGGGTGACAGAGCAAGACCCTGTTTCAGAAACAAAAAAGTAATTTTTGTCCCATGATGTATTCCTGGTCCTCTTTCCAGAGGTAATGATGACTAAGTCTCCTTTATATCTTTCCAGAAATTACCGTTGCAAATGCAATGGTGTGCATATATGTATTATATATAATGTGTGTATATATATATATACACACACACACATACACACACACTATTATTTTCTTTGTTATCTTTTTTTTTTTTTTGAGATGGAGTCTTACTCTGTCACCCAAGCTGTAGTGCAGTGGTGTGATCTCGGCTCATTGCAACCTCTACCTCTGGTTCGAGCAATCCTCGTGCCTCAGCCTCCCAAGTAGCTAGGATTACAGGCATGTGCCACAACAGCTGGCTAATTTTTTTTTTTTTTTTTGAGAAGGAGTCTCGCTCTGTTGCCCAGGCTGGAGTACAGTGGTACAATCTCAGCTCACTGCAACCTCTGCCTCCTGGGTTCAAGTGATTCTCCTGCCTCAGCTTCCTGAGTAGCTGGGACTACAGGTGCCTGCCACCATGCCCGGCTAATTTTTGTATTTTTAGTAGAGACAGGGTTTCACCATGTTGGCCAGGCTGGTCTTGAACTCCTGACCTGAAGTGATCTGCCCTCCTCGGCCTCCCAAAGTGCTGGGATTACAGGCGTGAGCCACCGTGCCCTGCCCCTGTCTTTGTTATCTTGGTGACCTTCCTATATTAGCCACAGAGATTCACCTCATTTTCAATAATAGAAGAGTGTTCTACTATATGGATATATTCTTATTTAACCAGTCCCCAAATGATGGACATTTAGGCTGCTTCTGGTCTTTTGCTTTTGCAAACAATGACGCAACGAACATTCTTGTGCACATAGTGTCTTTGCACATGTGTGCTCTAGGGGCTAATCCTAAGAATGGAAATGGTACCTCATGCCTTTCAAGGGCTTATGCTGACACCACTTATGCTAGAAAGAACAAAGACTGATAGAGTTGGAAGGGATCTTAACCATACTCAAGCCCAACTCTTCCCTCCTCATTTTGCAGATGAGGACACTGAGGCCCCAGGTCTGACAGCAGCCTAGTGGTAGATTTGAAGTAGACTATGGTTGGGCATCATGGGATAGGCCTGTAATCTGAGCACTTTGGGAGCCTAAGGTGGGAGGATGATTTGAACCTAGGAGTTTGAGACCAGCTTGGGCAACATAGTGAGACCCCCAGCTCTATAAAAAAAATTTAAAAATTAGCTGGGCATGGTGCTGTACCTGTTGGGGGTGACATGGTTGAGCCTGAGAGGTTGAGGCTGCATTAAGCCATCTTTGCACCACTGTACTCCAGACTGGGTGACAAATTGAGATGCTGTCTCAAAAAAAAAAAAAAAAAAAGAAGTAGATCACTTTATGTTCTCCCAGAGAAGATGTGGAGGAAAGAGGGCAAGGCTGGGAGTAGGGCAGTACTGTCCTGGCCTGGAAGGGCAGGGTGTGGACAACAGAGCAGTTCCTGAAGCCAGAATGCCTGGATTTGAATCGTGGTTTAGCAAAATAGGCTTTCTAAGCTTCAATTTCATCACCTGGAAAATGGGGGTGGTTTTAATCTTCCTTTAGTCTTCCTTATAGGGTTGTTGTGAAGATTAAATGAGATAATGCCTGTGAAACAAAGGTTACCTTTTACTACCATTTCCTAGCCTGGGCATCTTGACTCCTGTGCCTTGCAAGAGGCATTTTTGGGGTTAAAAGACCCAAGAGCTGGTGAACTGGGGAAATGCCTGGCTTCCAGCCAGGCTCTCTGTTCTTCCAGTCAAGGCTGAAACTGAGCAGGTTCTAACCTTATCCAGAAGCTCTGGCTGCCTGCTCCCTCCAGAAAGGAGCTTGCTGGGGCTGGGACCCAATCAAGTGGAGTGGTTTGAAGGAAGCCCAGCCATACTTCCTCCCAGTGCCTCCCTGTGCCTGGCACTGACAGTACAGGGCCTCCCAGATTCCTCCCAGAAATGGTAGGGGCATCAAAACTCCCATTTTTGAACTGAAGAATATGAGGCTCCCAGAGTTCAGGGGACTTGCTTCTAAATAAAGAATTCCCTGGGTGGAGTGGGGGACTTCCCAAAGGGAAGGAGGACACATTGGTTCACCATTATCTGTGAGCCACCATTATCTGTGATCCACCATTACCTATGGGCTCTTTAGCATGTCTATCCATATCTATAGTTTCTTCCACTTTCTTCTCAGAGCACTGGTCACACTGTGAAACCAGATATTCATTTCTGTGGTTATTCAATTACAGCTGACAATGGGCCCCTTGAGGTTAGCTCTTGTCCCCTGGTTCACTGCTCTTTCCCCAGTGCCTGGTGCCATGATTGACACACAGTAGGCAAATATGTGTTCCTCCTCTCTAAAAAGGGATTACGGGCTGGGTGCTGTGGCTCACGCCTATAATCCCAGCACTTTGAGAGGCCGAGGTGGGCAGACCGCTAGAGATCAGGAGTTTGAGACCAACCTGGCCAACATGGTGAAACCCCATCTCTACTAAAAAAAAAAAAAATACAAAAATTAGCCAGGCATGATGGCTGGTGCCTATAATCCCAGCTACTCGAGAGGCTGAGGCAGGAGAATTGCTTGAACTCTGGAGGCGGAGGTTGCAGTGAGCCGAGATCACACCACTGCACTGCAGCCTGGGCAACAGAGCAAGACCCTGTCTCAAAAAAAATAAAATAAATTTTAAAAAATAAACAAATAAATAAAAAGAGATTGCAGGTATGGTGGCTCACACCTGTAATCTCAGTACTTTGGGAGGCCAAGGTAGAAAGATTGCTTGAGCTCAGGGGTTTGAGACCAGTCTGGGCAACATAGTGAGACACCATCTCTACAAAAAAGTAAAAAAAATTAGCTGGGTGTTAGCGGTAATCCCAGCTACTTGGGAGGCTAAGGCAGGAGGGTTGCTTGATTCCAGGATGTCGAGTCTTCAGTTAGCTATGTTAGTGACACTGCACTCCAGCCTAGAGTCTGGGTGACAGAGTGAGATTCTGTCTCAAAAAAAAAAAAAAAAAAACCATTACTTGCTATCAGCGTTATTCTGAAGAGTCAATGGGATAAAGCTCTCCAAAGTGCCTGGCACAGTCAGATCAATCTGATGTAGTCCTGGACCATTCTCTACAGACTTGCATATTTCTCAAGCAGGTATGGAGCAGAGGGAGGGGAAGAGGGTCCTTGTGGGTTGGCAGGGGTCTCCTTCTCTGCAGGACTCACAGAGGGAGCCTTGTATGGGAGCGGGTGGACAGGATGCCTCGTGGCACAGCTGAGCCCCAGGCTGCCAAGCCTGGGCTGGGCTAGGCTGGGCACTCTGCCACAAGCAGCCTTCTGAGGGCCCTTTCATCTGAGTCCCAGCTGCCATTTGGCTGGCTGGCCTAAAGCCCAGCCGCCTGGAGGGGAGAGGGGCTGGCCGCATTGTCTCCTGAAGAACAGAGGGGAGTGAGTGAGGGGAGGGCAGAAGGAAGCAGTGCTTGCTCTTGGAGTCAGGCCAAAGGGAAACAAGATCCAGTGATAGGCAATAGCAAGGGGCTGTTTGAATTCTTTTGTTGCCATAGCATCAAGCAAGGCAGGATCACAGAGACCATCTCAGAAAATACACAAACCCCCACCATATTACAGGTGGAGAACTGAGGCCCAGAGAGGGGCAGGGACGTGTCTAAGGTGGTACTGCAAACTGGTGGCAGAGCCGAAACTAGAGCCCTGCTCTCTCGTCTCCTGGTCTGACTGACTCAAAGAGGTGCTTCATCTCTGGGAGCCTTGGGGTCCTCATATAGAAAATGGAGGTGCTAATGCCTATTTTGAACTGCCAGGGTCAAATGTGCTAATGTCACTGGAAAACTGAGTTTTTTTCCTACTTTGCATTGGTGGCAAAGAAAGAACATGCAATTGGAGGGGGGGAAAAAAGAAGCAAGCAGGTTTTATATTCCTGTCCAGGAATGGAGACAGAGAGAGCTCTTGCTCTAAAGAAATTTTCTCACAGAAAGGCCAGGCGCGATGGCTCACACCTGTAATCCCAGCACTTTGGGAGGCTGAGGCAGGTGGATCATGAGGTCAGGAGATCGAGACCATCCTGGCTAACACGGTGAAACCCTGTCTCTACTAAAAAATACAAAAAAAATTAGCCAGGCGTGGTGGTGGGCGCCTGTAGTCCCAGCTACTTGGGAGGCTGAGGCAGGAGAATGGTATGAACCTGGGAGGTGGAGCTTGCAGTGAGCCGAGATTGCGCTACTGCACTCCAGCCTGGGGGACAGAGCGAGACTCCGTCTCAAAAAAAAAAAAGAAAAAAAAAAAGTCTTGTCTGAGATTCCTTGTGGAACTGAGTTCCATCAAAACCTATTAAAAAACCCTAGTAAAAATAATTATTCTGGCTGAACTTTATGCAAATAATCAGGCCAACCATAAGACTAAAGTTTATTTTGCAAACAACTCAGTCCTATCATAATCTCTTTTTGACAAAAGTGAGAACAGGAGAGAGAAAAATTAAGTTTCAAAACTTATCATACACTTGACATTACATTCCAGTTTCATTAGTTGTTTTTAAGTTTTTCCCACATTTTAAATTAACCCTGCTTATTCCTGTGAACCAACCAGTGACCTCTGGGTAAAAACAGAAAATCTGGATCAATATACTAGTTCTGGGGAATTACCCTGCAAATCCTGTCAGGTGACAGCAGTAAATAGGGTGCCCATAACCGGGAGGTTTCTTCCTTTGGTGAAATAAGACCAAGGGAGCTAACCAAAGCCAAGCCCCATGCACCCAAATCTTAGCAGGTGTAACTATAGTCACTAGTTATCTGGGCGTGTCAGCGACTTCAGGATTTCTAAGCCGTCCTTACCCCCTTGTTTTGTTTTCATACATCTCTCTTTTTTTTTTTTTTTTTGGAGACAGAGTCTTGCTCTTTTGCTCAGGCTGGAGTGCAGTGGCATGGTCTTGGCTCACTGCAACCTCCGCCTCCCGGGTTCAAGCGATTCTCATGCCTAAGCCTCACCAGTAGCTAGGATTACAGGCATGCACCACCATGCCCAGCTAATTTTTGTATTTTTAGTAGAGATGGGGTTTCACCATATTGGTCAGGCTGGTCTCGAACTCCTGACCTGAAGTGATCTGCCCACCTCGGCCTCCCAAAGTGCTGAGCCACTGTGCCTGACCTCATTTTTATGCATGTCATTTAATAACCTGGTTTGTCTCTTCTTGCCTCCTAGGATCAAGTGATCCTTTTACTTTACCCTCCCGAATAGCTGTGACTACACACGTGTGCCACCATACCCAGTTAATTTTTGTATTGTCTGCAGAGATGGGGTTTTGCCATGTTTCCCAGGCTAGTCTCAAACTCCTGGGCTCAACTGATCTGCTGATCTCGGTCTTTCAAAGTGCTGCGATCACAGGTGTGAGTCACCATGCCTGGCTCCACATAACAATATACTTGTCACGTCCCCTCAGGCTGCTTTTTTTTTTTTTTTTTTGAGATGGACACTTGCTCTATTGCCAAAGCTGGAATGCAGTGGTGTGATCTGGGCTCACTGCAACCTCCGCCTCCCGGATTCAAGCAATTCTCCTGCTTCAGCCTCCCGAGTAGCTGGGACTATAGGCGCATGCCACCATGCCCGGCTAATTTTTGTATTTTTAGTAGATATGGGGTTTCACTATGCTGGCCAGGCTGGTATTGAACTCTTGACCTCATGATCCACCCGCCTCAGCCTCCCAAAGTGCTGGGATTACAGGCGCGAGCCACTGCTCCTGGCCCCTTAGGATGCTCTTGACTGTGACAGTTTCTCAGATTTTTCCTCTTTTGGGTGACCTTGATAGTTTTGAGGAGTACTGGTCAGTTATATTATAGGATGTCCCTCTATTGAAATTTCTCTGATGTTTTTCTCATGATTGAACTGAGGTTATGAGTTTTGGGGAGGAAGATCATTTTCCTCACATCACATCAAGGGTATATACTCGGTACTATAAACAAAAAATGAAAGTCTCAGCCCCCCAACCATCTGAATGGACCCCTCCTTCTGGCCAAGGGCATTCCAAAGTTAACCTGAAAAACTAGTTCAGGCCATGACTGGAAGGAGGTCAGACATGCCTCATTATACCCTTCCCCCTTTTGGAATTCAGGCACAGCTGACCAGTATTACCATCAAAACAGAGACCTTAAGACTGACAGAACAGTCTGTCAGTCATGCACAAAGTCTGTCAGTCTTTAAGTCTGATAAGAAATATTTGCAATCTATTCTCTCTGAAGCCTGCTACCTGGAGGCTTCATCGGCATGATAAAACCTTGGTCTATGCAACCCTTTATAGTAACCCAGACATCCCTTTCTATTGATCTCAGGTCTTTAGATAATAACCCATTGGCAAGCAGAAAATCCTTGCTTTTTTATTTTTATTTTTTAAGAGTAGAGACAGGGTCTGACTGGGAGTGGTGGCTCACGCCTGTAATCCTAGCACTTTGGGAGGCCGAGCCAGGCAGATCACAAGGTCAGGAGATCGAGACCATCCTGGCCAACATGGTGAAACCCCGTCTCTACTAAAAATACAAAAATTAGCTGGTTGTGGTGGTACATGCCTGCAATCCCAGCTACTCGGGAGGCTGAGGCAGGAGAATTGCTTGAACTTGGGAGGCAGAGGTTGTAGTGAGCTGAGGTTGCACCGCTGCACTTCAGCCTGGTGACAGAGTGAGGCTCTGCCTCAAAAAAAAAAAAATAGGGATGGGGTCTTGCTATGCTGCCCAGGTTGGTCCCCAACTCCTGGGCTCAAGCTATCTGCCTACCTTAGCCTCCCAAAGTGCTGCGATTACAGGCATGAGTTTCCATGCCTCAGAATCAGAAAATCGTTGAATCTGCTTATGACCTGGAAGCCCCCACAACCCCTTCCAGCTGTCCAGTCTTTTCGGACCTAACCAGTGTACGTCATACATGTATTAATTGGTATCTTCATTTTTATTATATTTTAATTAATTAATTAATTTTTTTTGAGACGGATTCTCGCTCTGTTGCCCAGGCTAGAGTGCAGTGGCATAATCTCGGCTCACTGCAACCTCCACCTCCCAGGTTCAAGCAATTCTCCTGCCTCAGCCTCCTGAGTAGCTGGGACTACAGGCGCATGCCACCACGCCAGCTAATTTTTTGTACTTTTAGTAGAATTGGGGTTTTACCATGTTGGCCAGGCTAGTGCCAAACTCCTGACCTCAAATGATCTGCCCACCTTGGCCTCTCAAAGTGCTGGGATTACAGGTGTGAGCCACTACACCTGGCCTTATATATTTATTTACAATCTCTAGTCCAACAGAGATATATATTTTTTGAGACAGGATCTCATTCCACTGCCCAAGCTGGGGTGCAGTGGTGTGATCATAGGTGACTACAGCCCTGACCTCCTAGGCTCAAGAGATCCTCTTGCCTCAGCCTCCCAAGTAGCTGAGACTACAGGCACATGTCACCATGCCTGACTAAGCTTTGTATTTTTTGTAGACATGGGGACTCACCATGTTGCCCAGGCTGGACTTGAACTCCTGGGGTCAAGTGATCCTCCCATCTTGGCCTCCCAGATCCACTCCCTTGGGATTATAGACTGAGCCACTGATGCCTAGCCAATTGATGTCTTTTCTTTTCTTTTCTTTTCTTTTTTTTGAGATGGAGTCTCACTCTATCTTCCAGGCTGGAGTGTAATGGTGCGATCTCAGCTCGCTGCAACCTCTGCCTCCCGGGTTCAAGTGATTTTCCTGCCTCAGCCTCCTTAGTAGCCCTAGCCGGGGATACAGGCACGCACCACCATGCCCGGCTAATTTTTACATTTTTAGTAGAGATGGGGTTTCACCATGTTGGCCAGGCTGGTCTCAAATTCCTGACTTCAAATGATCCACTTGCCTTGGCCTCCCAAAGTGGTGAGATTACAGGCGTGAGTCACCATGCGTGGCCCTAGTGTCTTATGTCTCCTTGAATATATAAAACCAAGTTGTAGCCTGACCACCTTGGGCACATGACCTGAGGACATCCTGAGGTTGTATCGTGGGCATGTTCTTAACCTTGGCAAAATAAACTTTTAAATTGGTTGAGACTTGTCTCAGATACTTTCTGGTTTACAGCAAGCACATACTGTTGTCATGATCGATAACTGTTGGCAACTGATTTTGGTCACCTGGCTGGAGTAGTATTGATCAGTTTCCCCAATGTAAAGTTTCTTCTCTTTTTCCTCCTTCCCATATTGTACTCGTTGGAAGAAGTCACGGCGCATAACCCACACTTAAGGAGTGGGAAATTATGCTCCCTCTCCTTTAGAGTTATATTTTAACTCTAGGAAAACAACCCCACAAAACAGATACCTAACTCTTTTCACCAGTGGGCATGCTTTGTACTCCAAGCAGCTGCCCTGGGCTGGCTAAATAGTCTACACTGGCCACTGTTATAGTAAATTAAAATGGAGATCAGGCCTGAAGAATCCCTGGCTAGACAATGCTAGTTAGGCCTCATAAGGGAACTCAGCCTTGCTGGATTTGCAAACATAAGCAAAACTTAACTTGGGTCAATGTGATGGTTAATACTGACTGTCAACTTGATTGGATTGAAGGACACAAAGTATTGATCCTGGGTGTGCCTGTGAGGGTGTTCCCAATGGAGATTAACATTTGAGTCAGTGGTCTGGGAAAGGATGGCCCACCCTTAATCTGGGTGGGCACAATC